>NC_000003.12:136432846-136735877 GCF_000001405.40 Homo sapiens | reverse complement strand
CTCCACCCAGTACCATGTCCTAGCTTGTCTGCATTTGTTAGTGGTAATATTCTTTATGTATAATAAATTTTTATACCTCCCACCACCCCCAGAAAAAATTAGCTGGGCGTGGTGGCGAACCCCTATAATTCCAGCTACTCAGGAGGCTGAGGCAGGGGAATCGCTTGAACCCGGGAGTTGGAGGTTGCAGGTAGCAGAAATCGCGCCATTGCACTCCAGTCTGGAAGACAAAAGTGAAACTGTCTCAAACTAAAAAATAAAAAAACGCAAAAATTAGCTGGGTGTGGTGGTGTATGCCTGTAATCCCAGCTACTTTTGGTGGCTGAGGCATGAGAATCACTTGAACCCAGGAGGCGGAGGTTCCAGTGAGCTGAGATCATGCCAGTGCACTCTAGCCTGGGCAACAAAATGAGACCCTGCGTCAAAAAAGGAAAAAAAAAATGCAGAGGCAAGGCTGGGCACAGTGGCTCATGCCTGTAATCCCACCACTTCAGGAGGCCAAGGCAGGAGGATTGCTTGGGCTCATGAGTTTGAGACCAGACTGGACATCATAGCAAGACCCTGTCTCTACAGAAAATGCAAAAATTAGCTGGGCATGATGTTGGCCACCTGTAGTCCTATCTACTCAGGAGGCTGAGGTGGGAGGATGGCTTGAACCCAGGAGGTCAAGGTTGTAAGGTTGTAGTGAGCCGAGGTCACACCACTGCACTCCAGCCTGGGCAACAAGAGCGGAAGTCCATCTCCAAAAAAAAAAGGGAGTAAGGAGGGAGAGATAGGGTAGGAAGGAAGGAAGAAGGGAAGTTAGCTGCCCCACCATGGAAACTGGAATTGGAGAGTGCAATAATAATTGAGGGGAGTTTGGTTCCTAGGTTAGTGTCAAGAGTTCTGACCAGAAACTGCAGGCCTGGTGGAGAGGACGAGTTCACTGTGTTTAGATTCCACATGTAAGTGAGATCATGAGGTATTTGCCTGGCTTATTTCACTTAACATAATGTCCAGGTTTTTCCATGTTGTCACGAATGGCAGGATATCCTTCAGTTAAGATTCAGCAAATATTTTGTGAGTACTTATTATATGTGTGGCAGTGGTATACAAAATTGATAAATATGTAGGTTCTTCTCTTAAAAAGCTTCTATTCTGTTGAGAGAGATTAAAAACAAAACAAAAAACACCCCTAAAGCAACAAAACAAACCAATAGGGTTAATGAAATGTGGGTGGGAGGAGGTGGGAAGCATAAAAAATACAAAAGTAAAAGGAGATGCCCTTCTCCCTGTCAGTGTGCCCCCTGCTGCCCCACGTAACAATAGATCCTTTTTATGTGTCAGGAAATGACAAACATAGGTCAGAAGAGTTTTTCAGGGGAGTCCCTTTATTTTCTAATCAAGATAACATGAATAGTTAAATATTACCTGTACTGTTTTTTGGCTCTTTGGCAAGATTTCTCTTCATAATTGTTAAATTGGTTTAAAGGTCCAGGTGGTAGTTTGAGACACTACTGTCTGCCTCCTCAATCTTAGGCAGAAAAGAAATGTTTTATACATAGTCAAACATGAGTTTGACATGGTTCTCTCCTTTGAGGTACCTGCCTCTCTCTTTTATCATGAAGCTTAGTTGACCATGATTATATCAGGTTACAATTTTTCCTGTCTTATTTGGGGCACTGAGAGGTAGTCAGCCCCTATTCTTTAGCAGAGACAGTACAAACTGGCAAGTGTGCAGAAAATTTTTTTTGTTTTGTTTTTGTTTTGTTTTGTTTTTTTTTTTTTTTGAGATGGAGTCTCTCGCACTGTCTCCCAGGCTGGAGTGCAGTGGCACAATCTTGGCTCACTGCAAGCTCTGCCTCCCGGATTCACGCCATTCTCCTGCCTCAGCCTCCTGAGTAGCTGGGACTACAGGTGCCCGCCACCACACCCGGCTAATTTTTTGTATTTTTAGTAGAGACAGGGTTTCACCGTGTTAGCCAGGATGGTCTTGATCTCCTGACCTTGTGATCCGCCCGCCTTGGCCTCCTGAAGCGCTGGGATTACAGGCGTGGGCCACTGTGCCGGGCCTGCAAGTGTGTAGAAATTCTTATAGTGCCAAGGTATAAAAGTTGAACATTTTAGGCTGTGTTCTATTTTATTCTTATAGCCTAAATTAACTGTTGGGAAAACAATGCCTTAGTTTATGCCATGTGCTGCTAGTTACAGTTAAAAATCTCATGTGTTCACAGATGAAGCACTGTCACATGACAGATGGCTAAGAAATCTATTGTCCATTGTCTGGGAGAGTTCCTGGTGCCTGAATCACACTGTATCAAATTCTAATTGCGTGTTTCTGTCTATGTAAACTTGGGCAACTTCTTTAACCTTTCTAAGTCTCAGTTTTCTCATCTGTAAAATGGGAATAATAATAAAAGTATTCCACTGTTGTGGGCTGCACAACAGTGCAAATACAAAAGTAAAAGGAGTTGCCCTTCTCCCTGTCAGTGTGCGTTAAAAAGTTAGCCTTTGGCCAGGCACGGTAGCTCATGCCTGTAATCCCAGCACTTTGGGACGCTGAGGTGGGTGGATCATTTGAGCTCAGAAGTTTGAGACCAGCCTGGGCAACATAGCGAAACCCTGTCTCTACAAAAAAATACAAAAATTAGCCAGGCATGGTGGCTCGCATCTGTAGTCCCAGCTACTCTGGAGGCTGAGGTGGGAGGATTGCTTCAGCCCAGGAGGCAGAGGTTGCAGTGACCTAAGATGATGCCGCTGCACTCCAGCCTGGGTGACAGAGTGAGACTGTCTCAAAAAAAAAAAAAAAAAAAAGTTAGGTTTTAACCACTAGACTATATTGTGTTGTGCATAGATCCAAAGATCATTTATCTTAAAAGACATATCGTAATCTAAGTAAATGCTGAGGTTACTTTCTGTAAGCAAAGAATTTTAGTTAATTGGTTCTCATCAGCAGGTAGGGCTAGCAATAGATTAAAACTTTATTAATGAGGCCGAGCGTGGTGGCTCAAGCCTGTAATCCCAGCAGTTTGGGAGGCCGAGGTGGGTGGCTCACGAGGTCAGGAGTTTGAGATCAGTGTGGCCAAGATGGTGAAACCCCGTCTTTACTGAAAATACAAAAATTAGCCTGGCATGGTGGTGGGCACCTGTAATCCCAGCTACTTGAGAGGCTGAGGCAGGCGAATCACTTGAAACTGGGAGGTAGAGGTTGCAGTGAGCTGAGATTGCGCCGCTGCACTCTAGCCTGGGTGACAGAGCAAGACTCTGTCTCAAAAACAAAAAATTTATTAATGAGAATGGTCAGATGATAAGGTACTCTGGTTAATTGAGAGATGAAGGTTATCACCAGCGTGTTCTGCTTTTTAGTAAACATATTTCGGAAATTAGGCTCCTTTTCTTTCTTCAGAAAAGTGCTGCATCCTGGAAAGACATTGTAATGCTTCTTTGGTAGTTGATAAATTTTGATGGCTTTATCAGGATTATTTATGAATCTTAGCTTTTTCTTTATTATTCTGCACACAGAAGGTTAGGCATGAAACCAAGAGCAAAGTTGGAAAGTTACCTCTAGACAAAATAAGATGATGGCTTACTACTTTTTCCTCCCATTGGGATGCAGACAACAAAATTGTGACTAAGGTGTTTTTTTTTTTTTTTTTTTTTTAGTTGTGGATAAAAGATTTGATTTTATAGATACAAAGGCAACATGGTGTAGAAGAACAAAAACTAGTGTAGGGCCAGAGATCTGAGTTTTAATTATAACTCTGCCACTAACTGTGTGTCTTTGATTGATTACTTCTCTGGGCCTCAGTTTCTTCATCTCTAAAATTAGTGTCTTTGGCCAGATAGCTGGTTTCCAAGATTTCCTGTAATTTTTTTAGTCCCTGTTGAAATAATCATGAAGTTAAGTCTTTATCAGGTAATGCAGTTTTTGATTTGAAAGTCATTAGTTTTGAAGACCTAGGTGTGATATTTTGCCTCCACACCTCCCGTCTGTTTATTGGAATAATTTATGCTTTCCACTAGCTGATAAGTGCACAGGCCAAATAAAATGTTGATATTTAGATAGCACTTATAGTTTCTGGTGCCAGGTGTGGGCATGTGTTTGCTACATACTTGATGAAAAAGAGATAGGTTAGCAAGTGTTTTCGTGTAATTTTGCTCATTGAGTCATTCATCAAGCATTTGTTGAACATTTACAATGAGCCATATAGTGTGGTTATAAAGACATTGAAGCACAGTTCTTGTTTTCCCGAAGTACACAAGGAGGGGCATATGAAGACTCAGAACTTAGGTAGTACCTTCTTCGGAAATCTTTACTTGATAGGCTTATTGCTCCTCTCTTTCTCCCATCCAGGGTTGATCTAAGTGTTCTCTCTGCCTTTGTATTTTAGTGGCACACAGTGCCGGGGCTGCCATGAATGGTTGTAGAATTGGTACCCTGCCTAAAGATACTTGGCCAAAGTGGTAGGGGAAGGCTGAAATCCAGATTTTATTCTGCTTGACAAATTCTATTTGCTTTTTCCAGCTTTTTCTAGTTTACCTGCCCAGAGGAGAGTGCTTTTTCTAATTCTTACAAAAGAACCTGTGTATTCCAGCAAATATCCACCCTTTGCATTACTGTATCATAAACATTCTGTATTGCTTTTTTTTTTTGTAGTAAAGTTTTGTAGTGGGTAATGAATGCCTTGAGGTGGTTTGTTGAAGTGAGCAAATGCTTCCTGAAGGAGATGAATTGTTATGTGAGTTTTGAAAGAGAAGTGAAAGCCAGACAAGGGTAGATGTTGGAGATGAGAATGACATTTCAGGTGAAGGTACAGTGTATATATGCAAAGGGACAGAGCTGTGATATATAGCCCAGTGGTTCTTAAAGTGTGGTCCTAGCACCATGGTGTCAGCATTACTTAGAAACTTGTTAGACATGCAGATTCTTGGCCTTCACCATAGGCCTGCCAACTCAGAAATTCTGGGGATGAGCAATCTGTGTTTTTACAGGTCTTCAGGTGATTCTGATGTAGGCTGAAGTTTAAGAATCATTGCTATAGCCCACCTCTTCAGAAAGTGTTACTTGATTGTGTTTGGAGCATGGGGTGACTAGGGAAGAGTGATTAAAATACAGAGCTGTAAGTCATGAGCAGAGTGAAGTGCCAAAGGAAAGTGTTTGAACTTTGTCCTTAGGCCAGTGGCTGCACCTTAGAATTACCTGACAGCTTTAAAACTATAGCAGTGTCTGGGATTTGTCCCAGACCAGCTGAACCCAAATCTGAGTTTCTGATGCACAGTGAGAGTTGTGAACTATATATAGTTCTGATTATAATAGTGTACATATTTATTGAAAATGTATCAAACATGGTGTCAAGTAGCTTACATGCATAATAATTAAACAACACAGCAGTTTTATGTAGGTATTATTCCTATTTCACAGGCAAGGTAGAGAGGTTAAGTACCTTTTCCCAATGTTACATAGCTGGAAAGTGGTTGAGTCCAGGTTTTTGTGACTCTAAAGTCTAATGTCTTAAGCAATTAAAACAAAAAACCTTGGGTTCTTGAATTTGGATGGCAAAATAATGACATCTTTATTTTTACTAACCTATAACTGAAATTTAGCAGTTCCTTCAATTTCAAATGTTGGCAACAAATCACAGTTGTGTTAGCAATACTTATTTTGTCACCAACAGAAATTAGAAATATTTTCATATTAAATTACAGATTGGGTGTGGTGGTGTGGGCCTGTAGTCCCAGCTACTTGAGAGGCTGTGGTGGGAGGATTGCCTGAGCCCAGGAACTTGAGGTTGCAGTGACAGAGGGCCTGGGTGACAGAGGGCGACTCTGTCTCTTAACCACAATTAGCCGGGCGTAGTGGCACGTGTCTGTAGTCCCAGCTACTCAGGAGGCCAAGGCAGGAGAATTGCTTGAACCTGGGAGGCGGAGGTTGCAGTGAGCTGAGATCACGCTACTGCACTCCAGCTCGGGCAACAGAGCGAGACTCTGTCTCAAAAAAAAAAAAAAAAAAAAAAAAAAAAAGCCTGGCGTGGTGGCTCATGCCTGTAATCTCAGCACTTTGAGAGGGCGAGGTGGGTGGATCACTTGAGGCTAGGAGTTCAAGACTAGCCTGGCCAACATAGCAAAATCCTGTCTCTACTAAAAATGTTAATACAAAAATTAGCTGGGCGTGGAGGCACATGCCTGTAATCCCAGCTACTCGAGAGGCTGAGGCAGGAGAATCACTTGAAACTGGGAGGCGGAGGTTTCAGTGAGCCGAGATCATGTCATTGTACTCCAGCCTGGGTGACAGCACAGCTCTGTCTCAAAAAAAAAAAAAAAAAAAAAAGGAAAACTACAGATGTTGTAGATATTTCAAAGTACAATTTCAGTACTTCAAAATTAGGGTAATTGTTAGACTAACCTCTAGATCTTATTTACTGTGTTAAAGAATCATATTACAATATTTTAAGTTGCTTTAATATATTGATAATTGTATTTGAATATAATTAATTCTCTTATAAGCATGGTACCATTCACAAAGAGGGAGAGTTTAGTGGATAGCTTGATGTAGGGTAGACAGGAAATTTTAAATTCATAAATCCCTTTGTCTAGGCTGAGCGTGGTGGCTCACTCTTGTAATCCCAACACTTTGGGAGGCTGAGGCTGGCAGATCACTTGACCTCAGGAGTTTGAGACCAGCCTGGGCAACATGGTGAAACCCTGTCTCAAAAAAACAAAAACAAAAACAAAAAAACCACACACACGCAAATTAGCTAGGCACGATGGCATGCATATGTGGTCCCAGCCACTCTGGAAGCTGAGTCAGGAGAATCCCTTGAGCCAGGGAGGCAGAGGCTGCGGTGAGCCAAGATCGTGCCTTTCACTCTCGCCTGGGCAATAGGAGTGAAATCCTGTCTCAAAAAAAACAAAAGAATCTTTACAGAAGAGACTGTCTCTCTTTCCCATCCCTCCTTTATTTGTTTTGTTAAATAGAAATGAAACCTAAGTTCTTTGTTGTTACATGTCAAAGTATTAGATTAAAAAACACTTAGGGTTTAGGAGTGCTTTTTACTAAGCACTTCCTAATAAATTAGGGAAGAGGATTATATGCATCATCTCACCAGGCATTTTAACTATCCTATAGTTTGATATAGTGCTGTTTAATGTAACTTTCTGCAGTGATGGAAATTTTTTTGTTTGTGCTATCCAGTGTGGTAGTTGTTAACCACAATGATGCAGAAAGAGAAAGTAATATAGTAATAGTTAACAGGAACATAATAACATTATATAATAATAGTTAACAGTATGTGTTAGATGCCAACTACTGTTCTTAGCATATTGTATATATTGACTCATGTAATCCCTACAATAGCCCCATGTGGTGGGTAGGGCTAAGTCTCTTTACAGATGAAAAAACTGAGGCACGGAGAAGTTAGTTGACTTTCCAAAGGTTATATAGGTAGTAATTAGAAGATCTGGGATTCAGACTCTGGCAGTCTGGCTTCCTTTATGCTCCCTTTATACTTCTTTATCATTTTCCCCATACCCACAAATGCATTTACATGCTGCTTTCAGAAACAAGACATTAAAAGGAATTTAAGATAAATAATTTTGTTCTAATTATTAACTAAAAGTATTGTGGTACTTTATAGTTTATTTCCCCTTTGTTACTTGATTCTAATCATGGACTCAATTTACTATTTAGTGTAAGTAAACTTGTATTCAGTGTGGTGTTTTTTTGTTTTTGATTTTTTTTTTGAAATGGGCTTTCGCACTTGTTGCCCAGGCTGGAGTGCATGGCGCAACCTCGGCTTACTGCAACCTCCGCCTCCCAGGTTCAAGCAGCTCCCCTGTCTCAGCCTCCCGAGTAACTGGGATTACAGCTGCCCACCACCACACCTGGCTAATTTTTTGTATTTTTAGTAGAGATGGGGTTTCACCAGGTTGGCCAGGCTGGTCTCAAACTCTTGACCTCAGGTGATCTACCCGTCTCAGCCTCCCAAAGTGCTAGGATTACAGGCATGAGCCACCGCTCCCGGCCATGGTGGGTATTTTTAAATAACCAACACCGATATTGTTAATAATCTAGATGTTTTTCCTCCCAAAGGTTAAAGTTAGGTTCTAAAATTTAATAATAATATGATTATTTTCCTTACTGAAACAAAATGTAATTCTCAGGTCATTTTGTGATGAGTTGGCTTTGGTTAATGGATATTTCGCTTTCCCTAGAGAACATATTTGAATAACTAACCTGTTACACCTAGCATGTTGTGTTCCTAGAGACCCAAAAGGGGGAAAGTATCTCTCAGAGACAGAGTTCCATCCTTAACTATATTCAGGCCAACCTGGTGGTAGATTAAAGGGGCGAGAGAACTGTCATTTCTCAAGTATCTGTTATAGGCATTATTTTTGGTGCTTTAAATACATAGCCATCATTTATTGAATACAAGCTTTTTATTAAGGCTTTCAAGTGCTTTAGATTCATTACATGCCATTTTCTTCACATATAACCCTTCAGAGAATATGGCAAAGATGTTTTTACAGATGAGGGCTTTGTTAGGCTCTTTTTCTTCTCTCTCCTCCCCTCCCCTTCACTTCAAGGGGAAATGATCATAAACATAGATGGGGAATGAGATTGGGGTGGTGCTGGGATTATCACTGCTGCCAGCTCGCCTATTACTTAAGGCTGTCCAAGTTATACATTTTTCATTTCATTTATATACTGGAAAAGAAGGCAGATGGTATTTATTCTTACATGAGAGACAGTATCATGTAAACAAAATAATCATATATTATGATGAATGCTGTCTATGAAGGGAATAAATGAGGTGTTATGATGGATAATAATGAGGTACTTAACATTAAAAAAGGCCAGGAAAGGCATCTCTGAGGGTGTGAAATTTAAGCTGAGGATGTGTACAGAACCTAGGCAAGAATGGTCCAGATACAGGGAAGAGCAAGGATAAATCTTTTTAGCAGAAATGGCTCTAGGAATTCAGAGAAGGCCATAGTGACTAGAGGGAACATAATGCAGGAAGAGTACAGTGGTGTTGCATGAGGTTAGAGAGGTAAGCAGAGTCTGGATTATGTAGGGTGTATTTGGGATAGTTAGGACTCATAGATTTTATTATAAGTGAAATGAGAAGCTGTTAGAGAGTTTTAAGAAGAGGAATGTTTAAAAAACATTCTTCTAGGACGGGTGCAGTGGCTCATACCTGTAATCCCAGCACTTTTGGAGGCCAAGACAGATTGATGGCTTGAGGCCAGGACTTTGAGACCAGCCTGGTCAACATGGCAAAACCCCATCTCTACTAAAAATACGAAAATTAGCTAGGCAAGGTGGCGCACACCTGTGATCCCAGCTACTTGGGAGACTGAGGCAGGAGAATCACTTGAACCTGGGAGGCAGAGGTTGCAGTGAGCCGAGATTGTGCTGCTGCACTCCAGCCCAGGTGACAGAACAAGACTGTCTCAAAACAAAACATATTCTTCTAGCTTAGTGGTTCTCAACTGAGGGCGATTTTGCTTCCCAGGGGACATTTGGCAATGTCTAGATTTTTGATTGTCACAACTGGGAATAATGGTTTATGCTGCTGGCATCAGTGGATAGAAACCTAGGGATTATGGTGTATGCTACTGACATCAGTGGATAGAGACCTGGGGATGATGGTGTATGCTACTGGCATCAGTGGATAGAGATCAGGGATGCTGCTAAACCTTCTGTAATGCACAGAACAGTAAACAACTATTGGCCCAAAATGTCACTAGTGGCAAGGTTGAGAACCCTTGCTTTTGCTATTGTGTGAATATTGGATGGTGGGTGGGGTGTGGGGAATGCAAGAGGGAGGGTTAGGTTGTTACAGTGTACAGGTGACAGATACAGTGCCTTGGATGATGGTTGTAATAGAGATAATACTGAGAAGTGTTCTTATTCTGTATGTGTATTGGAGTTAGAGTAGATAAGTGAGGAAAGGGATAAGTCAAGGACGATCTCCAGGTTTCTAACTAATAATTGAGTGATTTGTGATACAGTCCTAAAGTAGGGAAGACTGGGAATGAAGTGTTCTGATTTTTAAAATTTTATTTCATTGAATTTGAGTTGCTATTAATAGAAGACACAACACTATTTTAGGGTACAATAGGAAGGAAGCAGTAACCTCATGCTGTCTGTACTTGGTCACACCAGCCATTCATTGCTTTGAAATCTTATCTGTTCTCAGGGATATGGCAGTTTCTTCTACCTTTATTTGTATTGCGTGGCATATGATAGGCTGTCCTTCTGCATGTGTCTCAGTAACAAAACATAATACAGCTTCATCTACTTGTGGCTGTTCTCATATCCCATAAGTCATCACTTTACTGTTGCTTTGCAAGAAAACATAGAATTGGCGTTATTACTAGCAATAATTAATACTTAACTTGCTAATACAGATTTTTTTTGTGCCTTTCTGCATACTTAATAACTTTTCAGTGCCAAATTGTAGAGTAGTATTTTGAAAGCAGTTAAACACAACATGCATGGAACCAGCAATGTTAATAGCTCAACTGATGATCATTGGTCAAGCTAGTCAGATTTTAGAAATAGGAAATAATTCTTTTGTCAGAAGACCTTATTTTAAACACACACACACACACACCCGTATAATTTTGTTTTCTAGTTCTTGCCTACTGAAGAGTGGTAATATTGATGTATAGAGTGACTCATTTGCTTAGGGTAAGATTTTTGGTAAAGGTTCACTAAGAAATTTAGAAGCTTCCTTAGTTGATTTAAAATACGGGAAAAAATATCACTAGATTTACACAGAAATGTTGAGGAACATCTAGATTTGCAATTATAATACTTTAAGTATTAGACTACTTCCATTTGGAACCTTTCTAGTTCACTTTAACAAGACAATTTGAATTGTCAGCCAGGAGCATTTCATTTTCTAAAATAAGAAGAAATGATACTTTGGTATAGAAGACCTATTCATGATTTTTTACATAGGTTTAATGTTTTTTTTTGAACAGACATTCACAGTCTCTTTTCAGCCTTATAGAGCTCTCTGGTATTACTGTTCTGTCCCAATGTATCATCCCCTCCTGCCTTTATTTTCTTAACTAGCTGAGAACCTTGTTTACCTCTCAAAATATGTTCATCTGCTTTGCATTTTTGTCTTTTCATTGCATTTGTCTAAAACCCAACCACATCACTTCATCTTTCTGACTTCTGTGTACCTGGCTCTGAGCTACTGAGCACAGCTGGAGAAAATAACAAACTTGCAGACTGGAGCCACTAAGTATTCATGCTCTCCAATCTTTTTTTTTTTTTTTTTTATTGATCATTCTTGGGTGTTTCTCACAGAGGGGGATTTGGCAGGGTCATAGGACAATAGTGGAGGGAGGGTCAGCAGATAAACAAGTGAACAAAGGTCTCTGGTTTTCCTATGCAGAGGACCCTGCGGCCTTCCTCAGTGTTTGTGTCCCTGGGTACTTGAGATTAGGGAGTGGTGATGACTCTTAACGAGCATGCTGCCTTCAAGCATCTGTTTAACAAAGCGCATCTTGCACCACCCTTAATCCATTTAACCCTGAGTGGACACAGCACATGTTTCAGAGAGCACAGGGTTGGGGGTAGGGTCACTGATCAACAGGATCACAAGGCAGAAAAATTTTTCTTAGTACAGAACAAAATGAAAAGTCTCCCGTGTCTACCTCTTTCTACACAGACATGGCAACCATCCGATTTCTCAATCCTTTCCCCGCCTTTCTCCCCTCCTCTATTCCACAAAACCGCCATTGTCATCATGGCCCGTTCTCAATGAGCTGTTGGGTACACCTCCCAGACGGGGTGGTGGCCGGGCAGAGGGGCTCCTCACTTCCCAGTAGGGGCGGCCGGGCAGAGGCGCCCCTCACCTCCCGGACGGGGCGGCTGGCTGTGCGGGGGGCTGACCCCCCCACCTCCCTCCTGGTCGGGGCGGCTGGCCTGGCGGGGGGCTGACCCCCCCACCTCACTCCCAGACGGGGCGACTGGCCGGGCGGGGGGCTGACTCCCCCACCACCCTCCCGGACGGGGCGGCTGGCCGGGCGGGGGGCTGACCCCCCCACCTCCCTCCCGGACGGGGCGGCTGGCCGGGCGGGGGGCTGACCCCCCCACCTCCTTCCCGGACGGGGCGGCTGGCCGGGCAGAGGGGCTCCTCACTTCCAAGTAGGTGCGGCCAGGCAGAGGCGCCCCTCACCTCCCAGACGGGGTGGCTGGCCGGGCGGGGGGCTGACCCCCCCACCTCCCTCCCGGACGGGGCGGCTGGCCGGGCAGGGGGCTGATCCCCCCACCTCCCTCCTGGACGGGGCGGCTGGCCTGGCGGGGGCTGACCCCCACTTCCCTCCCGGATGGGGTGGCTGCCGGGCAGAGACGCTCCTCACTTCCCAGATGGGGTGGCTGCCGGGCGGAGGGGCTCCTCACTTCTCATATGGGGCGGTTGCCAGGCAGAGGGTCTCCTCACTTCTCAGACGGGGCGGCTGGGCAGAGACGCTCCTCACCTCCCAGACGGGGTCGCGGCCGGGTAGAGGTGCTCCTCACATCCCAGACGGGGCGGCGGGGCAGAGGCGCTCCCCACATCTCAGACGATGGGCGGCCGGGCAGAGACGCTCCTCACTTCCTAGATGGGATGGCGGCCGGGAAGAGGCGCTCCTCATTTCCTAGATGGGATGGCAGCCGGGCAGAGACGCTCCTCACTTTCCAGACTGGGTAGCCAGGCAGAGGGGCTCCTCACGTCCCAGACGATGGGCGGCCGGGCAGAGATGCTCCTCACTTCCCAGACGGCGTTGCGGCCGGGCAGAGGCTGCAATCTCGGCACTTTGGGAGGCCAAGGCAGGCGGCTGGGAGGTGGAGGTTGTAGCGAGCGGAGATCACGCCACTGCACTCCAGCCTGGGCACCATTGAGCACTGAGTGAACCAGACTCCGTCTGCAATCCCGGCACCTCGGGAGGCCGAGGCTGGCGGATCACTCACAGTTAGGAGCTGGAGACCAGCCCGGCCAACACAGCGAAACCCCGTCTCCACCAAAAAAATACGAAAACCAGTCAGGCGTGGTGGCGCGCGCCTGCAATCGCAGGCACTCGGCAGGCTGAGGCAGGAGAATCAGGCAGGGAGGCTGCAGTGAGCCGAGATGGCAGCAGTACAGTCCAGCTTCGGCTCGGCATCAGTGGGAGACCGTGGAAAGAGAGGGAGAGGGAGACCGTGGGGAGAGGGAAAGGGGGGAGAGGGAGAGGGGAGAAGGGAGAGGGGAGAGGGAGGGGGAGAGGGAGAGGGAGAGGGAGAGGGAGAGTCATGCTCTCCAATCTTAATTGAACCCTCAGCATTACCCAGTAATTCTCCTTTGTTCCTAGTTTTTTCTCATTCCTCATACAGTTACTTAAAAACTTGTAATCTCCTATAGCCCCCTTACTTTACCACTTCCCTTCTCTTTTTCAGTAGATGACCTCATCTGTTCACTGTGAAACTTGAATTTAATTATTATTTTATTTCTGGGAGATGTTGAAAAAGTTTGAAATGAGACCACATAGACATCACCTTAACATTTGTGATGCATGTTGCTTGGAGGCATACAGAAAACTAAAGTATAAATTTTAGGACAAAAACGGAAAGATATATCTTTGTGGTAATTTTAGTGAGGCTACTATGAGGTAATTTTAGTACATCATTTTTTTTTCCTTTTTTTTGGAGACAGGATCTTGCTCTGTTGCCCAGGCTGGAATGCAGTCATGGCTTACTGCAGCCTCAACTTCCTGGGCTCAGGTGATCCTCCCATCTCAGCCTCCTAAGTAGCTGTTACCACAGGTGTGCACCACCATGCCTGGCTATTTTTTTGTATTTTTATTAGAGATGGGGTCTCACCATGTTGCCTTGGCTGGTCTCAAACTTGGAAGCTCAAGCGATCTGTCCTTCTTGGCCTCCCAAAGTGCTGGGATTACAGGTGTGAGCCACCACACCTAGCCCCATAGTGTAATTTTTTTTTTTTTTGAGATGGAGTCTAGCTCTGTTGCCCAGGCTGAAATGCAGTGGCACTCACTGCAAGCTCTGCCTCCCGGGTTCATGCCATTCTTCTGCCTCAGCCTCCCGAGTAGCTAGGACTATAGGTGCCCGCCACCACTCCCGGCTAATTTTTTGTATTTTTAGTAGAGACAGGGTTTCACCGTGTTAGCCAGGATGGTCTTGATCTCCTGACCTTGTGATTCACCCACTTCGGCCTCATCTCCTGACCTCGTGATCCGCCCGCCTCAGCCTCCTGAAGTGCTGGGATTACAGGCGAGAGTCACCGCGCCCGGCCCCATAGTGTAATTCTTAATACCACTTTTATAATGGAACCAAATTATTTAACTTCACCCCTTCTGATCTGTAAGCAATTTATTTCATTTCTTTTGATAAATAATGTAAAAAGAGTGCTCACTTTGGCAGCACATACACTAAAATGGGAACCATATAGAGATTAGCATGGCCTCTGTACTAAGAAAAAAATAATGTAAAAAGAGTATTAGATATTCAACAAGATTCTAAGATAAGGGGCTTCATTATTTTCGTTTACATATAAAATTAAAATGATTTACTTAGTTCCAAATTGAACTATTTGATTCTGTTATACTGCCTTCAGTATTATTTTTAAATCTTCTATTTCCCTTTTTTATCCAAATTCTGAGCGTTTCTCTTTATTGTGTCCTATCTTGATCTCTTGTCTGTAAGCTTATTATCTTTTTTGAAGACTTTCTCTGACTGCTTTATAAGACTGCAGAAAAATAATCATTGATTTTCCTGGCAGCTCAGGCTTTCTTGGTTTTATTTGGTTGACCTTTTATACACTTCCAATGTCTAAGGAAGGAACTGCTGGATTCGGAGAATGACTTGGATTCTAATCCAGATTAGTCAATTTATTAGCATCATGTGCTTCTGTAAATTACTTTTACCTCTCTGCGTCACTTGTATTGGTAATAAATAGGTATGTCTGTGTCATCTCAGAGCATATTGGCTAGCAAATGAGCTAATGTTAACAGTGCTCTGTAAACTATGAAATATGAATATAAGTGGTAGTTCTTTTGGGGGGACATTTTGTACATCCACAGATTTCTTTTCTTTTTCTTTTTCTTTTTTTTTTGAGATGGAATCTTGCTCTGTCACCCAGACTGGAGTACAATGGCACAATCTTGGCTCACTGCAACCTCCGCCTCCTGAGTTCTAGTGATTCTCCTGCCTCAACCTCCCGAGTAGCAGGATTACAGGCGCCAGCTATTATGCCCAGCTAATTTTTGTATTTTTAGTAGAGACAGGGTTTTGCCATGTTGGCCAGGCTGGACTTGAACTCCTGACCTCAGGTGATCTGCCTGCCTCGGCCTCCCAAAGTGCTGGTATTACAGGTGTGAGCCACCGTGCTCAGCCCAAGTTGGTTCATTTTAGTTGTGACTGTTATTGAGCTCAGATAGCTTGATAAATCTGTCTTCACTATAGCAGATCTGGGTCAGGACACATTCTCCTGGGACTGTGTTGGAGACAAACTGCCAAATTTAATTTGTTTGAATACTCCTCACCATTGAGTTAATTTGGTTTCAGCTTGATATAATCATTTACAAGATCTGGGTTCTGCTTCCCATGCCACCTATTTTGGAT
Organism: Homo sapiens; assembly: GCF_000001405.40. Classification (NCBI taxonomy): domain Eukaryota; kingdom Metazoa; phylum Chordata; class Mammalia; order Primates; family Hominidae; genus Homo; species Homo sapiens. The sequence continues at coordinate 136,720,279 of NC_000003.12, read as the reverse complement.
TTTATGTATTTACTTTGTTCATTCCACACAGATGGTTTATCTTGTTTCATTCTTCTTAATTTAATGCTCAGTGTTCACTTAAGATTTTTTTTTTTTTTTTTTTGAGACGGAATTTCGCTCTTGTTGCCCAGGCTGGAGTGCAATGGCGCGATCTCAGCTTACCACAACCTCTGCCTCCCGAGTTCAAGCGATTCTCCTACCTCAGCCTTCCGAGTAGCTGGGATTACAAGTATGCACTACCATGCCCAGCTAATTTTATATTTTCACTAGAGATGGGATTTCTCCGTAATGGTCATGCTGGTCTCGAACTCCTGGCCTCAGGTGACCTGCCCGCCTTGGCCTCCGAAAGTGCTGGGATTACAGGCATGAGCCACCGCTCCCGGACTCACTTCAGTTTTAAAAGAGCCACTTGTGGATTGGATTTATCCTTACAAAGTTGAGTGAGATATATATTGCTTCTAGTGCATTCTTGCTTTTGCATCTAGGAAGAGTATGGATTTTGCAGTCCATCCTAGATTGCCCTGTCAAGTATTTAGCTGAAACTTTGGAGCAAGTTACTTTTTTGAGATCGATCCATCCATCCATCCATCCACCCACCCACCCACCCACCCACCTACCCACCCACCCACCTACCCACCTACCCACCTACCCAGCCACCCACCTACCCACCCACCCATCCATCCACCCATCTACCCACTTATCATCCCAGAGGCACTGTAGTGCTGCCGCTCCTTGCTTTTCTGTTTTTCCTTGACAGATACGTTGAGGTATAATTTACATAACATAAAATTCTCCCATTTTAAGTGTACAATTCAGTGATGTTTAGTTAATTTGGAAAACTATGTAGCCAACACTACCTAATTTCAGAATACTTCTATCACCCCCCAAAGAAGAAAATCTGTGCCCATTTGTAGTCATTTCTCATTTTCTAATCTTAGGGTACTACTAATCTATTTTCTGTCTCTATAGATATGCTTTTTTGGGACATTTCATAAAATTGGAATCATTTATATGCTCTTATGTTTGGCTTTTATTTAGCAATGTTTTTGAGGATAATCCATGTTAAGGCATGTTTCAATACTTTCTTGTATTTTGAAGAGTTCTTCATTTTATTAATTTGTTTACTTCATGGACATTTGAGTTTCAAACATTTGGCTGTTGTGAATAATGCTGTGAACATTCATTTACAAGTCTTGGTGTAGACATATGTTTCATTCCTCTTTGGCAGATACCTAGGATTGGAATTGCTCGGTCATGTAGTAAATTTATGTTTAATATTTTAAGAAACCGCTAAATTGTTTTCCAGAATGGTTGTACTGTTTTGCCCCCTCCCTGCCTGCCTTTTTTTTATTTGAGGTAGAGCCCTGCTCTGTCACCCAGGATGGAGTGCAGTGGCGTGATCTTGGCTCACCGCAACCTCCGTCTCCCAGGTTCAAGTGATTCTCTTGCATCAGCCTCCCGAGTAGCTGGGATTACAGGCCCCCCCCACCACACTTGGCCAATTTTTTTGTATTCGTAGTAGAAATGGGGTTTTGCCATGTTGGCCAGGCTGGTCTCAAACTCCGGACCTCATGTGATCCACCCACCTTGGCCTCCCAAAGTGCTGGGATTACAGGCATGAGCCACCACGCCTGGCCACCTCTATTTATCTGAATATTTAAGATAACTATTTGATTAGAATTCAGTATCACATGACATTAGCTGTTACCATAGAAGAAGAATCATAGATAGCATCACAGGATTCTATTCCAGCTAGTAAAAAATAATAAAATACAAGTATGTCACATGCAAAAATGTAATGTTTAATGATTAAAACCTAGATTTCTACCAGGTGAGCATGATTGCTTGAAAATTTCACTTAAAGACACTCCTTAGAACAGTGTAAAAATGTATTATTAATTATTAAAAAAACTTTTAATTATGGAAAATTTCATACAATACAGATGAAGACAAAATAGTTTATTGCCTCCTCACATAATTTTTACCCAGCTTCAAAATTCACTCATTCCAGTTTTGTTTCATCTATACTCATACCTAGACTCTTCTCCCCAATATCGTAAAGATAAATATATTCCCATTATCACATCTAAAGCCTTCCATAATAATTCTTTACTAAGAATTGGTTACTTTTGATTAGTGAGATACAGAAATAAAAATTTCAATTTCTTTTTACCTTTGTTTAAAAATGGAAATATTTTGGAGTGGTTTTTTACAGTAAATACACGAGTCTGTGTGTGTATATGTTTTAAAGAAATCTCTTTAGGGATTTTAGGTCCTGTGCTTTCCTCCCCTTCTATCAGAAAAAGATTATAACAAAATTTTGAGGGTGTGGAGGCTGAGAGGATGTTTTCATTTGGTCCATTTACATGAGAATAAATAGCTTTAGAACATGGGATGAGGTCCAATTTGAATTCATTTTATTACTGCTTTAGAGGAATTATTTCTATCATTTGCATTAGAAATCCAATTGCTTTAAAATTAAATTCTAAATTTTACTTTCCATACGTGATTCCTTGTTTGGATTATGGATCTCACTGGATAGTCTGAGATCCATCATCTCTTTTCTGTGTTGTTTTCTGAAAACTACAATTTTTTTCCGTATTAATTAATTTATTGAGACAGAGTTTCACTCTTGTTGCCCAGGCTGGAGTGCAATGGCACGATCTCCGCTCACTGCACCCTCCACCTCCTGGGTGCAAGTGATTCTCCTGCCTCAGCCTCCCACGTAGCTGAGACTACAGGTGCCTGTCACCACACTCGGTTAATTTTTGTATTTTTAGTAGAAATAGGATTCTGCCATGTTGGCCAGGCTGGTCTCAAACTCCTGGTCTCAAGTGATCCACCTGCCTCGACCTCCCAAAGTGCTGGGATTACAAGCATGAGCCACCACACCCGACCTCCATATTATTTAGAATTGATTTCTCATTAGTAACAAAATGCTTTTAACACCAAAATCAATAACTGTTTATAGTAAATCTTGGCTTTGATTTTGTTCTATGTCTGATCTATATAGGCAGCTCTGCTTTTTTGAGCCTCAGTCCATATATAAAATAGGGATATTATAATATCATAAGATAATGAGAAGGTTAAGTGTGTGTAGATTTCTTTTGGTGGTGGGAATAGGTGTTGAGGCAGGGTTAACAATACCTTGTGGTTTTATGCAGTATGCATTTACAAAGAAGAGCAAAGAGAAATAGAACAGACAAAAACGATTAAGTGTTGCTGTGTACACGTTGCTGTTATAAACCATTTATGTAAATTCCCATTTGATCCCTGTGACAATGATGGTGGTATATGTTGTTGTTATCATTCCAAACCACAATTCGTAACTGTGAAGTAATTTACAGAAGATATGTATTGTTATCCTCACTTCATATATGAGGAAACTAGGCTTGGAAAAATATAGTAATTTGCAGAAAGTCTTACAATTAGTTAGTGCAGCTTTAATTGGAAAGTTTATGCTTCTTTTTACCACCATGGTATACTTTCCACTGTGGGCAGTTGTCTTATCAGGGAGGGAATGCAGTTGTTTTTGCTCTCCTTTTTTAAAGCACTGAAATGTTAGAGGTTACTTTGATAATTGGATTGGTTAGCTAATTAGAATATAGAGTTTTTTGTTTGTTTCTTTTTAAAGAGACAGGGTCTCACTTTAGTTGTCCCGGCTGAAGTGCATTGGTGCCATCATGGCTCACTGCACCTTCAGCCTCCTGGCCTGAAGAGCTCCTCCTGCCTCAGCTTCCCAAAGTGTTGGCATTACAAGCATGAGCCAGCGTGCCTGGCAGGAATGTAGTTCTTTTTTTCTTTTTTTTTCTTTTTTGAGATGGAGTTTTGCTCTGTCGCCCAGGCTGGAGTGCAGTGGCGTGATCTCGGCTCACTGCAACCGCTGCCTGTAGGGTTCAAATAATTCTACTGTCTCAGCCTCCCGAGTAGCTGGCACTGCAGGCACCCGCCACCATGCCTGGCTAATTTTTGTATTTTTTTTTAGTAGAGGTGGGGTTTCACTATATGTTAGTCAGGCTGGTTTTGAACTTCTGACCTCAGGTGATCCACCCATCTCAGCCTCCCAAAGTGGTGGGATTACAGGTGTGAGCCACTGTGCCCGCCATGACTTAAGTGAGATGAACCATGAAAAGTGAACCATGAAAATTCAATTTATGTTTTTAATTTTTATTATTATTTTTTGAGATGAAGTCTCTCTGTGTCGCCCACACTGGAGTGCAGTGGCGCCATCGTGGCTCATTGCAATCTCCACCTCCCAGGTTCAAGCAATTCTCTTGCTTCAGCCTGCTGAGTAGCTGGGACTACTGGCATGCACCACTACACTGGCTAATTTTTTTTATTTTTAGTAGAAACAGCGTTTTGCCACGTTGGCCAGGCTGGTCTCGAACTCCTCACCTCAGGTGATCTGCCTGCCTTGGCCTCCCAAAGTGGTGGGATTACAGGCATGAGCCACTGTGCCTGGCCATCATTTCAGTTTATATATATGTTTTATACATACTTTAAAAAAAAAAAACTACAGTAGTTATTGATAATGTCTGGTAGGTTTTTCCCATTTATTTGCCTTTTGTAAAAACGTTTTTCACAATTCCCTTTTATTGTGAAATAAAACACATAAAGTTAATTAGATATAAATATACTGCTTAAAAATTTTTTTCTTTTTTGAAATGGAGTCTTGTTCTGTCACCAGGCTGGAGTGCAGTGGTGTGATCTCGGCTCACTGCAACCTCTGCCTCCCGGGTTCAAGAAATTCTCCTGCCTCAGCCTCCTAAGTAGTTGGCACTACAGGTGTGTACCACCATGCCTGGCTAATTTTTTGTATTTTTAGTAGAGACGTGGTTTCACTGTGTTAGCCAGGGTGATCTCCATGTCCTGACCTCATGATCCGCCTGCCTTGGCCTCCCAAAGTGTTGGGATAATAGGCGTGAGCCACTGCACCGGGCCTAAATAATTATTATAAACACAAACTAGCCCTGGTGCAGTGGCTCATACCTGTCATCCCAACACTTTGGGAGGCTGTGGCGAAAGGATTACTTGAGCCCTGGAGTTTGAGACTAGCTTGAGTAACATAGCAAGACCCTGTCTCTATTTAAATTAAAAAAAAAAAAAAAGTTAAAAAACCCCACATACACAAATTTTATCTGGGTCAAGAACCAGAATGTCAGCACCACCGAACTCTCTTACTGTGCGCCCCTTTGTATTTCATACGGTACCCTCCCTTTCCTCTAAAAGAACAATTATCTTGACTTTTATTTTATATATATATTTTATATATATATTATATATATAAAATATATATATAAAAATATATATATAAAATATATATATATATATATATATATATTTAATATATATATTTGTTTTTTTTTTTTTTTGAGATGGGGCTTGCTCCTTTGCCCAGGCTGGAGTGCAGTGGCATAATCATGACTCACTGCAGCCTTGACCTCCCAGGTTCAAGTGATCTTGCCATCTCAGTCTCCCAGGTAGCTGAGAATATAGGCATGTGCCACCATGCCCAGCTAATTTATTTTATTTATTTATTTATTTTTATTTTTGAGACGGAGTCTCGCTGTGTCACCCAGGCTGGAGTGCAGTGGCACGATCTTGGCTCACTGCAAGCTCCGCCTCCTGGGTTCATGCCATTCTCCTGCCTCAGCCTCCCAAGTAGCTGGGACTACAGGCGCCCGCCACCACGCCCGGCTAATTTTTTGTATTTTTAGTAGAGACGGGGTTTCATCATGTTAGGCAGGATGGTCTTGATCTCCTGACCTCGTGATCCACCTGCCTCGGCCTCCCAAAGCGCTGGGATTACAGGCGTGAGCCACCACGCCCGGCCTAATTTTCTTATTTTTCCTAGAGATGAGTTCTCGGTACGTTGCCAGGATTCTCAGACTCCTAGGTTTAAACGATCCTCCTGCCTTGGTGACCCAAAGTGCTGAGATTACAAGTGTGAGCTACTGTGCTTGGCCAGTTCTCTTGTTCTTAAAAAATATTTTCACACCCTAAGTCTTTATTGCTAAATACTGTGGTTTGACGTTCTGTTTTTGAGCTTCACATAGATGAAATTACACTTTTTTGGGGGGTAGGGCCTTGCTTTGTTGCTCAGACGGGAGTGCAGGCTCTGTTTCTCAGGCTGGAGTGCGGTGATGCAATCATGGCTCTGGGCAGCCTCCACCTCCTGGGTTCAAGTGGTTCTTCCTGAGCATGAGCCACCTTGCCCTGCTAATTTTCAATTTTTTGTTCTTTTTTTGTTTTTTTTGAGAGAGAGTCTTGCTCTGTTGCCCAGGCTGGAGTGCAACGGCACGATCTTGGCTCACTGCAACCTCTGCCTCCTGGGTTCCAGTGATTCTCCCTGCCTCAGGCACCCGAGTAGCTGGGATTACAGGTGCCTGCCACCATGCCCAGCTAATTTTTGTATTTTTAATAGAGACGAGGTTTCTTCATGTTGGCTAGGGCGGTCTTAAATTTCTGACCTCAGGTAATCTGCCCATTGTGGCCTCCCAAAGCGCTGGGATTAAAGGCTTGAGCCACAGCGCCCAGCCAAGTTATAAATTTTTTGTAGAGACAGGATCTTGCTATATTGCCCAGGCTGGTCTCTAACTCCTGGCCTCAAGTGATTCTCCTGCCTCAGTCTCCTAAAGTGTTGGGATTACAAATGCTAGTTACCGTGCTTCCCCACAGTGTATTTTTTTTTTTTTTTGAGGTGGAGTTTCGCTCTGTTTCCCAGGCTAGAGTGCAGTGGCATGATCTCGGCTCAGTGCAACTTCCACCTCCCGGATTCAAGCGATTCTTCTGCCTCAGCCTCCCGAGTAGCTGGGATTACAGGTATGCACCACCACGCCCGGCTAATTGTTGCATTTTTAGTAGAGTCGGGATTTTACCACGTTGGTTAGACTGGTCTTGAACTCCTGACCTCAAGTGATTGTCCCGCCTTGGCCTCCCAAAGTGCTGGGATTACAGGAGTGAGCCACCATGCTTGGCTGCACACTATTTTTTGTGTCTTGCTTCCTTGGCTCAGCATTGTTTGTGAGATTCATCCATGTTGTGGGACCCGTAGTTCATTTTTAGGAACTATATACTTGTGTGATTACGCCACATTTATCCATTCTATTCTTGATGGATATTACATTATTTTTAGTTTGGGACCATTGTAAGTATTACTGCTGAGAACACTCTTGTGGTTTTGTTTTGAGACGGAGTTTTGCTTTTGTTGCCCTGCCTGGAGTGCAGTGGCGCAATCTTGGCTCACTGCAACCTCTGCCTCCCGGGTTCCAAGTGGTTCTCCTGCCTCAGCCTCCTGAGTAGCTGGGATGACAGGCACCCGCCACTGTGCCTGGCTAATTTTTGTATTTTTCGTAGAGATGAAGTTTCGCCATGTTGGCCAGGCTGGTCTCAAACTCCTGACCTCAGGTGATCCACCTGCCTCAGCCTCCCAGAGTGCTGGGATTACAGGCATGAGCCACCGTGCCCGGCCTCATATGTGTTTTTTAATGCACATGTGAAGCCATTTCTGTTGGATATATATCTAAGATCGAAATCTCTTGGTCATAAGGTATGTTGTTAGTAGAAAAGGCCAAATTGTTTTCCAGAGTGGTTTTACTGAACTTTTCTTCCAACAGCAGCATGTGAGAATTCCCTTTTATATTCTCCTGAGTGCACATTATTGCCAATCTTTTAAAATTGTAGCCATTTTTGATGGCTTTAATTTGCACTATCTCTGGCTACTAATGAGTTTGAGCATCTCAGTGCTGACCATTTTGATGTCCTATTCTGTGAAGTGATTGTTCTCATCACTTATCTATTTTTATTTTTAATTAATGCATATTTTGATTCATAGGAGCTTTTTATATATTCTTAATATAAGGCATTTGTCAGTTTAAGTAGGTTACTTATGTCTTCTCCCATTCTGTAGTTTGCCTGTGGTGCCTTTTTATATGGTATCTTTTGGTGCAGAAAAGTTCTCTGTAGGCTGGGTGCGGTGGCTCACACCTGTAATCCCAGCACTTTTGGAGGCCGAGGCAGTTGGATCATGAGGTCAGGAGATCGAGACCATCCTGGCTAATGTGATGAAATTCTGTCTCTACTAAAATACAAAAAATTAGCTGGGTGTGGTGGCGTGCGCCTGTAATCCCAGTTACTCAGGAGGCTGAGGCAGGGGAATCGCTTGAATTGGGTAGGCAGAGGTTGCAGTGAGCCGAGATCATGCCACTGCATTCCAGCCTGGCGACAGAGCAAGAGTCCATCTCAAAAACAAACAAACAAAAAAAGTTATCTGAATAGGTACATACGTCAGGTTTTTTTCCGTTAAACAGTGCTTTTTTGTGTTCTGTTTTAAAATTTTTTTTCTTCCTTGGAGGTAATGGAGTTATTCACATCATCTATAAATTTTATTTACTTCTCTCATTTAGATATGTAATATGTAATTCACCTGGAATAGATTTTTGTGTGTGTGTAGTTTTTAGGTCAAGTTTTATTTTTTTTTCAAATGGATATCCAGTTGTTCCAGCACCATTTATGAATAAACAAACAAAAAAACTTTTGCCATCACTCTGGAGTGTTGTGTTTTCATAAGTCATGTCCATAGATGCATGCTATGTGTCTGGGCCTTTATCCTGTTACATTAGTCTGTCTAGCCTTGTACCAATATCACTGCCTCATTTATTGAGCTTAATAAAATAAATCTAAATATCCTGTAGAATAAGTATCCTTTTTTTTTTTCCTTGAAACATGCTCTCGCTCTGTTTCCCAGGCTGGCGTGCAGTAGCGTGATAACAGTGTACTGTAGCCTTGACCTCCTGGGCTTATACGATCCTCCTGTCTCAGCCTCCCGAGTAGCTGGGACCGTAGGTGTGAGCCACCATGCCTGGCTAATTTTTAAAATTATTTGTAGAGACGAGAGCTCCCTATGTTACTCAGGCTGCCCAGCTTGTTCTTTTTAAAGATTTGCTAGTCTGTTCTTTTGCATTTCCATGTACATTTTAGAATCACTGCATTAATTTCTCCCCCTAAGTAAACAGAGTAACCAACTTAACCTCCAACCAAACCACAGAATCTTTTGGACTTTTGGTTGGGATTATACTGTTGCCTTAGATCAATTTTGGAATGGGCAGAATTGACATCCTTTATGGTTTTCTAGTTAGAAGTCTTGCATATCTTTTGTTAGATTTATTCTTAGATACTTGATTTTCTTATGCCATAGTAAGTATATATATATATATATATTTTTCTTTTTGTAAGTGGGATTTCAGAAATTGTCATACTTTAACCAGGAGTTTTATAGCAAAGGTTTTTGTGAAAAATTATATTCTATAATAGGTTTAAGTCATTGTCTAAAGCATCTCCAGTATTTATAAAGCCAAAGGGAGTCCAGGATGGTACACAAATAATGCTTCTGATGGTGTCATTTTCCTTTTTGTTTTCAAGCAGGACTGGGTAAAGTATCATATATTGAAATACAAACACAATAACATGACCATTTCACTTCATTTTTTTTTTGGTAGGGGGACTTTGGCATTTAGTTTCATTTATGGTTTTAATCTATTCATGAAAGTAGTTGGTTAAATAAAATGGTTTATTTACTATTTTTAAGTTTTAGATTTTTCTTCTTGGCAAACTTTATTTTGGGTTAGGTAGTTTCTTCGCTCGATGGTTGGAGGGGGGAGGGGCTATAATTAAACCAACATCGAAGTGAAATACAGTATGCACATTGCAATCTTGTTTCAGTGGAAGTGAAGTAAAAAGACTTGAAATTCTGGTACTATGGAAAAGAAGCAAAGTACCGGGTAGGCTTAATACTGCATAGTGTTGTGTGTGAGAGAGACAGAAAAATGCTTATTTCTGAATACTTGAACCAGAGCTTTGGAATTGGAGCACTGTAATAGAGAGGAAGAAAAGGATCAGAATACAGGGAAAATGAAATAGCATGGAGAAGAGAATGATAAAACAAAATTTTAACAGCTTAGTTTCTGGAAAACCATTATAAAATCAGACTGTATTACTGTGTGAAAGTTGATAAGCATTTTTATAAAAACTTAATGTTGGAATTGTGTTTGGGTGAACTTTTCTGGGTCTTAAGGACAGGTTATCCAGAAAGGAAGGAAAAAGAACAAAAACCCCAGCATGTTTCCAGGGGTATATGTAGCCCCCCAAAAATGCTGTTGTATTGTTTTATGAATAAAGTCTGATACTTATCTGGAGTTCCCAATCCCTCCTCCCCACCTTTTAAAAATTTATTTTATTTTATTTTTTGAGATGGGGTCTCACTCTGTTGCCCAGGCTGGAGTGCAGTGTTGCAATTTTGGCTGACTGAAACCTCTGCCTCCTGGGTTCAAGCGATTCTCATGCCTTAGCCTTCCCAGTAGCTGGGATTACAGGTGTGTGCCACCATGCCCAGCTAATTTTTGTATTTTTAGTGGAGATGAGGTTTCACCATGTTGGCCAGGCTGGTCTCCAACTCTTGACTTCAGGTGATCCACACACTTTGGCCTCCCAAAGTGCTGGGATTACAGGCATGAGCTACCTTGTCCGGCCCCCCACCTTCTTTCTTTAGAGAGAGGGTCTTGTTCTGTTGCCCAGGCTGGAATGAGGTGGCTTGGTTATAACTTACTGTAGCCTTGAACTCCTGGGATCAAGTGATCTTCCTACCTCAGTCTCCCTAGTAGCCGGGACAACGGGTGTATGCCACCATGCCTAGCTAATTTTATTTTATTTTTTTAGAGATGGGTCTCATGATGTTGCCCAGGCTGGTCTTGAACTCCTGACCTCAAGCAGTCCTCCTGCCTCGACCTCCCAAATTGCTGTGATTATAGGAGTGAGCTGGGCCCCTTCATTGATTAGAGAAAAATTCACCAAAACTCAGAAATAACTGGAGTTCTTCTATGTAAATGATATGGTAACCTGCTTTCCTATATAATAAATTTGTCTTCATTTAAGTTAGTTATAAATTAGGCAGCCTGGGCAACATAATGAGACCCTGTCTTTTTTTGTTTTTTTTGAGACAGAGTCTCGCTCTGTCGCCCAGGCTGGAGTGCAGTGGCATGATCTCGGCTCACTTCAGCCTCCACCTCTCGGGTTCATGTGAATCTCCTGCCTCAGCCTCCTGAGTAGCTGGGACTACAGGCATGCGCCAGCACATCCAGCTAATTCTTTTATTTTTAGCAGAGACAGGGTTTCACCATGTTGGTCAGGCTGGTCTTGAACCCCTGACCTCATGTGATCCACCCATCTCAGCCTCCCAAAGTGGTGGGATTACAGATGTGAACCACCGCACCTGGCTGAGACCCTGTCTTTAAAAAAAAAAAAAAAAAAAAAAAAAAGCCAGCTGCAGTGGTACATGCCTGTGGTCCAACTACTTGGGAGGCTGAGGTGGGAGGGTTGATTCAGCCTCGAAGGTTGAGGCTGCAGTGAGCTGTGATTGTGCCACTGTACCCCAACTTAAATAATTGTCAGGATTTACTACATGTTACAAAACTTCCATGACTTTTAACTATAAATAACTTGTTGACGAATGGGATGGGAGGGGTGAAACTAAGCACCTAACAATTTTAAGTAGCTATATAGTAGTAATACCAACATAGTAAGCCTAGAAACTGTTTATTTCATATTAGTGTTTGATACTTCATACTGGCTTTCCAGTACTGAGTCTTTTTTTATTGAGATGAAATTCACATAACATATATTTAACCATTTTGAAGTATACCATTTAGTGTCATTTAGTGCAATTGTGTTGTTGTGCAATCATCTCTAGTTTCAAAATGTTTTCATTATACCAAAAGAGCATCTCATATCCGTAAGTAATAACTTCCTATTTCCTTGACACCCTCCCCCCCAGTCTCCTGGCAATCACTAATATGCTTTCTATCTCTATGGATTTGCTTATTTATTATATTTCTTATAAATAAAATTATATAATATTTGGCTTCTTTTACTTAGTGTCATGTTTTCAATGTTTATCGAAGTTATAGCATATATTAGTACTTAATTTTTATGGCTAAATAACATTCAATTGTATGTATATACCACATTTATTTCTTAGTTCATTTGTTGATGCACCTTTTGGCTATTATGAATAATGCTGCTATTAACATTTATGTACAAATTGCTGTGTGGATATATATTTTAATTTTTCTTGGGTGTATACCTAGAAGTGGAATTTCTGGATCATGTGGTAATTCTGTTTATCTTTTTGAGAAATGCCAAATTGTTCTCGACAGTGGCTGGCATCATTTTACATTTCTACTAGCAATGTATGAGAGTTCCTATTCCTTCACATCCTTGCTAACACTTGCTGTTTTCCTTTTTTTTAAAAAAATATAGCCGCCTGCTATTGTTTGAATATGATTTGTTTGTACCACCAAAACTCATGTTGAAATTTGATCCCCAGTGTGGTGATATTGGGAGGTGGGACCTATTGGGAGGTATTTGGGTTATGAGGGCAGATCCTTCATGAATTGCTGGTGCTGTTCTCACTGTAGTGAGTGAATTCTTGCTTTCTAGAGACTGTATTAATTCTTGAGGGAATGGATTAATTCCGGCAAGAGTGTGTTGTTGTAAAGCCGCGACATCCCTCACACTTTCCCCTCTTTGCATGTGTCCACTTCCCCATTGACCTTTTCTGCCATGTTGTAAAGTAGCACAAAAGCTGTCGCCAGAAGCTAGGGCCATGCCCTTGAACCCTTGAACTTCTCAGGCTGCAGAACCATGAAACTTCTTTTCATTATAAATTACCAGTCAGGTATTCTGTTATAAGCAACACAAAATGGACTAATACCCTATTCTAAAGTTTGTAAAGTAGTATCTTTTTGTGGTTTTGACTTGCATTCTTTTAATGACCGATGAAGTTGAACATTTTTTCATGTGCTTGTTGGCCATTCGTTTATCTTCTTTGGAAAAATGTCTTTTCAAGTCCTTTGCCCATTTGTAAATTGGATTGTTTGTCTTTTGTTGTTGAGTTGTAAGAGTTCTTTATGTAGTCTGGATACTGGACCCGTAAGTATTTTCTCTCATTTTGTGAGTTGTCTTTTAACTTTCTTGATAATGTCCTTTGATGCACAAAGCTTTTAAGTTTGACAAGGTCCAGTTTATATAATTTTTCTTTAGGTACATGGGCTTTTGGTGTCATGTAAGAAACCATTTCCAAATTCAGTGGAGTAGGTTACTTCTATGTTTTCTCTTAAGAGTTTATAAGAGCTTATAATTTTAGCCTTTATATTTAGGCCACTGATCCATTTTGATTTAATTTTTAGTATGGCGTGAGGTAAGGGTCCAACTTCATTCTTTTGCTTGTGGGTATCACATTATCCCAATACCATTTGTTGAAGAGACTATTTCTTCCCCGTTGAATTGTCGTGTACCCTTGTCAAAAATCAGTTGACCATAGAGTGTATTTTTGAACTCTCATTCTATTCCATTGGTCTATATTTCTGTCCTTATGCGAATACCACACTGTTTTGACTCCCTTGGCTTTGTAGTAAATTTGAAATTGGAAAGTTTTAGTCTCAAATTTTATTGTGCTTTTTCAATATTATTTTGACTGTTTGGGACCCCTTGCAATTCTGTATGAGTTTGAGGATTGGACTTTCCATTTTTGCAAAAAAGTCCATTGGAATTTTTATAGGGGTTGCACCGAATCTGTACGTTGTTTTGGAGAGTATTGCCATTTTAACAATATTAAATGATCTAATTGGGGAATGTTAGATGTCTTTCCATTTAATTAAGTCTTAATTTCTTTTAACAGTGTTTTATAGTTCTCTGCAAATCTTTCACCTTCTTGGTTAAATTTGTTTTTAGATATTTTAATTTTTGGATGTTATCATAAATTTGTTTTCTTTCCTTTTTGGATTATTATGTGTAGGAACACAACTGATTTATGTATATTGATCTTATACCCTGCAACTTTGCTCAATTTTTTTATCAGTTTAGTGGGAATTTTTTGTTGATTCTTTGGAATATTTTATATATAGGATTGTGTCATGTGCGACTAGAGATAGTTACACTTCATCCTTTCCAATATGAATGCCTTTAAATTCTTTTCTTGCCTGGCTAGCAGTGTTGAAAGTGGGCTTCTTGTCTTATTTCTGATGTTAGAGGGACAGCTTTTAGTTATTCACCATTGAGTATGATGTTAACTGTAGGCTTTTCATAAATGCATCTTATCACATTAAGCTCCCTTTTATTGCTGGTTTCCTGAGTTTTTTGTTTGTTTGTTTATTTCTGAGACAGGGTCTCACTCTGTCTTCCAGACTGGAGTGCAGTGGCATGATCATGGCTTATGGTAGCCTTGATCTCCTGTGCCCAAGTGATCCTCCCACCTTGGCCTCTGTCTGGGCAAGACAGGCTGTTGTTGAACTCCTGGGCTCAAGTGATCCTCCCACCTTGGCCTCTCGGTATGCTGGGATTATAGGCATGAGCCATTGTGTCTGGCCATTTGTTTGTTTTTTAGCCTGATAATATGTTGTATTAGTTCATTCTCACACTGCTAATAAAGACAAACCTGAGACTGGGTAATTTATAAAGGAAAGAAGTTTAATTGACTCAATTCCAAATGGCTGGGGATGCTTTAGAATCATGGCAGAAGACAAAGGAGGAGTAAAGTCACATCTGACATGGCAATAGGCAAAGAGAGCATGTGCAGGAAAGCTCTTCTTTATAAAACCATCAGATCTCATGAGACTTATATTCATTATCACGAGAACAGCATGGGAAAGACCCACCCCCATGATTCAATTACCTCCCATCTTTCCTTCCTACAATACATGGGAATTATGGGAGCTACAATACAATACGTGGGAATTATGGGAGCTACAATTCAGGATCTGGGTGGGGACACAGCAAAACAATATCATACGTTGAACTTCGTTGTGTGTGTGTGTGTGTGTGTGTGTGTGTGTGTGTGTGTGTGTGTGTTTGATGATCATGTGATATTTTTCCTTCTGTTAATATCATGTATTACATTGATTGATTTTCTTATGATAAACCATCCTTCATTCTTGGGCTAAATCTTACTTGTTCATGGTGTATAGCTGGGATTATAGGCGCATGCCACCACGTGTGGCTAATTTTTTGTATTTTTTAGTAGAGATGGGGTTTCACTGTGTTGGCCAGGCTGGTCTCGAACTCCTGACCTTGTGATCCGCCTGCCTTGGCCTCCCAAAGTGCTGGGATTACAGGCGTGAGCCACTGCGCCTGGCCAGGTTTTTTAATTTTCTTAATGATCTTCTGTCTAGATGTTTTAGCCATTATTGAAAGTGAAGTTTTATTATTGTTATATTGAAGTTTATTATATATTGAAGTTTATTGTTAGGTATTATTGTTGAACTATTTCTACTTTTAGTTCTCTCAGTGTTTGCACACAATTTCGGGGCTCCATTGTTTTGTGTGTAATTGTTATATCTTCTTAATGAATTAACCCTTTTATCACTATGCATTCTTCTTTATCTTTTTTTTTTTTTTTTTTTTTTTTTGAGACAGGGACTCACTCTTCACCCAGGCTGGAGTGCAGTGACATGATCTCAGCTCACTGCAACCCCCCAGGCTCAAGCGATTCTCTCACCTCAGCTTTCTGAGTAGTTGGGACTACAGATGCATGCCACCACGCCTGGCTAATTTTCTGTATTTTTGGTAGAGACGGAGTTTTGTTATGTTTCCCAGGTTGGTCTGGAACCCCTGAGCTCAAGTGATCTGCCTGCCTGGGCCTCCCAAAGTGCTGGGATTACAGGCATGAGCCACTACTCCCGGCCATTCTTTGTCTTTTGTAACAACTTTTGATTTATAATCTGCTTTGTCTACTATCAGTTTTGTTGCCCTTCCTCTCTTTTGGTTACTGTTTGCATGATATAAATAATTCCATCCTTTTACTTTTAAGTTATATGTGTCTTTGAGGCTAAAGTGAATCTCTTTTAACTAGCATATAGTTGCATCTTTAAAAAAATCATGCCTGGGCTCGTTGGCTCACGCCTGTAATCCCAGTACTTTGGGAGGCCAAGTCAGGCGGATCACCTGAGGTCAGGGGTTCGAGACTAGCCTGGCCAACATGGTGAAATACTGTCTCTACTAAAAATACAAAAAGTAGCCAGGCGTCGTGGTGCACTCCTGTAATCGCAGCTACTTGGGAGGCTGAGGCAGGAGAATCACTTGAACCTGGGAGGCAGAGGTTGAAGTGAGCCGAGATCGCACCACTGCACTCCAGCCTGGGCGACAGAGTGAGACTCCATCTCAAAAAAAAAAAAAAAAATCATTTATGCCAATCTGTGTTTTTTTGTTTGTTAGTTTTTGAGATGGAGTCTTGCTCTGTCACCCAGCCTGGAGTGCAGTGACACAGTCTTGGCCCACTGCAACCTCCGCCTCCCAGGTTCAAGCGATTCTCCTGCTTCAGCCTCCTGAGTAGCTGGGACTATAGGTGTGTGCCACCATGCCTGGCTAATTATTTTGTATTTTTAGTAGAGACCAGGTTTCACCATGTTGGCCAGGCTGGTCTTGAACTCCTGCCCTCAGGTGATCCACCTGCTTCAGCCTCCCAAAGTGCTGGGATTCCAGGTATAAGCCACTGAGCCCAGCCCCAGTCTACGTTTTTTAATTGTCGATTTTAAGCTGTTTACATTTAAAGTAATTGCTGATAAGGAAGAACTCTTGCCACTTTGCTATTTGTGTGTGGTCACTGAAGCCTATGTTCTGTTATCTTCGTGGTCAGCTAGTGACCTGTCAGATCCTTGAGTGTCTGAATCCAGTAAAGAAAAAAAGTTTTCTGTGTTTTATGTTTACTGAGCAATGCCGCTCAATAAATCACTTTAGCTCAATGGGATTGAAACAGTGGTCAGCCTCCATGCAGGTCCCTTAGTGATCCACCAGGCAGATAAAAACACACAACCCCAATTTTTGAACAAGGCACTTATTGTCCACCCTGACATCAGCAAGCTGAATCAGAAAGGTGGGCTGCTGTCCTGATAAGTGCTTGCCTCCTAGCTGGTGAATGGGGGATGGTAGCTGCTACATGGAATATAGAAATTCACCAGTGTTAACCAATGACTTTCTTCATCCTGCCCACTCATGGACACTATAAGTGTTTGACTAGACTTTTAGAGTTCTGGAATAGTTGATTTCTTGTAGTTCTTGCCAGCTTTATAATTGTTTCAGTGGAAGAACTTTTTCTTGGAGCTTCTTAACTTGGCCATCTTCCATGATGTCACCTCAGCCTTTACTTTTTTTTTTTTTTTTTTTTTGAGATGGAGTCTTCCTCTGTTGCCAGGCTGGAGTGCAGTGGCGCAATATCAGCTCACTGCAACCTGTGCCTCCCGGGTTCAAATGATTCTCCTGCCTCAGCCTCCTGAGTAGCTGGGATTACAGGTGTGCGCCACCATGCCCAGCTAATTTTTGTATTTTTAGTAGAGACGGGGTTTCACCATGTTGGCCAAGATGGTCTTGATCTCCTGACCTCGTGATCTGCCCGCCTCGGCCTCTCATAGTGCTGGGATTACGGGTGTGAGCCACCGTGCCTGGCCCGGCCTTTAGTTTTATATATTGACGTTATCTCCTGTTTCCTAGCTTAAAATCTGAATGAACCTGGATAATTGAAGTCAGTTTTTAAGTTCAGTTGTAAGTGAGGCAGGGCATGGTGGCTCACTCCTGTAATTCCAGCACTTTGGGAGGCCAGGGTGGGTGGATCACCTCAGGTCAGGAGTTCGAGACTAGCCTGGCCGACATGGTGAAAACCCATCTCTACTAAAAATAAAAAATTAGCTGGGTGTTGTGGCGGGCACCTGTAATCCCAGCTACTTGGGAGCCTGAGGCAGGTGAATCACTTGAACCCGGGAGGCGGAGGTTGCGGTGAGCCGAGATCGCGCCATTGCACTCCAGCCTGGGTAACAGAGCAAGACTCCATCTCAAAAGAAGAAAAAATTGTAAGTGATTTTATAACTGAACTTGGTAAGTTTATTTGTGGATTTAACTTAGTAATTTGTTAATTTAATATTGACCAATATTTATTGGAAATAATTTTATAAGTAGTGATTTTTACTTAAAAAATAAATGTAAAAGCACTTTGGGAGGATGAGGCAAGAGGAGTTCAAGACCAGCCTGGGCTGAACATAGTGAGATCATGTCTTTACACACACACCACATTCTCATTCTCTCTGTCTCTCTGTCTCTCTGTCTCTCTGTCTCTCTGTCTCTCTCTCTCTCTCTCTCTCTCTCTCTCTCTCTCTCTCTCTCTCTTTCGGCATGGTGGTGCATGCCTGTAGTCCTAGCTACTTGGGAGGCTGTGGCAGGAGGATCACTTGAGCTTGGGAGTTGGAGACTGCTGTGAGCTTACCTCAAAAAAAAAAAAGAGTAAAAGAATACCTATTAAGTTTGACTTAGCAGTTAAAATCTAATTTATCTTGCACAGTAAAACTCTGGGGGAAAAGAAGTAGAAGTAGCTCTCGATAATTTTTTTCTCTAGTCTGTATCCTGTTGAAGCTCTTGATAATTTTGTGATAACAATTTTCATTTGAAGTTTCAGTGCCTATAAAGAAGGAGTTTGTATAATGATTCTCTCAGAAGCATTAACTGCCTTTTATTGAGTGATTGCTGTATTCCAGGGATACTGATTTATTAGATGATCTATTTTAATCCTCAGAGAATTCCTGTAAGATAGGTGTTATCTTGATTTTTTCAGTTGAGAAAATTGATGCTCAGAGAGATTCAACATATTTACATCCGGGGGGCATACCGGCTGTTAAGTGGCAGAGGTAGGAAGCGAGTTCAGATCTTTCTTATTTTTTATTTTACTGAGCTGCTTTTGATTATAGGATACAATAACTTCTAGGATTTGTCTGAAAATGTGTAGGGTAAGCACTACTTTATAGAGACTATTTTCCTTTTAGGATTTTATACACACACACACACGAGGATGGGAATGGTGGTGGTGGTGTGTCAGTTTGAGGTTAAGTTTTAATCAAGAAGCAAAAAGGTCAAGGATAAAATTCAGTTTTTACAAAAATAGGAGTATTTTAATATGTTTTTCCTGATAAGTTGGATATTAAAAAATAAGGACAATATTCAGAGTTTTCTGAAGATGCACTAAATCAAGGTAGGGATTGTCATGTCAACTTAAAATAGTTGAGAGCAGGCTGGGTGCAGTGGCTCACTTTGGGAGGCCAAGCACTTTGGGAGGCCGAGGCGGGTGGATCACCTGAGGTCAAGAGTTTGAGACCAGCCTGGCCAACGTGGTGAAATCCTGTCTCTACTAAAAATACAAAAATTAGCCAAGTGTGGTGGCATGTGCCCGTTGTTCCAGCTACTCGGGAGGCTGAGGCAGGAGAATCACTTGAACCCGGGAGGTCGAGGTTGCATTGAGCCAAGATCATGCCGCTGCACTCCAGCCTGGGTGACAGAGTGAGACTCCATCTCAAAAAAAAAAAAAAAAAAAAAAAGAAAAAAAATAGAGCACACACACATTTATGTTTTTTTAAGTTGTTCTTGAGAGACCGTGTGTTAATTTCTGCTAGTAATCCCATTATAAATGAACAGGATCGTTGATTCATATTTTCAGTAACTGGAAGGGACTTTTGAAATAATTTAGTTCTGTGGCTAGCTCTATGGTCTATTATGCCTGTAATCCCAGCACTTTGGGAGGCCAAGGTGGGTGGATCACCTGTGGTCAGGAGTTCGAGACCAGCCTGGCCAACATGGTGAAACCCGTCTCTACTAAAAATACAAAAAATTGGCCGGGCGTGGTAGCGGGCACCTGTAATCCCAGCTGCTTGGGAGGCTGAGGCAGGAGAATTGCTTGAATCTGGGAGGTGGAGGTTGCGGTGAGCAGAGATCACACCATTGTACTCCAGCCTGGGCAACAAGAGCGAAATTCTGTCTCAAATAAAAAAAAAAAAAAGAAGAAGTAATTTAGTTGTATATGTTCATTTAACAGATGAGAAAATTGAATGAGTTTAAAAGATTAAATACTTTTAGTTATTCAGCAGACCGAGATTCGAAACCTAGTTTAGTGATCCTTTATCTTCAAGTCTTTCTTAGTTCTTTATTGCTCAAAATTAGGAATGAGGATAGCATGAGCATCCAGAAATAATTTTTTCTGAAGACCATATTCTAGGCAAAGCATCCTAGATAGAGAAAAAGAAACAATTTGGGAGGTATATGAAAATTAGGAACTGGAAGGACTGTCACATTATAGGCATGTTGTAGAACAGCACAGAGGAGAAAGGGAAGAATAAATGGTTTCTCTTCAACACAGGGCAATTTTAGATATTTTAAAGTAAACTTACAGGCAAGAGGAAGAACAGAGGGCTGTGAATAGTAATAGGCATAGCATTTAAAGCAGATGTACATGTGATATGGCTCCTTGGGAGGGTTCTTTGTATTTCCTCGGATGTATCAAACCTGCTTGCTCTTAATTTCTTACCGCTTCATCTGAAAGTATTTTTCTTTCAGAAAAACCTGGGATGTGGAAGTGATCGTTTTGTATATTTTAATTTAGTGGTTGTCATCAACCTAGTGATTTGGATTATATATTACATTAGTATCATCTAGGATTTTTTTTTTCTGAAAGGATACACAAAGGATGTGTCCTGATAGCTTAGCTCCCACTTCGAAGTGAGAGCATAACCATATTTGGTTTTCCATTCCTGAGTTACTTCACTTAGAACAATGGCCTCTACCTCCATCCAAGTAGCTGTGAAAGACATGTCTCACCCTGGTAATCCAGAATGTGGTGAAACCCCATCTACCATAAAAAAAAAAAAAATAAATTAGACGTGGTGGCGCTTAGTCCCAGCTACTTGTAAATCTGAGGTGGGAGGATCGTCTGAGCTCGGGAGGCAGAGGTTGCAGTGAGCTGTGATTATGCCATTGCATTCC
Source organism: Homo sapiens (assembly GCF_000001405.40). Taxonomy (NCBI): domain Eukaryota; kingdom Metazoa; phylum Chordata; class Mammalia; order Primates; family Hominidae; genus Homo; species Homo sapiens. Next base: position 136,699,438 of record NC_000003.12, on the reverse strand, counting down.
AGCCTGGGTGACAGAGCAAGACCCTGTCTTTAAAAAAAGAAAAGAAAAGAAAATGCAGTTGACTAATTCTAGAGATAGTAATAATATTTGATGGTGTGGATAAACAGACCAGAAATTCTTAAGTATTTGAATAAAGCAGTGGTCTCAGCAAAGACATTTTCTTCCTATAAAATTAAGTAGGCTATTGAGACATTAAAGGAAGTCATTCTTTCTTTTTTATTTCAATAGTTTTGGGAGTACAGGTGATTTTTCGTTACATGGATAAATTCTTTGGTGGTGATTTCTGAGATTTTACTGTACCTGTCACCCAAGCAGTGTACACTGTGCCCAATATGTAGGCTTTTAACCCTCACACCCTTCCAAACCTTCCTCCACTGCCCAAATCCCCAAAGTTCATTATATCATTCTTACGCCTTTATGTCCTCATAGCTTAGCTCCCACTTCGAAGTGAGAGCATAACCATATTTGGTTTTCCATTCCTTAGTTACTTCACTTAGAACAATGGCCTCTACCTCCATCCAAGTAGCTGTGAAAGACATTATTTCATTCCTTTTTGTGGCTGAGGAGTATTTTATGGTGTATATATACTATATTTTCTTTATTTCATCCACTCATTGGTTGATGGGCACTTAGGTTGGATTCATATCTTTGCAATTGTGAATTGTGCTGCTATATAGATGCATGTGGATGTGTCTTTTTCATATAATGACTTTTCCTTTGCTTAGATACCCAGCAAGATACCCATACAAACGGAATCATTTGATATGTAACCTTTTTAGCCTGGCTTCTTTACCTTTACCCAGCAGTGGGATTGTTGGATCAAATGGTAGTTCTACTTTTGTTTAAGTAATCTCCATACCGTTTTCCGTAGTGGTTGTAGTAGTTTACATTCCTACCAGCAGTGTAAAAATGTTGCCTTTTTACCACATCCATGCTCCTCTGTTTGTTGGTTTTTTGACTTTTTAATTATGACTATTCTTGCAGGAGTAAGGTGGTATCTCATTGTGGTTTTAATTTGCATTTCCCTGATGATTAGTGATGTTGAGCATTTTTTCATGCTTGTTAGCTGTATATCTTCTTTTGAGAAATGTCTCTTCATGTCTTTTGCCCACTTTTTGATGGGATTGTTTTTTTCTTGCTGATTTGAGTTCCTTGTAGATTCAGGATACTAGTCCTTTGTCAGACACACAGTTTGTGAATATTTTCTCCCATTCTGTAGGTTGCCTGTTTGCTGATTATTTTGCTGTGCAGAAGCTTTTTAGTTTAATTAGGTCCCATTTATTTTTATTTTTGTTGCATTTGCTTTTGAGGTCTTAGTCATGAATTCTTTGCCTAAGCCAATGTCTAGAAGAGTTTTTCTGATATTGTAGAATTTTTGTGGTTTCAGGTCTTAGATTTTCTTTCTTTCTTTTTTTTTTCCCAAGACGTAATCTTGCTCTGTCTATATAGTTATAATGTGTATTTCATAAGAAAACAGTAAAATATGGCTGTGGACATCTGACTTCTGCTAAATGCACCTGATGTTTATTTATTGAAACATTTGTGGTGCAGTCCCATTTCTATAAATGTATCTTCTAATCCCTATATTAACACAAGATACACTTCCTGGGAATGTAATCAGGCTGAAGATGTTTTAATCTCTTTATATTCTGTTCCTCTTAGTTGGATAATTCCAGATTTCAAAATGCCTGGGTTGTGTCTAATTCCAGGGAGCTGAAGTAAACGGAGTTTTCCAGTGAGAAAAAGTACATTGCATTATAGCAGAAGATGGTAGTCAGTATTTGTGAGAGAATGCTTTATTTTCTACTTTAGGCTATTGACATTAGAAATAATTGGAATTGTTAAAAATATGATGTCTGGTGCCCTCCCAAGATTTTCTGAATCAAAATCAACTGTGACCACACATTAGAATCATCTAGGGAGTTAAAAAAAATGCTGGTGGCTGGATCTCATCCCCAGAGAACCTGATTTAATTATTTAGAGGGTAAAGATAGTGATTCTTAAACTGTTTTAGAATCACCTGGAAGATCCCAAACTGAGTGTGATTCAGTTGGTCGGGTGGGAACTGAGATTTTGCATTTCGAACAACTTGCAGTTGATGCAGATGCTTTTAGTTTCACACTTTGAGAACTGTACCCTGACTGGGATTGGGAACTACCTGCTTAATTTGGAACATATGCAATATTAAGTGAGAAAACTAAGTTCATAAGCAACATAGAAAGTGTAATAGATTTCAAGGTAAAAAATGTTAAGTGTGGAAAATTTTAATTTATAAAGTGGAAAGGCTTTATTCATTGTAAGTCAGAAATAAACTTTAAAATTTCATTTGCAATGAAAAGTCCCAAGCATCATAAATACTAACTTAGCAAAAAGAATATCGCCACAGATGTTAAAGACAACAAACGTTCCTCCACCCTGAGTATAATTTACATACGGTAAAATTCAAAACTTTTTTTAGTGTTCAGTTTCATGAGTTTCATGTGCATCCGTTGTGCAACCATCAACAGAATCAAAATATAGAAGAGTTTTAACATTTCCCTCATACCCTTTTTGATCATTCCTTTCATGAACCTCAGGTCCTAGCAACAGTGACCTGTTTTCTTATTCGTGGTTCTGCTTTTCTCAGAATGTCATACATACGGAATCATTTGATATGTAACCTTTTTAGCCTGGCTTCTTTTATTAAGCACAGTGCATTTGAGATTCATACATGTTGTTTGTTTATTAATACTTCATTCCTTTTATTAAAAAGAAGTTTAAGATTTACAGCAAAATTGAGCAGTAAGTATAGAGGGTTCACAAAAAACCCCTCTTCACTCCCCCAATATGCACAACCTCCCCCACTGTCAGCAGATTGGTACATTTGTTATAGTTGATGAACCTACACTGACTCATTATCACTCAAAGTTCATAGTTTACATTAGTATTTACTCTTGGTGGTGTACATTCTATGGGTTTTGTCAAATATAGCATGCACCCACCATTATAGAATCATACACTGTTGTCTGACTGCCCTAAAAATCCTCCATGCTCTTATGAAAATCATTTATACAAATTGAGGTTAATTGTCATACCTAGCTAAACTGGAGTCAAGGGGCCAAGGAGGAAAAAGCATTTATGGTACAAAGCACATGCTTCCAGGGATTGTCTCACAAGCCCAGCCACCAAAATGACCTTGTATAAACTTAAGCCCAGTTTTACCTAGTAGCTGCTAAAACCACCTGCCTTGACTCTAAGGCAACTTTTACCTACTGCTGTCACTTACCAGTTACAGCTTGGTGGTTCCAGAAAAACTTTGCTAATGTCAACAAGCTTTTTATCAAAGCAATTAATGCAACATTTCTCTTTCCTAATAAAACCCCAATCTTTTGTTTGTTCTTTAGACATACCAAAGATTATCCTGCTCTGTGTGTATGTCCTGAATTGCAATTCTGTTTTTATATATTCCCAAATAAAATGTCTTGTTTAGAGATGTGTTTCTGTGCTTTATTTGCTTTTGACATACCTGGTGTCAGAAGTGGGATCCAAGGTGAGCTCACCTGGAGGGGTTTAGTGGCCTCCCCATCCCCCCGCCCCAGAACTATGTACTCTTTGATCCTCCTGCTTCTGTGTGTTGCTTTTTTTCCCCCACTTGGTAAGTCTCTTTCGGATTGAACTCCCATTTCTTGTGGTTTGAACTTTCCAGTTTTATTTTGGATTTAATTTTTGAGGGATCTTTTTCCTCTTGTTTATGAGGGATTTTCCCCTTCCTGTGTATGGGGACTTTCACCCTCCTGTTAAAGAAAGTTTTGTCTTTTTTTTTTTCTAGTGAGTACTTTACTCTTTTTGCACTTGGTTTTTATTTCGACTTTTGTGTGTTTGATGTTAAACCAAGTCACCTAGATTTATTTACAAAATGGGCTTTCAGGGTTCAAAGGCATGCGAAAGTAACTCCCCCATTGAGGACTCCAGCTGGTTATGTGCTTAAACATTACGGTCTGTCTCTCTCTTTTTTTTTTTTTTGAGACAGAGTCTCACTCTGTTGCCCAGGCTGGAGTGCAGTGGTGCAATCTCGGCGCACTGCAACCTCCACCTCCCAGTTTCAAGTGATTCTTCTGCCTCAACCTCCTGAGTAGCTGGGACTACAGGCTGCACCACCACACATAGCTGATTATTTTTGTATTTTTAGTAGAGGGTTTCACTATGTTGGCCAGGCTGAAACATTATGGTGTGCTATCACATATCTTCTTATCTTGATAAACTGATTATACTAAAGATAATTTGAGATTACAGTGGCCTTCATTGGGTTCTTTTGACCTTCCTAAATTTGTTTTCCTCAGAGATAAATTAGAAGGCCAAGGCCAAAAAACAGTCTAAATTGGACATATACCTTAGTTGGTATCTTCAGGCATCCAAATGCATTTAAGAGTCGGAATTTGCCTTGCTCCAAAATACTTCTCTGGGTGATCTCAGACAAACAGAGAAAAAGGACTTAGAAATTCAAACTTTTTCTATTTCTCAGGTGCCACCTTTTCAAGCTTCTGTTCTATTGTGATATTTCCTCACTTTTCAAAACTTTTCTTCTTCCATGATATTTCTTACCCTACTATTCTTCCTCCCTCTGCTTCCCAGCCTCTACTTACAAAAACTTTTCCCTTTATTATTAGGCCGTTTAACAATTGTGAGGTTCCCCAGATTTCCTGTGTCCCTTGAGCTAAAGCTGAACTCTGTGCTCAAACCAAGGAATTTCGTAGGTTATTGAGGTCCCTTGTCATTTTGCTGACTAATTTAACATTACATTTCAAGTTTACCAGACTGTCTTCTCCAATGTTTTTTTTTTTTTTTTAAAGAGATGGGAGCATCTCACTCTGCAGCCTAGGCAGTGGCATGATCATAGCTCACTATAGCCCCAACCTCCTGGGCTGAACTGAACCTCCCACCTCAGCTTCCTGAGTAGCTGGAACCACAGAGATGTGCCACCACACCCAGCTAATTTTTTTTTATTTTGTTGAGACACGGTCTCACTATGTTGCCCAGGCTAGGTTCAGACTCCTGGCCTCAAGTGATCCTTCTGCCTCAGCCTTCCAGAATGTTGAGATTACAGGCATGAGTTATTGCACCCAGCCACTTTCCAATCTTTATCAGTGTACTCATGTGCCTGTGGGAGACCAGCCCAACACTCAGTGGTCAGTTGCATCTATCCCCTGTGAGACCTGTCTCCACTTCCTCAGCTTCTGGCCTACGATATTGGGATAAGTATCAACTTGCAAAGAATTTACATAGGGTTATCCTCAAAGCATTTCCTAAAGCCATTGATTGGAATAAAATTCAAGCTTGTATCCTAGAGCCAAATGAACTGGTTCATAACCATTATAACAGACTCCAGGTGGTATTCAGAGAAAATTCTGGCTTTCCTGTGGATGTTGACTCTACTAGAATTGGTCTTAATTTTGTCAGTGGTCTCCCAAGAAGAGCTAACATAGAATTTCTCAGTTAAAAGAGCTAACATGGAATGGGAGACTGTACAAACCCCTGACCTTGTTAACTTGGTAAATTAATTGTCTCACTCTAAAAAAATATCAGCAAAGGCCAGGCATGGTGGCTAATGCCTGTAATCTTAGCATTTTGGGAGCCTGAGGTGGGAGGATCAATGGCTTGAGCCTGGGAATTTGATACCAGCCTGGCAACATAATGAGACCCCGTCTCTTAAAAAAAAAAAAATAATTAGCTGAGTATGGGGGTGTGCACTTGTGGTCCTAGCTGCTGAGAGGCTGAGATGGAAGGATTAGTTGAGCCCGGGAGGTCAAGGCTTCAGTGAGTGGTGAACGTACCTCCAGTTAAAACAGATAAATTCACCCACAGAAAACAATTAGGGCTCTACGTGGCACAACTGTAGTTCACAAAAGCAACCTCCTGAAATCTGTCCTTAATGTAAACAGCCATCCCACTGCAAAAAAAGTTGCCATAAACTTAAGCTATCTAAATGGACTTCTTCATTTATCTCTTTGGCTTCTCCTTTAGAATGAAGGGGTTCTGAGGACACATTGGGGTTTTTCCCAGTCCTTTCTTTTAATCACCTCACAGAAAACTTTCTTCAAATTGGCAGTGAAGTTCTGACTATTCTTGTAGACACAGGAGCAACCATATTGGTCCTCAGCCCCACCAGTCTCAACCAGCCACGGTGTTGGAATAATAAAAATATTCAAATAGTGGGAGTTTCTAATAAACCATTGACAACCTTTCTGTCCCAGCCCATTACTTTTTGCCTTGGACGTTTACAGGATATTCATCCCTTTTTATTGGTGAAATCTGCTTCAGCTCATTTATTGGGACAAGACTTAAAACAAAAAATAAAATCATGATGACATCTCTTTCTCCTTAAAAGGGAGACATAATTTTAGAGTTTGATAAACTGGATAGTTCACTGGACTCTTCCAGTCATGCCCTGCTTTTCTATTACGGTGTCCCACACACCGAAGACATCTCTGCTGGCTCCCAAAATTCCCTATTGAAACATACATCTGTCTCTTTATGGGCCACATCATCATCAGATGCTTGTGTAATACATCCCTAATTGAAATCCAAATTGATCCAGCCAAGCTTTTGCCTAATATCTGTTGAGCCAATCTGCCTTACAAGTTGGAAAACCTATAATTAAGGAATACAAAGCTGAAGGTTTAATAATTCCTTTTACCAGCCCCTATAAGACTTCTATTCTCCCAATTAAAAAAAACTTCATGGTTGAGGGTAGAGATTTGTTTAGAACACCTTACTTTCATATCAACTGATAGTAAATTTTTCACTGTAATTGACTTTTTTTTTTTTGAGACAGAGTCTTGCTTTGTTCCCCAGGCTAGAGTGCAGTGGCACGATCTTGGCTTGCTGCAACCACCATCTCTTGGGTTCAAGTGATTCTTCTGCCTCAGCCTCTTGAGTAGCTGGGATTACAGGCATTTGCTACCACGCCTGGCTAATTTTTGTACTTTTAGTAGAGGTAGGGTTTCACCATGTTAAGCAGGCTGGTCTCGAACTCTTGACCTCAGGTGATCTGCCCACCTTGGCCTCCCAAAGTGCTGGGATTACAGGAATGAGCCACTGTGCCTGGCCCACTGCAATTGACTTTTTTTTTTTTTTTTTTTTTTTTTTGAGATGGAGTCTTGCTTAGTCACCCAGGCTGGAGTGCAATGGTGCGATCTTGGCTCACTGCAGCCTCTTCCTCCTGATTTTAAGCGATTCTCCTGCCTCAGCTTCCTGAGTAGCTGGTATTACAGGCACCTGCCATCATGCCCGGCTAATTTTTCTATTTTTGTAGAGACAGGGTTTCATCATGTTGGCCAGGCTGGTCTCAAACTCCTGACCTCAGGTGATCTGCCTGCCTCAGCCTCCCAAAGTACTGGGATTACAGGCATGAGCCACTGCCCCTGGCTGTAATTGACTTCTGCAGTGCCTTCTTCATTATCCTTGTTGTTCAAACCAGTGAGTAACTATTTGCTTCACTGGGGAAGGACAATAGTTCATTTAGACTTATGCCTCAGGACTGTACTGAAAGTCCTTTCTATTTCTCTCAAGTTCTGAAGCCTGATTTAGGAGATGGAAGTTTTCCCCGGGACTTGTCCTTACTATGATATGTAGATGATCTACTTAGTTCCTCTTCCCTGTAGCTGGCTTGTAAGGAAGATGGTGTTGATTTATTAAAACATCTAGCTGCGAAATGTCATAAGATTTCTAAAGAAAAGTTATAACTAGTAAGACACAAGTTAAATATCTGGGCCATCTAATTTCTTGAAACAAGACTACATTTGGACGCTGAATGGATTCAGGACATCCTGCACTTCCCTAAACCTGAAATGAAATGGCAGCTTTGAGGGTTTCTCAGACACACCAGCTACTACTGGACACCAAACTTTTCTTTGATTGCTTAACTTCTACATGCCCTACTTAAGGCTCAAGTGAGGCTCTTACCTCAGGCTCCCCAGTAGCTGGGACTGTAGGAATGTGCCACTGTGCCCAGCTAATTTTTTTTTTTTTTGAGAGTCTCGCTCTGTCACCCAGGCTGGAGTGCAGTGGTGCAGTCTTGGCTCACCGCAAGCTCCACCTCCCTGGTTCATGCCATTCTTCTGCCGCAGCCTCCCGAGTAGCTGGGACTACAGGCGTCTGTCACCAAGCCCAGCTAATTTTTTGTATTTTTAGTAGAGGTGGGGTTTCACCGTGTCAGCCAGGATGGTCTCGATCTCCTGACCTCATGATCTGCCCGCCTTGGCCTCCCAAAGTGCTGGGATTACAGACGTGAGCCACTGCGCCCAAACAATTTTTTTTGTATTTTTTGTGGAGATGAGGTTTTGCCATGTGTCCCAGGCTGGTCTCGAACTCCTGGGCTCAAGTGTTCCACCCGCCTTGGCTTTCCAGAGTGTTGGGATTGCAGGCTTGAGCCACCATGCCCAGCCAACTGTCTTTCTTTTTGTGAAAAGAAAGAAAATGCATGTCTGACTCAGAAAAATCGAGATAACATTGCCCCGTTGGATATTGCAGTCAGCAACTAGATCCAGTAGCTCAAAGATTATCCCCCATTCGAGAACTATCCCAGCCACTGCCCTACTAGTCAAATCCACCAAAGAAATTATCATGGTATCTCCCTTAACCACCTTTGTTTCCCATAGTATCAAAGCTCTTCTAAATTTACATCATAACAACACATCTTTGCCAGTCATCTTACCTCTTATGAAATTCTTTTGCTGACTCTTCCTCCTCACAGAACTCTTCTTGATGTAACAGTCTTACTCCTGTGACTCTTTTACCCCTTCCTTCTGATGAGACACCCCTCCACCTTAATGATTGTGTGTGTATATGTGATATACACACAGATAGCAGATATGCCTTTGGGGTTGCTCATGATTGTAAAATGTTATAGGAACAAATAGGATTTGGCCGGGTACGGTGGCTCACGCCTGTAATCCCAGCACTTTGAGAGGCCCAGATGGGCAGATCATGTGAGGTCAGGAGTTTGAGACCAGCCTGCCCAACATGGTGAAACCTCATCTCTACTAAAAATACAAAAATTAGTTGGGCATGGTGGCGTGGGCCTGTAGTCCCAGCTACTCGGGAGGCTGAGGCAGGAGAATCACTTGAGCACGGGACGTGGAGGTTGCAAAGTGCTGAGATTGTGCCACTGCACTCCAGCCTGGGCAACAGAGTGAGACTCTCTCTCAAAACAAACAAAAAAAGCCAAAAACAAATTGGTTTCCTTATTTCCACTGGAGGAGTTGACCCTTGTACGAGACTTACTGGATGTCATTCAGCCACCAGCTGTGTTGACTATTAAAAGAATTCCTGGACATTCAGGGTTAGACTAACTCTTAGACTTTTTTCTCTCTTTTCTTTACTTTTTTTTTTTTTTTTTTTTTTTGGTTTGCTTTTTCTTTTGTTACAGAATCTCACCCTGTTGCTCAGGGTAGAGTGCGGTGGTGCTATCTTGGCTCACTGTAGCCTCTGCCTCCCAGGTTCAACTGATTCTCCTGTCTGCCTCCTGAGTAGCTGGGATTATAGGCATGCGCCACCACGCCTGGCTAATTTTTGTATTTTTAGTAGAGATGGGATTTTACCATCTAGGCCAGGCTGGTCTTGGAACTTCTGACTTCATATGATCCGCCCACCTTGGCTTCCCAAAGTGCTGAGATTACAGGTATGAGCCATTGTGCCTGGCCATGGTTAGACTCTTGAGGCTACAGGAAACCACCTTGCTGATAATGCTGTAAGAAATGCTGCTATTAAAGCTTGTCAGTCAGATCTCTGTCGTCCCACTGAAAGAGATTTCAGAAGATAATTTAAGAGCGATCAGCCAGAGGTGTACAAAATTTGGCTCCAGAAGCTGAAAAACAGAATTAGAAAAATCATGGCTACTGGTTTGATGATAAAAGAAAACTATGATTTGGACCTGATAATAAACCTTTTCTCCCAAATTCAATAAAATATCCACTGTTAACTATAGTATATAATTTGATTCCTTTGATAACTGACAAATTGATTTCTTTTATAAAACAGTATTGAGAAGCAACATAAAACAAAGAAAAACCTGCCAAGATTCCTTATTTGGCTTATTATGCCATTTATTCTGAGTTTAATCCAGGAAAAGCTATATGTACACATTCTTCCTGGAGATTGTAATTTATGTAATAAGCCATTCTAGGTTTGGCAATTGAATTTTATCCAGTTACCTCCTTCCCATGGGTATGCAATATGTATTGGTTATGATCTGTATGTTTTCTTATCAGGTGGAAATTTTTCTTTATAGACAAGCCATTGCTTCAACCATGGCCAAAATTATTCTTGAGAAAATTATTCCCATTTGGGGAACTCCCCTTGAAGTTCATAGTGTTTTGTAAAGTTCTATAAAGAACACCATAAAGAATCTGCTTTTCTGGCCATGTAATTAAACAGGTACATTTAATTTGGCAAATTTTACAGGATTTTCATTGTGCTTATATCATCCCCCATCTTATTCCTGGCAGAACAAAGAAATGCAACTGTAAAAACCCAGTTGGCAAAATTTATGGAAACCTAACAGCTTTTTTGGCCTCAGGTTCTTCCTTTGGTGTTAATAAATTTGAAAGCTGTCCATCCTTTGGGGCTCACAAACTTTCATCTTTAAAAACAATCACAGGCTGTTTTGTACATTTAGGTCACTCTGCTTTTTTAGTCAGAGTTGATAAAAGGAGATATACTCCAGTATCGTAAGGACATTGTCAAAACAACATATAAAAATTATACTCTTGGCCAGGCGTGGTGGCTCCTGCCTGTAATCTCAGCACTTTGGGAGGCCAAGGCAGGCAAATCACTTGATGTCAGGAGTTTGAGACTAGCCTGGCCAACATGGCAAAGCCCCATCTCTACTAAAAATATAAAAATTAGCTGGGCGCGGTGACATGCGCCTGTAATCGCAGCTAGATGGGAGGCTGAGGCAGGAGGCTTGCTTGAGGCGGAGGTTTTAGTGAGTCAGTATTGTGCCACTGCACTGCAGCCTTGGCAACAGAGTGAGATTCTGTCTCAAAAAAAGAAAAAAAAAATTAAACTTTTTGTACTTTGGTAGAACGATCTTTGCTTAGTGCACTCCTGGTAGATGAAGATCTGAAACACCACAGTCTGCAACCTGTTGACTTTGTCTACTGGAGAAGACACTTACATAAGAACTCTTGTCAGTCTCATTGAAAGGGTTCATATTGCTCCCTGTCGCCAGTCCCTATGTCGACATGCTGAAAGGTATTGACTCCTGGATCCACATTTCATTTTAAAAAGGCCCTCACTCCTGACTGAAACAGTACCTCAACAGGTGACTTAAAACTAAAGTTAACCTGGAATCAAAACAGACATCTGTAGTATACTGTCATCCCAAGATGCTTGGACCAGGCCAGTATAAATTAGTCTCTTCTGGCTGGGCACCGTGGCTCATGCCTGTAATCCCAGCACTTTGGGAGGTCGAGGCGGGTGGATCACATGAGGTCATGAGTTTGAGACCATCCTGGCTAACATGGTGAAACCCCGTCTGTATTAAAAATACAAAAATTAGCTGGGCATGGTGGTGGACGTTGGTAGTCCCAGCTACTCGGGAGGCTGAGGCAGGAGAATCACTTGAACCCAGGAGGTGGAGGTTGCAGTGAGCTGATATCATGCCATGGCAATCTAGCCTGGGCGACAAAGGGAGACTCTGCCTCAAAAAAAAAAAAAAAAATTGGTCTCTTCTTAGATACCTTCATTTTTCTAGAAAGACAATGTATAATCCACGTTTCCCAGTCTCTTGCCAAAGGGGAAAACACAACTGACTCTTAGATTTATCACCCAAAACCCTCATCTATCCATGATCCAAATGAACCTTTAGTTTACTTTATAACAAATTTTTACTAATGTTCCCAGTGCAACTATTCAGATTTTGTATAGGACCTTTTTTTTCAAGGTCGAGTTTTTGGACCCACTTATGCAGATTCCCTGCTTCACCGTAATACCTAGAGTCTACACAAAAGACTTTAAAATTAAATTCAAATTATGTAAAGAAAAATATGGTAATATAATTCAAGAAAAAAAATTTAACAGATTACAAAAACATTTATGACCCTGTTCCTCTAATTTTTTATGTCTTCCAACAATATAGTAGTTTAATAATAGAACCTTAAATAAGTATTGCTGTCACCTCCCTACAAGTAACTATGAATACACACAGACTGTAGATGGAATTACCTGTTGTGCTCTATCAAGATACAGTTTCATTTGAGGGGGATTCAGTAGTCAACCATATGCATGGACAACATAATGTCTCAGTCAATTAAAGAAAAAATACCAGTGTGGTTTGAGATATTTCTGGATTTAAATTAGCAAAATCTGAACATTGGTTGTCACCTCTTAACTTACACCATCATATTAAAAGAGATACTTTACCAAGAAACATGCATCCAACTGGATGGTCCCAGTTGTTAGATCCTTTTTCCCTTGGATCAGTTAGCCCCTTATAAACAGTGGTCAAAAATTTGTGACTAATTGGGTCTGTAGCTGACTCCACAGCTTAAGCCATTGCATCTCAACAGACTTCACTAGATTCTCTTGCTAAAGTGAATTAGGATTGCTCTGAATTACTTAAGTAGCTGAACAAGGAGGCATTTATGCATTTGCTGCCTCTACTTACTACACATGGATAAATTCCTCTGGAAAAGTAAAAACACAATTATAGAAGATTAAAAAAAACAAGTCACCTGGTTCCAACAAGTTCATCAAATACATCTAGACTTTTTGATCTGTTCAGTTGGTTACTTTCAAAATTGGGTTCATGGATTAGAGCTGTTTTTCAAACTAGATTTATTATGTTACTGTTCTTTACCTTATGATCTTTAAGCTCTGTTCTTGTTGCCTAACCTTTGTAAAGCCAGTTCTCCCAACAAGATGATGTTGGCCTAACGGTTCGAGGCGATTGCTAATGCCTGTGGCTCTAATAAGATGGAATTCAATTCTGAACTCCAGGCAAACCTGCCATGAGGGTTTTTCCTTTTGTCCTCTTTGTAACTAACTTGTGGCTTGGATCCCTGACATTGACTGTCATATTTTCTCCCTGATGTGGGACCAGAGACAACAAGGATACATCCATTTCCACACTGAGAGACAATTAAAGCCTAAATTCAGGATAGTTGATGCTTTCAGAGAAAGAGTTTGAGGAAAAGGGAAAAATGTGAAAATCGATTATGTGAATTGGAGTTACTGTGACACCCAACTAATTTGGAGTTGAGGCACCAGGTAGGGGAAAAACACTCAGAGCATAAAGTGCCTGTGCCAGGAATTATCTTCCAAGCCCAGCTGCCAAAACAACCTGCTGTAATCTTAAGGCCAGTTTTGCCTAGTAGCTGCTAAAACCACCTGCCTTACTCTGTGGCTAGTTTTACCTACTGCTGTCACTCACCAATCAGAGCTTACCAATACTTGAGAACTCTCACTAGCACCAATGAGCTTTCTATTAAAACAATATACATAACATTTATCTTTCCTACTTAAACCCCAATCTTCTTTATTCTTCAGACATACTAAAGACCACCTCAGTCTTTGTGTTTGTTCCAAGTTGCACTTCTGGTTTTATATATTCCCAGCTGAAATATTTTGCTTAGAGATTTGTCTCTATACTTTGATTTTGATACTCGGCATACTAGTCCCCCCAACCCTTTGCAGTCATGGATCTTTTTACTGCCTTTTTCGTTTTGCCTTTTCCAGAATGTCATATAGTTGGAATCATACAATATATAATCTTTTCAAATTGGCTTCTTTCACTTAATAATATGCATTTAAAGTTCTTCCATGTCTTTTCAAGACTTAGAGCTCATTTCTTTTAGCACAGTTTATCTGTCTATTCACCTACCGAAGGACGTCTTGGTTGCTTCCAAGTTTTGTCAGTCAGTTGTGTGTAAAGTTGCTATAAACGTGTGTGGACATATGTTTCAACTCATTTGAGTAAATTCTAAGAAGTACAGTTGCTGGATCTTATGAAAAGAATATGTTTAGTTTTGTAAGAAACTGCCAGATGTGAGGTGTCTGTTTAAGGTCTGGCTCATCATTATTGGGTTCATTTTCTTGGTGAGGGCTTTTGTTTGTTTGTTTGTTTGTTTGTTTGTTTGTTTTTGGAGAGGAAGTCTCATTCTGTCGCCCAGGCTGGAATGCAATGGTGCGATCTTGGATTACTGCAACCTCTGCCTCCCGGGTTCAAGCAATTGTCATGCCTCAGCCTCCCGAGTAGCTGGGATTACAGGTGTGTGCCACCACATCCGGCTAATTTTTTGTATTTTTAGTAGAGATGGGGTTTCACCATGTTGGCCAGGCTGTTCTCGAACTCCTCACCTCAGGTGATCCACCTGCCTTGGCTTCCCAAAGTGCTGGGATTACAGGCGTGAGCCACCGGGCCCAGCCAAGAGTTCTTAATTTTAACGAAGTCCAACTTTTTGATTATTTCTTTCATTGATTGTACCTTTAAAAAGCCATCTCCAAACCCAGGGTCATCTAGATTGTCTTCTGTGTTATTGTCTTAAGAGTTTTATAGTTTTACCTTTTACATTTGGGTCTTTAATGTTATTTTTTGTGAAGAGTTTAAGGTCTGTGTCTAGACTGATGTTTTTTGCTTGTGGATGTCAAATTGTTCTAGCACTTTTTTTTTTTTTTTTTTTTTGGAGACAGGGTCTCACTCTGTTGCCCAGTCTGGAGTACAGTGTCGTGATCTTGGCTCACTGCAACCTCCACCTTCCGGGTTCAAGCGATTCTCCCACCTCAATCTCCCGATGATTCTCCCACCTCAACCTCCCAAGTAGCTGGGACTGCAGGCACATGCCACGACGTCCAGCTAATTTTTGTATTTTTTAGTAGAGACAGGGTTTCACCATGTTGACCAGGCTGGTCTCGAACTTTGGACCTCAAGTGATCCACCTGCCTCAGCCTCCCAAAGTGCTGGAATTACAGGCGCGAGCCAATGCACCCCGCCTGTTTGGGTCCAGCACTGTTTTTTGAAAAGCCTATCTTTTCTTCATTGTATTACCTTTGCTTCTTTGTCAAAGATCAGTTGACTGTATTTGTGTGGGTGTATTTCTGGACTCCCTTCTCTTCTGTTGATCTATTTGTCGTATTGTTTTGCCAACACTACATCGTTTTGATTACTGTAGATTTATAGTAAATCTTGAAGTTGCTACGGTTAGTTTTCCGACTTTGTTCTGTTATACTACTTCAGTATCATATTGGCTACTTTAGACCTTTGGCCTCTTCAGTAAACCAGAATCGCTTTGTTAGTATTCACAAAACAATTTGCTAGGATTTTGGTTGGGATTATGTTGAATCTATAAATCAAGTTGAGAAGAACTGACATCTTGATAATACTGAGTTTTCCTATCCACAAGCATGTAATATTTCTCCTTTTACTTAGTTCTTTAATTTCTTTCATCAGAGTTTTATACATTTCCTCATATATATCTTGTACATGTTTTGCTAGATTTATACCTTAGCATTTTATGTTTTGGGGTGCTAACATAAATGGTATTGAGTTTTAAATGTCAAATTGTTTGTTCATTCCTGGCATATAGGAAAGCGATTGGCTTTTGTATATTAACTTTGCTACAATCACTTTTTAGTTCAAAGAGTTTTTTGGTCAGCTCTTGTGTGGATTTTCTGCAAGACAATTTCGTCTCCTGGGAACAGAGACTGTTTTGACTTTTTTCTTCCCATTCTGTATGCCTTTTATTTCCTTTTCATATCTTACTGCATTAGCTAAGACTTCCATTACATTGTCGAAAAGGTGAGGGCATCCTTGCCTTGTTGCTTATCTTAGTAGGAAAGTTTCTAGTTTCTCACCAGTACAACATTATCTGTAGTTTAAAAAAAAAAATCACGTTGAAGGCTGGGCACTGTGGCTCGTGCCAGTAATCCTAGCACTTTGGGAGGCCGAGGCTGGTGGATCACCTGAGTCCAGGAGTTTGAGACCAGCCTGGCCAACATGGCAAAACCCCAGCTCTACAAAACATACAAAAATTAGCTGGGTGTGTTGGTGTGCACCTGTGGTCCTAGCTACTTGGGAGGCTGAGGCAGGAGAATCACTTGAACCCAGGAGGAAAAGGTGGCAGTGAACCTAGATCATGCCACTGTACTCCAGCCTGGGAGACAGAGCCAGACTCCATCTCAAAAAAAAAAAAATTGTGTTGAAATACACATAAAATTTACTATCTTAGTTATTTTTAAATATACAATTGGTAATATTTAAATATATTCCCATTGTTGTGCAACCAATCTCTAGAACTCTTGTTTTGCAGAAGTGAAACGTTGTCACCTGTTAAACACTAACTTTCTCTTTGTAGCCCCTGGCAATCCTCCATTCTGTTTTCTGTCTCTCTGAATGTTGATGGCTCTAGGCACCTCATATAAACAGAACCATATAATATTTGTATATTTGTGTCTGACTTATTTCGCTTAACACAATATCCTCAAGGTTCATCCATACTGTAGCATGTGTCAGAATTTCCTTTTTTAAGGCTGAATAATATTCCATGTTATGTATATACTGCATTTTTATCCATTTATCCGTTAGTAGACACTTGGGTTGCTTCTGCCTTTTGGCTATTGTGAATGATGCTACTGTGAACATGGGTGTATAAATATCTCTTGGAGAGCCTTCTTTTAAATCTTTTGGGTATATATTCAGCAGTGGAATTGCTGGATCATTGGTGCCTTCTTTAATGTCTTTTGGCAACATTTATAGTTTTCAGTGTTTAAGTCTTTTGCCTTTTTCAGTAAGTTTATTCCGAGGTATTTTATTTCTTTTCATGGTATTGTAAATGGAATTCTTTTCTTAATTTCATTTTCAAATTGTTTAAAAGTGTATCAAAATGTAAATTTTTGGTAATTTTTGTATCCTGCAACTTCACTGAATTTATTGGTTATAAAAAGTGTTTTTTTCGTGTGACATATTTAGTTCTCTTTCTCACCTCTCTGTCCATATGTGTATATATATATATATATTTTATTTTTTTTTTAATTTTGTGAAACAGAGTCCCACTCTGTTGCCCAGGCTGGAATGTAGTGGCATGATCTTGGCTCACTGCAACCTCTGCCTTCCGGGTTCAAGTGAACCTCCTGTTTCAGCCTTCGGAGTAGCTGGGATTACAGACACCCACCACCACGCCTGGCTAATTTTTGTATTTTTAGTAGAGACAGGGTTTCACCATGTTTCCCAGGCTGATCTTGAACTTAGGTGATCCACCCACCTCAGCCTCCCAAAGTGCTGGTATTACAGGCATGAGTTTTCGGTATATATATTTTAGAGAAATCTGTAGATTTCTTATATTTTCACATGTAAGATCATGTCTTCTGCAAATAGAGATAGTTTTATTTCTTTTTTTTAAAATTTGGATGTTTTTTATTTCATTTTCCTGCCTAGTTGTTCTGGCTAGGACTTCCAGCACCATGTTGAATAGAAAGGGTGACTGTGGCCATCCTTGCCCTCTTTCAGGTCATAGAGGAAAAGATTTTTATCTTTAAACATTGAGTATGATATTAGCTGTGCGTATTTCATATGCCACCTTTGTTATATTGAAAAAATTTCCTTTATTACTAATTTGCTGATTGTTTTTATCATGCAAGGCTTTTGAATTTTGTCATTTTTTTTCCTGCATTGAGATGATCATGTGACTCCCTCCCTTTCTGTTAATGTAGTGTATTGATTTTCATACGTTGGATCATCCTTTCATTTTATTAATGAATGTCATTTGGTTATGGTTTATAGTCTTTTTAATATGAGGTTGAGTTCAGTTTGCTAGTGTTTTGTTTAATCTTGAAACATTTGAAAAATGAAGTTATCTTTTTTAAAAAAATGTAATGCCAATTTTTGCTGTAAATGGCAGTGGCTGTGTTCATTTTATAGATACTTTATATAGCCTGGTATTTCAGCTCTTATTTATAACCTCATGCCTTGTATACTACCTTGTTTGGATTGTGCCTGAGTTAAGGGAGTGTATTTTTCCCCCAAGGCTACAGGCAGATTGATCATATAAGGAAGGCTTAATTTCACATATCAAAGCTGTTCATTTAAATCGTTCAATTAAATATTTGTGATTAATACAGTTTTCAATTCTAATATAAAGATTCATATTCTTCAATTAGGGCATAGGTAAATTGCTTTTTGTAGCTTTCTGAAATGTAATTCACAGATTGATTATATTCTCCTCAGTGAATTTTGATACTTTATGTGTACAGTCAGCCCTGCATATCATATACATAACTTCGTACATGGGTTCTATATCTGTGGATTCAGCCAACTGTGGGTAGAAAATATTTTGGGGAAAAAAGAATGGTTCTGTCTGTACTGCATGTGTATAGACTTTTTCTTATTTCCTAAACAATACAACAATTATTAATATAGCATTTATGTTTTATTAGGTATCATAAGAAATTTTAAAAGGTTGCAAGAATGATTTTAAAATATATGGACAGATGTTTGTAGGATATATGCAAATACTACATCATTTTATATAAGGCACTTGAGCATCTGTGGATTTTAGTATTCACAAGGGTGGGGTGGGGGTGGGGTCCTGGAACCAATCCCCCATGGATATTGAGGAATGACTGTATATATAAATGTATACTTTTATACGTATATAGGTATATGTAATATATATATTTCTTTATATATATATTTACCACTAGTTATAATTTTTTTGTGTTATTCAATGGTTACTTTAGGTTTCTTTATCTTGTTATGTGTAAGTGTAAATCTTTCATCCTTATCTTGGACAAAATTTATATCTTGATGTATCTGCTTAAAATTAAAAATATTTTATTTATAATTTTACATGAAATAATAAATGAGGATTTATCACTCATGCCATTGTTTTTGACTTGGTTTTCAACTTTCCTTCCCGTTGTATCCCTTCCCTAATCCCTGCCCCTGTGCCTCCCAAAAATTCTTGTAAATAGTATTACGTATTACTCCATTTTACTGTATTACTAAAAATGTTACTCTTTTTCTCTCTACTCATACAATCTTTTAGTTATGTGTATTTTTACTTATATAGGCCTTTATGTGAAGATTTTTAAAAAAGGGATTGTTTTGCACACTTTTCTGTAACTTGCTTTTTCACTAATAACAGCTTGGAGGGAATTCCCCCACCTAAGGTATAGCTCTAGTTTATTATTTTCTTTTTTTATTTGAGACAGGGTCTCGCTCTGATGCCCAGGTTGGAGTGCAGTGGCACGATCTTGGCTCACTGCAACCTCTGCCTCCTGGGTTCAAGTGATTCTCATGCCTCAGACTCCTGAGTAGCTGGGATTACAGGCGTGCACGGCTAATTTTTGTATTTTTAGTAGAGACAGGTTTCGCCATGTTGGCCAGACTGTAGTTTATTATTTTCATGGCTGTATAATGAATGCTTCATGTTGTGTTGTATAAAATTTATTTAGCCATTCCCACATTTATGGGAATATATTTTATTTCTAGTTCTTTCTCATTTTAAATAATGTTGTATCTTTGAATATATGTCCTGACTTCATGATGCTTTTATTTATTTCTGAGACAGAGTCTCACTCTGTCGCTCAGGCTGGAGTGCAGTGGTGCAATCTCGGGTCACTGCAACCTCCGCCTCCCAGGATCTAGCAATTCTCATGCCTCAGCCACCTGAGTAGCTGGAATTACAGGCGTGCACCACCATGCCCGGCTGATTTTTTTTTTTTTTTTTTTTTTTTAAGACGGAGTCTTGCTCTTTCGCCCAGGCCAGACTGCAGTGGCACTATCTCGGCTCACTGCAAGCTCCGCCTTGTGGGTTCATGCCATTCTCCTGCATCAGCCTCCCGAGTAGCTGGGACTACAGGCGCCCACCACCGCGCCCGGCTAATTTTTTTGTCTTTTTAGTACAGACGGGGTTTCACTGTGTTATCCAGGATGGTCTCGATCTCCTGACCTCATGATCCGCCCGCCTGGGCCTCCCAAAGTGCTGGGATTACAGGCGTGAGCCACCGCACCCGGCCCATGCTGGGCTAATTTTTGTATTTTTTTTTGTAGAGATGTGGTTTCACCATGTTGGACAGGCTGGTCTCGAACTCCTGACCTCAAGGAACCCATCCGCCTCGGCCTCCCAAAGTGGTGGGATTACAGGCATGAGCCACCGTGCCTGGCCCATGCTGCTTTTATTTCTGTGGGATAGATTTCCAGGAGTAAAATTGCTGGGTTAAAGGATTTCTATATTTTTTGTTTCACTTGATGTTGCCAAATTGCTTTCCACAAAAATTTGCCACCAGCAATGTTGGAGAATTCTTTCTCCTACATCCTTGCCAGCAGTAGGGCTGTAACTTTTTAAGTTTGCCAGCCCAATAGGTGTAACATTATGTCTCCTAGTTTCTGTTACTTTGAATTTCTTGGGCAGGCATAAGTTTGAACATCTTTTTTATGTTTGTAGACATTTGTTTTTTTTTTTTTTTGTGAAGTATTTTTGATATTCTTTGTTGAAATAAAATTTGCCCTGCTCTCCCCACTGCCAGGTAGCTAGTACTACAGCAGGCACATGCCATCATGCCTGATTGTTTTTTTTTTTTCTTTTTCTTCTTTTTCTTTTTTTTTTTTTTTTGTGAGCATGGGGGTCTTGCTATGTTGTCCATGCTGGTCTCAAACTCCTGGCCTCAAGTGATTATCCCACCTTGGCCTTCCAAAGTGCCGGGATTACAGGCATGAGCCACCACACATGGCACCTAATTTTGAGTTGTTTATCTTTTTCAAATTGCAGAAGCTCAGTGTGTGTTAAAAGCATTAGTTCTTCATTACCACTGTTGAAATATTTTTACTTTTCCCTAGATACAAAAACTTAATTTTTAATATGAATTTTTTATAGTTCTACTTTTGAGTAGTGAATGTTTCTCATACTGTTTTCCTATAAGATTTTTTTTTTTTTTTGCAATTCATGTTTACCTCGTTTATTTTTGTATGTTGGATAACATAAGGGAATCTACTTTTTTCTGCTTGGAGATTCTCAACACTTAAAAAAATTAAGCCATCTATTTCCCACTGACTTGGGTGATTGCCCTATTTCATTTAAAATCTTTATATTTATGGATTTTTTCATCATTGGGTACTATTTTATTTATATATTGATGTGTTTCTATATCAATACTATATTGATTTATTTTCTGTGACAGTCTAATATGCACTGTTATTTGAAGCAGTTTCAAGTTTACACCTTTTTTTTTTAGCATTAGCTGTTCTCTAGCATTTGTTCTTATATATAAACTCGATTTTTTTCTTAATAAAGTAGAAATTGTTTTGATTCTAATTTGAATTACATAAAATTAATAAATTAATATGGGGGCAATTGATACTTCTATCACTGCTTTTCAAATACATGATAAAGTTTATGCCCTTCACTAAGAATGTGTATTTTCTTCATACTAGTGCCAACTTTTACTAAATTTCTTCAGAAGTCATATATAGGTATTGTTGCTGTTGAGAATATATATATATTATATACATATATAAAATATAATATATAATATATATCAAAGTACTAAATATATATAATATATATTATATATATGATATATATATCAGAAATGATCTGATGTTGAGAGTATTTTAATCTCACTTCCTTCTCTAAGATTATTTTCTTAGTCTATTCAGGCTGCTATAACAAAATACCTTATACTGAGTAATTTATAAACAACAGAAATTTATTTTGATTCTAGAGGCTGGGATGTCTAAGATGAAGGTGCCAGTAAATTCAGTGTCTGGCGAGGGCTCACTCTGCTGCAAAGATTGTGTTTTCACATGTTAGAAAGGGCAAGGCAACTTACATCAACCTTTTTAATAAGGGCACTAATTCCATTCATGTTGGTAGAGTCCTCATGCCTTAATTACTTCACAAAAGGACCCCACCTCTTAATAATTTCACATTGGGTATTAGGTTCTAACCTGAATGCTGGCAGGATACCAACATTCAGACCATAGCAATTCTCGTTTCTCCAGTAGAAAAAGCTGTTGATTTTTATATATAGTCATATGTCATATAATGACATTTCAGTCAACAGTGACCTTGCGTGTGACAGTTATTTCATAAGATGATCATGGAGCTGAAAAATTCCTATGGCCTAGTAATATTTTAGTCCTTGTGATCTCGTAACCTTCCTAATGTCATAGAACTACAAAATAGTCAACGTTTGTGGTGATGCTGGTATAAACCTATTGGGCTGCCAGTCTTACAATAAAAGTATGGGACGTATACAATTACATATAGTACATAATACTTGATAATAAATGACTATGTCACTGGTTTGTATATTTATTGTACTATACTTCCAATTGTTATTTTAGAGTGTACTCCTACTTATAAAAAAATGTTAACTGTAAAACAGTCTCTGGCAGGTCTTTAAGGAGATATTCTAGAGGGAAGGTATTGTTATCATAAGAGATGACAGCTTCATGGGTGTTACTGTTCCTGAAGAATTTCCAGTGGGACAGCATGTGGAGGTGAAAGGCAGTGATATTGATGATCCTGACCCTGTGTAGGTCTAGGCTAATGTGTATGCCTGTGCCTTAGTTTTTAAGGCACAGTTTAAAAAAGAAAAAACTTTAAGTTTTTATAACTTAACTTAAAAAAAGTTTAAAAAATAAAAAAAGTCTAAGAAATAAAATCACAAAAAAGCTTAGTAATAGAAAAAAAATTATAGAACAAGGATGTAAAACAAACAAACAAACAAAAACTTGTAATCCCAGCCCTTTGGGAGGCTTAGTTCGGAAAATCAGTTGAGGCCAGAAGTTCAAGACGAGTCTAGGAGACATAGTGAAACCCTATCTCCACAAATACAAAATTTAAAAATTAGCTGGGTATGGTGGCACATGCCTTTAGTCTTAGCTATTCAGTAGGTTGAGGTTTGAGGATCACTTGAGCCCAGGAGTTTGAGGCTACAGTGAGCTATGATTGAGTCACTTCACTTTAGCTGGGTGACAGAACAAGACCCTGTCTCAAAAAGAAAGAAAATATTTTTGTATATCCAGACAATGTGTTTGTTTTAAGCTGAGTGTTATTACCAAAGAGTCAAAAAGTTTAAAAAGTAAAAAGTTCATAAAGTAAAAAAGTTACAGTAAGTTAAGGTTAAGACATTATTGAAAGAAAAGTAAAATTATTTTATAAATTTAGTGTAGCCTAAATGTTCAGTGTCTGTAAAGTCTACAGTAATGGACAGTAATGTCTTAGGCCTTCACATTCACTCACTACTCACTCACTCACCTAGAGCAACTTACAGTTCTGCAAGCTTTATTCATGGTAAGTGCCCCATATAGATGTGCCATTTTAAGTCTTCTGTACCATATTTTTACTGTACCATTTCTATGTTTAGATACACAAATGGCTTACTATTGTGTTGCAGTTGCCTGCAGTGTTCAGTCCAGTAACATGATGTACAGGTTTGTAGCTTAGGAGCAATAGGCTATACCATATAGCTTAGGTGTGTAGCAGGCTACACCATCTACATTTGTGTAAGTACATTCTACAATGTTTGCACATTGTAAAGAAAATTTTCTGAGAAAATGCATCATTAGATAATTTCTTCATTGCACATTGTGGAGTGTTTATTCATCAGTTGATGGAGAAAAGAGAAATACAGTCAAGCAACATATGACTGGACACAAATGTTAATAATAATATATGATTTCATGTATATGAAAATGTTTAAAATAAGCAAATCCAAATAGTAGTGATTGTCAGGGAGTAGGGGTGGGGAGGATAATGAGTGATTTAATGGATATGGGATGTCTCTTTGGTATGATGAAAGTGTTCTGAAATTAGACAGTGGTAATGGTTATGCAAATTGGTGAATATAGTAAACCTACTATATTGTATAGTTTGAAAGGGTGAATTTTATAGCACGTGAATTGTATATCTCAACTTTAAAAAAATGATAACAGTGGTTCTATCAGTTAGGGTTGAATTTGGCATTAGATAACAGAAAACCAGACTGCACTTGCTTTATAAAACAGAGCTTTATTTTTCCTTCATAATAAGCAGAGTTGCAGTGTTGCTGGTATTGATTCACTGGCGTGGTGGTATCAGGACAGATGTCTCTATGATTAATTTTTGGCCTGTCACTCATGTTTGCATATGGCTGTTGTGGCTCCAAGCATTGGAAGCAAGAGGACAGGGAAGCAACATTGACTGTACCAGGAACTCCAAAACAGTCTTCACATCTTAATGGTTGGACAATGCCAAATGGTCACTCTTTTCTGGAAGTTGACTGGGGACAAGATAGTGGTAAGGGAATTAGATTTTGGCCAGAAAGTTTCTGCCACAGTGAGCTTTCCTGTCTAAATCCTTATTTTAACTGTTGTCACTTAATATTCACACTTTGGAAGGACATCTACTGTTGGTTACAATTATGAAACCAACTTGAATACTTTTTAGTTGAACATTTCAGTAGTCTTAATTATGTTTAAATAGGTTTCACAATTTACTGTTTTTAGTTTAGTTTCCGGCTCCCCCCAACCCCCAACTTTTGCTAGAGAGTTACTCTCTTAACTTTTGCTAGAAAGTAGCAAAGTTCTCTACTCTACATGTTCAGGGCTGGCTGTAGAATTTCGTTTTTTAAGGAAACAGGAAGACAGAACTAATTATGCAAGTCTTCATTTAGCTTTTTAAAAAACAGCTTTATTGAGTTAGAATTGACATGCAGTAAATGGTACATATTTAAAGCGTACAATTTGTTAAGTTTTGACATAAGTATACATTGTGAAAACATCAGTCACCACAATCAGGATACTTATTTTAAAAAACAACTTTATTTAGGATTAGTATACTGATAATGTGTCCATTGTAAGTGTACATTTTCAGTTTTGACAAATGTATAGATTTTTGTAACTACCACCACCAGTCAAGATGAAAACGTTTCTAGCACTCCAGAAAGTTCCCTTGTGTCCCTTCTTGGTCAGTTATTCCCACCACTGCTCTCAGGCAACCACAGTTCTGCTTCTATCACTATATAAGTGACAGAATTTTTCTACAGAATTTCACATAGATGGAATCATACAATATGTACTGTTCTGTCTGGCTTCTTGAGGTAAGCCAAATGTCTTTTAAGAGTCATGCATGTTTTTGCATTTATTAGTAGTTTATTCTTTTTTTGTTGGTGAGTAGCATTCATTGTATGGATATATTCCAGTCTGTTTTATTCATTCACTTTTTGGACATTTGGGTTGTTATCAATTTTGGGCTCTTTTGAATTAATCCCTCCCTCCTTCCCTCCTTCCCTCCCTCCCTCCCTCCTTCCCTCCCTCCCTCCCTCTCTCCCTCCCTCCTTCCTTCCCTCCCTCCCTCCCTCCCTTTTTTTTTTTTTTGAGACAGAGTCACTCCCTATCACCTAGGCTGGAGTGCAGTGGTATGATTTCAGCCTACTGCAACCTCCACCTCCCAGGTTCAAGTGATTCTCCTACCTCAGCCTCCTGGGTAACTGGGACTACAGGCATGCACCACCACGCCTGGCCAATTGTTGTATTTTTAGTAGAGACGGGGTTTTGCCATGTTACCCAGGCTGGCCTTGAATTCATGAGCTCAAGCAATCCACCTGCCTCGGCCTCCCAAAGTGCTGGGATTACAGGTGTGAGCTACTGCGCCTGGCCTGTATTTTTATATTTTCTATAATCAATTATAGTTATTGTATTTGATGTTCAGATTGTTCCACATTTAGCAAGTATGTTATAACCATGTCTTTCATGCATAGAGACAGCAAAGTTGGAGACAAAAGCATTATCATCATGGGCAGGCTTTGAGGTGAAAAATTTTTCTGTTTCCCTTTAGATAATTGTTATGATAACAGGTTGACATAATTGAGGTAGAGGGATTGTGGCATGTACATACATACAACATGTAATACAGATGTTGGGCCTATTTTATTACAGTTTTTCAAACCACACATCAAGCAGTCATTTCTCATGACTAAATTTACTTTTTAAACCTTCATGAAGCTCCTTTTGGATCTTACCATTCATGTTTTCTAGTTATATTACAACTAGTACTCATTTTTCCCCCAAAATAAAATAAAAAATGAAATACTGTTCATCCTAGGCTCAGTACATACTCAACCGTGTCATACAGTGAAGAGATTTTAAGGTACAAACTATAACTAAGAATTGTCAGCAAACTCATTCAGTACATTTTTAAGCTAATATTAGCCATCTGTTGTCTAACCCTTTGCTACGTATTCTTCCTCATTTTTGAAAACACAGTTTACAGATTTAAGTGGCCCAAATTCAACTTTGCTGCTTCTAGAAATTTAAAACTAAACAGGTTTACCCTATTTCTTTGAAGTAACTCTCTATGTTGTTTTGATATTAAAACGAATTCTTATTCCCTTTTTCAATCCAGTAGAAAAGAATGATCTCTTCATTGAGATGCCCCATCTCTTAATGAGAATGTTCCATGTATAATGACATTGGAAAGTTACTTTCAGTATAAGAGTAGATAACATCTAGTCTTGCTTTGGGAGTCACCTGTTCTTCATTTTCTTTCTTCTGCTTTAGTGAGCTTGAATATTCCATGTCAGTATGTGCTGCATAATAGTAATTTTTCTTCTGTCCAAATTATTTGTTTAGCCTTTTCACCATGGTCTTTGTCTAACAATACTGTTATATTTTAAAATATGAACTTTACCTGCTGTATGAATTCTCTGTATCTTCTTTTGACTGGCACATATGACTAGCATGTATCTTGGATCTCCCCCCTCTCTGTGTGTGTGTTGCGGGGTGGAGTGGAGTGGTTAAAACATTGGCTAAATGCTTATCATGTTCTAAGTACTCTAGTTGTTGACTTTTACACTGTGATGACAAGCTTTTTTAATTTTTGTGTTTTGTGGCAGCTTTTTTATTGTGGTAAACTTTTAATGGAAATGTGTGAGTGCTAAAGATAAAAAATAGCCAAGCTTTGTGATAGTCTTTTTCTCTCTCTAAACTACATATATACTCCTAGATGCTTGTTTAGGAATACAATATATCTGGAAATATACAGACAAAATTGGTCACAGTGGGTTTGTTTGCCTTTGGGGTCAAGGGTTGTAGAAGTTATATTTCTCACTATGTATTTTTATTATTTAACCCTCACTTTTTCAATTTAAGGTTTTGTGTTGAAACACACATCTGTGTGCACATACACATCTATTGAAAATGCTGTTTCCATCTTAACTGATGTGTTTAACAAGAGTGGTAATTTTCATTTTGTAGGCCTCATTTTTGTGAGCTAATCTGAATTCTCATGACATTTCTGTTCTTGTAGTCAGATGCATGTGTATTGGCCAGACTGCCAGCTACAGGTTAAGGGAATGGAATCCTTGCTTTGGTAAACAGTAACCAAGGAAAAGAAAAATGTTTCTGGATATTTATTTGAGTGAAACTCCAGAAATTTATTGGTGGATTGGTTATGTGAGTCAGTTCATACTTCAGCAGTGAAATTTACTACCACCCCCTGTGTCACTGATGATGAAAATATTAGTTTATCTTTTTTGTTCTACACTTACATTAGTGAATGATGGTCTGTTTACTTTTTTTCTTTTTCTTTCTCTTTTTTTTCTTCAAGGTAATGGTCTCATTCTGTCACCCAGTTCAGTAATGCCATCTTGGCTCACTGCAGCCTCGGCGTCCTGGGCTCAAGTGATCTGCCCACCTCAGCCTGCAAAATAACACGAACTACAGGTGCACACCACCATGCCCAGCTAATGTTTGTAGAAATGGGGTTTCACCATGTTGCCCAGGCTAGTGTCGAACTTCTGGGCTCAAGTCATCCACCTACCTCCCACAGTGCTGGGATTACAGGTGTGTGCCACTGCACCAGGTCCCTGTTTGCCAGTGTAATACATTGCTTTTTCATTAAACTCCTTCTTCAAGAGTCCTGTTTTTAGAACCTTTTCTTTTCAGTTTACTTCTACATTTTTATTAGTACTATCAAAGGCATTATCTAGAGATAATCTCGCATTCCTACACTAGTAACTTTTAGCCTTTTCTTCCTATTCCTCTGTATTTGTGAAGATGATAGGCTCCATTGAGACCCAAATAGAGTATGAGAATACTGCCTGTCATAGGTATACAAAGCATCTAGAAGAGAAAAAAATGCAAGCTATATGGCACGTATGATTTTTTGTGTGTGTGTGTGCTTTCTTTTTATTTTTGAGATGGTGTCTCGCTCTGTTGCCCAGGGTGGAGTATGGTGGCGCAGTCTTGGCTCACTGCAGCCTCCACCTCCTGATTTCAAGCGATTCTCCTGTGCTAGCCTCTCGAGTAGTTGGGATTACAGGCTGCGCCACCATGCCCAGCTAATTTTTGTATTTTTAGTAGAGACGAGGTTTCACCATTTTGGCCAGGCTGGTCTTGAAGTCTTGACCTCAAGTGATCTGCCCGCCTCGGCCTCCCAAAGTGCTGGGATTACAGGCGTGAGTCACCACACCCGGCCGGTACTTTCCTTTTAAAGAGAAAATCTCATTAAAATATTAAGAGCCTCTTCACTTTTGAGTAATTTCTGGCATATACAGATGCAAAACAAAAAGAAAACAAAATTCCACCAACATCTGGAAAATACATCCATTATTGAAATCTCAGGTGGTGTCAGCTAACATGTATTTCAACATGTGTTAATATAGATGATTTTACTTGAAAATATAAGTTGATTAAAAAGAAAAAACAAGTCCGGGCATGGTGGCTCAGACCTGTAATCCCAGCACTTTGGGAGGCTGAAGCAAGCGGATCACTTGAGGTCAGGAATTAGAGACCAGCCCCTGCCAACATAGCGAAACCTTGGCTCTACTAAAAATACAAAAAATAAGCTGGGAATGCTGCCTGTAATCCCTACTCTTCAGGAGGCTGAGGCACAGGAATCGCTTGAACCCAGTAGAGGTTGCAGTGAGCTGAGATTGTGCCACTGCACTCCAGCCTGGGCGACAGAGTGAGATTCTGTCCTTCTCTGCTCCACCCACCCCCCAAAAAAGGTATAAAACCAAAATGAAAAATACTAGTTTTTTTGGTTCTTTTCTTATAAAATGATTGTACTTTCTTTGTGGTAAATTAAATTAGGGTCTTGTTGGAAATGCATGAGTTCTACAGGAGCTCTACCAGTGTAGTTTTAAAATCACTTAATTATGAATCACTGTTTTTCCATGGCATTGTCACTTGTGACCTTGGCTTCATACATCACATTCTGCATTTGTTAAATGGGAATACTGGAAACTTTCTTGGCTATAGGGTTGGGAAAACAAAGGCAGTTACATATACCTATGTGCTTTTTACCACAGGCATTGCTGCTAATATTGGATGATTCTATAATATCAAAATGATTAGTGAATAACTTGACTGTAGACTCCTGGGCTCAAGCAGTCCTCCTGGCTTGGCCTCCCAAAGTGTTGGGATTACAGGTGTGAGCCACTGTGCCAGGTCCTGGAATTTATATATTGGAGTCATTGAAAATTTCCTGAAAACTATGTGATATATTTTAGTTATTTGTGTGTTACCAATTAGTAGCACATAATTAGTTGAATATTCTTTAACTATTATGGTATATGGAGTAAATTCATATATCAAATGAGTAGTCTTTGAAGTAAATGTTATACCTTGTAAATACGGTTTTTCCTACTAGTTAATAGAAAGCCACATTATTTTCTGCAGCAATATAGCTCTGAAGTTGTGAGAAGTCAGTTTGTTAGATTAGAGCTTTGTTTTTTAAACACAAAATTTTGAAATGGCGTCTTTTTATTTTTATCACCGAAGTCTTGTAATGTCAGTTGTAAAATGTATAGAAAATATGTCTTGAGTGTGGTGGCTCATGCCTGTAATCCCAGCACTTTGGGAGGCTGAGGCAGGCAGGTCACTTGAGTCTAGGAGTTGGAGACCAGCCTGAGCAACATGGTGAGACCCTATCTCTACAAAAATAAAAATAAAAATTTAGTTAGGCATGGTGGTTGTGCGCCTGTAATCCCAGCTACTTGGGAGGCTGAGCTGGGGGGATTGCTTGAGCCCGGGGGTTCAAGGCTGCAGTGAGCCATGATTGCACCACCACGGTCTAGCCTGGGTGACAGAGCAAGACATCGTCTCAAAAAAGAAAGAAGAAAGAAAATTCAAGTAAGCAAAAACAACAACAAAAAACAACAACGACCATTAATGTTATTAATTTCACCACCCAATAGGGTAACCACTGTTAACATTTCCGTGTTGATCTTTTCAGCGTTTTTTGTGTGTTAGAAGCAGGCAAGTGGATTCTAAATACAGTGTGTTGCCTTTTTCAATTGGAAGTTCCTTTTTGTGACAGAGGTAATACTACAACTGTTACTAGCATTGCAACTTTTTGTTCAAACAGATCTTACAGAGAAATGGAGTAAATACAACAAAACTAGAGCTGTTGCGGTTGAAGGAGGGATTGTAATAGAAAACCTCAGTATTTGGCTTTCTTCACCAGTCTGAACATTCTGCCTTGGAGGTACCACTGAAGAAGTATAGGGCATCATGTAGAAAGCAAGCATAGTTGGAAAATTACTGACCTCTAATATTTTTAATGGCTGCATCATATTCCATCCTTTGACATCTGTGATAGTTCTGGAAGTGTTTTGCTTCGATCTCCCTTGAAGGAAGTCTCTATTGAGGAGTGTTAGCTGATAGCTTCCAGCTGCAGAGCCTTTGGGATTGGCTACATCATTGAGCCACATTCTCCTCAGGCAGCTCCCTCCCAGTGACTGATCCCAGTAGATACTACGGTCTGACCATTTCTGCTCAACATGGGGCTTCTCTCGAGTTCTCTGCTGGGCTGGCAGATCAGAACTGTACTGTTCCGTGTCCTTTCCTGATTTCCCCTCCTTCCTCCTCTGCTTTCACAGTTGGCAGCCTGCATTGCAGCCTGAAGGCTTTCTCTATGCTTACTCCTCTTGCTTTCTCCTTTCATTCTTCGTAGGCATTTCTCACAAAATGTTTCTTAAAGTTTTAACTCCATCTTGGGCCTACTTTATTTTTTTATAGATATATAAATATAAATATAATATATAAATGTTATATATTTTATATATATTATACATAATATATATTTTATATATTATGTATAATATATTATGTATAATATATATCATGTATAATATATGGTATATATCATGTATAATATATATGTCATGTATAATATATATTATATATCATGTATAATATATATTATGTATAATATATAATGTGTTTTATATATATATATATTTGAGACAGTCTCACTCTGTTGCCTCGGCTAGAATGCATTGTGGCATGATCTCGCCTCATTGCAACCTCCATATTCTGGGTTCAAGCAATTCTTGTGCTTCAGCCTCTCGACATAGCTGGGATTACAGGCACATGCCACCATGCTTGGCTAATTTTTGTAATTTTAGAAGAGACAGAGTTTTGTTCTCTACTAAAGAGAACCAATTGGCCAGTTATCTACTATTCTCTACCAGTTGGCCAGGATGGTCTTACCTCCTGGCCTCAAGCAATCCGCCTGCCTCAGCTTCCCAAAGTGCTGGGATTACAGGCATGAGCCACCATGCCCGGCCAGGTCTACTTTCTAGAGAACCTGAACTGACACACAACCAGGTGGTTTTTAAAAAATAAGTATTTAAAGACATTATCATTCATTCTTATGGTTTAAAAAACACAGAAATGGGGCCAGGGGCAGTAGCTCACACCTGTAATCCCAGCACTTCAGGAGGCCAAGGCGGGCAGATCACTTGAGATCAGGAGTTTGAGACCACCCTGGCCAACATGGTGAAACCCTGTCTCTACTAAAAATATAAAACTTAGCTGGGCGTGGTGGCATGTGCCTGTAACTCCAGCTACTGGGAGGCTGCGGCAGGGGAATCACTGGAGCTTGGGAGGCGGAGGTTGCAGTGAGCCAAGATGGCACCACAAAAACACAGAAATGCACAAAATGAAAAATAAACAATCCACCCCTTCTCCAAACTCTAAGAAAACCATTTTCATATGTTCATAATCATACCTATGTCATAATCTCACTGATATCATTATTTCATTTTCTGTCTGTCTGTCTATCTATCTATCTATCTTTCTTTTTTGTTAAGAGATGGGGTTTTGCTATGTTGTCTAGGCTCGACATGAACTCCTAGACTCAAGTCATCCTCCTGCCTCTGCCACCCAGAATGCTGGAATTATAGGTGTGAGTCACCACATCCAACTTTAGATAGTGTCTGTTATTATCATGTGTGTTCTGAAAGATAAGGGAATTAGTATATCTAACATTCTTTTACCTTTTCTCCTCCATTTTTAAATTTTTGTTTACTGGTGATGTTATTTTTACCTTGTTAAAGCTTATGTTTATACTTAGTTGTATATATTATTTAGACCGCCTATTGAGTAAAAATTGATTTTAAAAATTGAAAATCAGTAATTTTATTTGCTATAATTACATAAATATAACTTAGTCCAGAAGTGAGTGGTTTGGTTGAAACTATATAGGTGGAATATAATTCCATGTATCTCAGCTTTGCCAGGTTCAGTTTTCTTTCTAGATGCTCAGCTGTCTCTGTTCCTTGTTGCTTATATTGTCTTCTTCATTTAAGAGCACAAGCCACACTACTTGGAGTTGAATCCTAGCATCAAACAGGTTTTTTTTTTTTTTTTTAAAGACAGAGTTTCACTCTGTCACCCAGGCTGGAGTGCAATGGCGTGATCTCGGCTCACTGCAACCTCCACCTCCAGGGTTCTAGCGATTCTCCTACCTCAGTCTCCTGAGTAGCTGGGATTACAGGTGCCCACCACCATGCCTTGCTAATTTTTTTGTATTTTTAGTAGAGATGGGGTTTCGCCATGTTGGCCAGGCTGGTCTTGAACTCCTGACCTCAGGTGATCCACCCACCTCGGCCTCCCAAAGTGCTAGGATTACAGGCGTGAGCCACCGCGCCCAGTCGTATCAAACAGTTATTCATCATGTGATCTTTAGCAAGTTACTTACTCTCTGTGCTTAACATTTATGATCTGCAAAACTAGTGTTACAGTTCTGAGTTCTTATACAGTTCTTATTGCTACAGTAAATTACCACAAATTTAGAAGCTTAAAACATCCATTTATAATCTCATAGTTTCCATAGGTCTGAAGTTCAGAGGGCTAGGCAAGGTCTCTGCTTAAGAGTCTTATAAGACCAAAATCGAGGTGTTGGCAGCGCTGTTTTCTTTCAGGAGGCTCTAGGGGAGAATCAGCTTCCTTGATTGTTCAGATTGTTGGCAGAATTGATTTCTAAGTGCTTGTAGGACTAAGCCCTATTTCCCTGTTGGCTGTTGGCTTGGGGGAGGAAGTGTCACACTCAGCTTCTATAGACCACTTGCATTTCTTTCTTTTTTTTTTTTTTTTTTTTTTTTTTTTTTTTTTTTTGAGATGGAGTCTCACTCTATCGCCCAGGCTGGAGTGCAGTGGCGCAATCTCGGCGCACTGCAAGCTCTGCCTTCCAGATTCACGCCATTCTCCTGCCTTAGCCTCACGAGTAGCTGGGACTACATGTGCCCGCCACCTCACCCGGCTAATTTTTTGTATTTTTAGTGGAGACGGGGTTTCACTGTGTTAGCCAGGATGGTCTCGATCTCCTGACCTCATGATCTGTTTGCCTCGGCCTCCCAAAGTGCTGGGATTACAGGTGTGAGCCACTGTACCTGGCCTTTTTTTTTTTTTTGAGACGGAATCTTGCTCTGTTGCCCAGGCTGGAGTGCAGTGGCGTGATCTTGGCTCACTGCAAGCTCTGCCTCCTGGGTTCACACCATTCTCCTGCCTCAGCCTCCCCAGTAGCTGGGACTACAGGCGCCTGCCACTACACCTGGCTAATTTTTTTGTATTTTTAGTAGAGATGGGGTTTCACTGTGTTAGCTAGGGTGGTCTCGATCTCCTGACCTCGTGATCTGCCTGTCTCGTCCTCCCAAAGTGCTGGGATTACAGGTGTGAGCCTCTGCGCCTGGCCTTCTTTCACTTCTAAAGGCCTGTTTGATTATATCATACCTACCTGGATAATCTAGGATAACTGCCTTATTTTAAAGTCTGTAACCCTAACGCTATGTAGTACAGTATATAGAAGAGTAACAGCAAGGGACAAAAATCATAAAGGGCCTAAATCTTGCCTAGCCACAGTCCTTCCTCTGGCTTCCATGATCCATATCTATCTCACATACAAAATACAACCACCCCATTCCAAGGTCCTCAAAGATCTCATTGTATAACAGTTCAATATCTCATCTCAAGCTTTTCAGCTCAGAAGTCCTTAATCTCACATCTAGATCATCTAAATAAAAATATGGGTGATGCTCTTTATTGATGGACCTGTGAAACTAAAGAAACAAGTTTACTTCTTCCAAAATAAGTGTTGGGACAGTAATAGACATTCTGGTTCAAAAAGGGAGAAGATGTAAAAAAGGAGTCGCAAGTCCCAAGCAATTTCAAAAACCAGCTGGAGAAACTCCACTACATTTCAAGGCCTGAAAATAATCCTTTGTGGTTTGCAGTTTCACCCTCTGGGCTTGCAGCTCTGCCTGCTCTCTTAGATACTTTTGTTAGTTTTTAAAAAAATATCTTTTCTTTTTCCTCAGGTTTGATGGTTCTTGGTTGCCCATCCATATTCATGAAAGGAGGATTAAGTTGGTCTGTTTAAGTAACTGGAATGAGATTCTCTGTTGCAGGTTTATTTCATCCACAGGTCTTTCTCTTGGCTGTGGCATGTGGTAGTCTTTAATGCCTTCTCAAAGGCATGCGTTTCTCAAAAAATTGGTTTTGGGGGCAAAAAAAAAAGTTGCTCTTTTTGTGTGTAAAGCACAGATATACATACAATACACAAATGTATAGTATATCTGTGGTTCTAAACTTTTCATGGAGGGAGTGATTAGGGAATAACCATCTAAAAAAGCTCCATTGGTGTTAGTAATAGGAAGAAAGGTTGAGAAACAGTGCTCTAAGGTATATGGTTGACTAGGTGGCAGGCTTCTAGGTACCCCCAATTGCTAAAATAATCATGCCTTATTTTGGGAGTGGAATGCTTTAGTGTCTGAAGAGCTGCCCTTGTTTACTTTTAGGTCTCAACATCTACCTCAAGAGCTCTTCACAGACCTGCCCATTTTGTTTAGAGCAGTAGCTTCCAAACTTTTATGCACTATGTTCCATAGTTCAAAATACATTTTACATTGCAATTTAGTACACACATGTATATTAACTTGTAAATCTATAACTAAAGAAAAATTCCGTGAAATAGGACATAGCTTCACTTTGTATTTTCTGTTATATGCATTCCAGATCATTAAAAATTACTAGTAACCCACCAAACTGTTTGAAACCCCATAGTTTGAAGAATACTTTAGACCAGTACCTGGGCTTAATCCTGAAGCTGACAGCCTTGCTGTCAACTCTTTAAGCAAGAAGAGGAGGAGAGGCCTAGTTGGCTAAGTCATTTGGAATGCAAATTTTACATGATAAAATTGATGATATCCCACCCCTAACCCCTGCTCTTTGCATTTTAAGCTTGGATCCTCTCTTTATCTCCTTTGGGAAGACCTAAACCACTATCTTTGCTGCAGTTTCCTTTGCTTACTTTTTCTTAGTTGGATCTCGGTTGTTTTATATTTTCTAGGTATCACCCACATTTTCTGATCTGAGAGTGGAGTTTTTTTCCTTCCATATGTTTATGATTTGATTTCTGAGTTTAAAAACAAAATAAAACAGCTTTCTGTTGTTACCTGAAGATCAAGGGTGGAACAAAGAGTACATTTGTATGCTCAGTCCACCGTGTTCAATTGGAAACCTTATAGTTTACTTAACAGTCCTAAGTTAGTGTTACATTTTGGTGTTTTCCAGTTTTTCTAAGAGTTTATTTTTGCTATATCTACATGAGGAGCCATGCTTATTTTTAGGAATGATGAAAACATGATTGCTTGTCTGAAGCCTACCTGTAAAATCTTTCATTCCCCTTATCTCTGGTGCTAACTGATTGGGTCATGGTTAAGAGTGAATCTATCTCTGATCAAACTGTCAGGTTTCTATCTCACTTATTAAATTCTGCCACTTATAATCTATGTGCTCTTGAGCAAATTGCCTCATTTCTTTGTACCTATTTGCTTATTCTAAAGTAGGAATAGTAATATCTACTTCATAGGGTTGTTGTGAGAGTTAAATGTTAAGGGCATATAAAGAAAGTTCTTAGGACAGTTCCTGGCTTATATTAAGCATTTGATAACTGCTGTTTGTCAACATCATCATCATAACTATACTCATCCATACATATATATCCTTTTTAAAAAAACAAACAGCTTTTTTATCCTCTTACACAGTTTTTGTATAGGCTGTGTAGGTTTATTTATTTTCAACCCACTTGATTTTATTTTAATTTAATTTAATTTAATTTTACTATTTTATTTTATTTATTTGAGATGGAGTCTCACTCTGCTGCCCAGACTGGAAGTGCAGTGATGCGATCTTGGCTCACTGCAACCTCCACCTCCCAGGTTCAAGCGATTCTCCTGCCTCAGCCTCCCAAGTAGCTGGGATTACAGGCGCCTGCCACCATGCTTGGCTAATTTTTGACATTTAGTAGAGATGCGATTTCACCATGTTGGCAAAGCTGGTCTTGAACTCCTCACCTCAGGTGATCCACGCACGTTGGCTCCCCAAAATGCTGGGATTAACAGATGTTAGCGACCATGCCCAGCTGATTTTATTTTTAAAAGAATCTAAGGCTGGGTGCGGTGGCTTTTGCCTGTAATCCTAGTACTTTGGGGGGCTGAGGCAGGGGACTCGCTTGAGCCCTGGAATCTGAGACCAGACTGGGCAACATGGTAAGACCCCATCTCTACAAAGAATCAAAAATTAGTTGGGCATGGTGGCACGCTCCTAGAGTCCTGGCTACTTGGGAGGCTGAGGTGTGGGAAGTTCACTTGAGCCTGGGAGGTTGATGCTGCAGTGAGTCATGATTGCGCTAGCACACTCAGCCTGGGCAACAGAGTGAGACCCTGTCTCAAAGAGTCTAAGGCCAGGCATGGTGGTTCATGCCTGTAATCCCAGCACTTTGGGAGGCCGAGGCAGGTGGATCACTTGAGGTCAGGAGTTTGAGACCAACCTGGCCAACATGGTGAAGCCCTGTCTCTACTAAAAATACAAAAATTTGGTGAGCATGGTGGCAGGTACCTGTAATCCCAGTTACTTGGGAGCCTGAGGCAGGAGAATCGTTTGAACCCAGGAGGCAGAGACTGCAGTGAGCTGAGATCATGCCACTGCACTTGAGCCTGGGCGAAAGAGCAAGACTCCATCTCCAAAAAAAAAAAAAAAGAGTCTAACTGTGTTTTGCTTTACTGGAATTAGTAAACTGGAAAATTGGCCTAGCTAAGACTCAGTTAGCTGAACTAAGGAGAGAAAAGGTGTGAGGTGATTAGAGAAACGTCAGCTTATTAGGATGAAGGATAGTAGGTTGCAAACCATATTTACTTACATTTGCTTTGTGGATAATAGTTAAGGGTGTGGGATACAGAGTCAGACTATCTGAGTTAGATCATTGGTTCCACAACTTGCTGGCTGTGTGACTTTGAGCAAGTTACTTAATTTTTCTGTGCCTTGTGTAAAATGGGGATGATAATACCTGCCTCACAGGGATACTGTGAAGATCTCATGAATTAATGCATGTTAGTTGCTTACAAGTGCTTAAGAGACAACAGCTATTAGTAGTATTAATATTGTGCTTGGATTTTGAATTCATTTTGCTTGGATTTGAATTCAGTATTTGATTTTGTTCAGAGTTTGTTGAGTCTCCCTTATGTAAAATGCTTGGGGACCAGAAGTGTTTTGGATTTTGGATTTTTTTTGGTTGGGGGGGTTTTGGAATATTTGCATATACATAATGAGATATCTTGGGGATGGAACCCAAGTCTAAACGCAACATTTATTTATATTTCGTATGTGTATACATATTTTATACACATAGCCTGAAGGCAGTATTATTTTTCCCTTGTTGACACTGAATAAACTGTTGTGCACCTTTGTTTTGACTGCAACCCACGACCTAAGGTCAGGTGTAGACATTTCCGCTTATGACATCATATAGGCTCTCAAAAAGTTTTGGATTTTGAAGCACTTTGAATTTTGGATTTTTGGGTTAGGAATGTTCAACCTTTATAAAGAATACAGAGTTGAAGTAAAGGGTGAGATTTTCATATTGATAGAAATGTACTATATTTTCTACCATCTAGAGGTGGAATAATATTTAGGACACAGGAGTTAGTTGGGAGATTAATAAATACTTTATGAATACAACAATACTTCAAACATTAGGCCTTCTAGAGTTATTCTAAGATATTTGGGGCCATACCTAGGCATTGCTATGGTGGTTTGTTGCTAGCCTGTTCACTTAGTCATTAAAACAATTTACCTTTTTCATCCTTGTTATACATTATTTTCTGAATTTCTGCTTTAATAGTTAACAGTAGTCCCCAGGTTTTATTTTTATTTTTGTTTCCTTCTTGAGACAGGGTCTCGCTTGTTGCCCAGGCTGGAGTGCAGTGACACAATCATGGCTTACTTCAGCCTTGAACTCCCAGGCTCAAGCAGTCCTCCCACTTCAGCCTCCTGAGTAGCTGGGACTACAGGCGTGTACCACTATACCTGGCTAATTTTTTATTTTTTTTTTAGAGATTGGGTCTCATCATGTGTCCAGACTGGTCTCAAACTGCTGGGCTCAAGTGATTCTCCCACCTTAGCCTCCCAAAGTGCTGGGATTACAGGTGTGAGTCACCATGCCTCGCCAGTCCCCAGGTTTAAAAAAAATTCTCCCTTTGAAGTTGTAGGAAACTTAGAATGTGTATGAAACAGGATTTTCTATCACATTAATTTAAAGTCTCTCTTTAGAGTATGTTACCCAACGTATTTTCCTTTCCTGTATTTGAGTGTTACAGTATAATCATTAGTGTTTTCAGTATGTTTTGTCTAATTATCCTATTTGTAGTTTTTTTTCTCGTGAAAAACATCCTGAGTAGTACTTTTTGAACATTCTGCTTATTCACTTGAATTAATTGTTTGAATATAGTTTTAGAAATTCATTTTTTAAGATTGCTAAATTTTATTATCTTTTTTCTTCAATTGTGGGCCATACGTTAAAAGTAACAGCTTTGATGTTATTTTGCAGAGACAAGTTTTTGAATTTTCTTAGTTGCAGAATTGCACACTGTGGAAATGACTTTACTGGTAAACCCTGGGTAGCTGTACATCTCTCTATGAGAAAGAGTTTTATAGGAAGAGACATCTATCGCCAATGAATTGCCAAAAGAATGATTTTTCCTGAAAATAGTAGAATGTCTTTTCTGTTTGCCTCCACATTTGTCATGTATCTGTGAAGTATGTATACAGACACACATGCGCACACGCACATGCTGCATGTATGTTGAAAAACATTAATTTTTAAAAATTTAAAAAATTTTATAGAGATGGGGTTTTGCTTTGTTGTGCAGGCTGTTCTGAAACTCCTGGCCTTAAGCAGTTCTCCTGAGTTGGCCTTCCAAAGTTCTGGGATTACAGATATGAACTATCATGCCCAGCCAAAAAAAAATTCAGTATACCACATTTGGACCAACCTTTTCATTAGTAAGATTTCATGACAATTTTTCTAGTATATTATAGCATATGTTCATTCATTACCCTTGATGGCCCATTGCTAAATTTTAGTCCTGATTATTCTTCTCCTTTACTGTATCAGTTTTGCACGTTACTAAACATGGTATTCAACTATTCTGTCATTAATTATAGACTTCATTTAGTAATTTACAAACCATGATAGCATTTTGGGTCAAGAATACCAGACATTCCTTTTATTACGAAGTAGTTGCCCTTTAAGGTAGTTGAGTTTTCCGTTTCATTTGGATAATGTGCTGTGTTGAGCTTTGGTTGTTAATTGATAAATGTGGTATCCTCTCTGTGAAAGCTTTTAAAATGCATAACACGTATTTCAGAAAGCAGCTGTTGCTATGGCAACTCTCGGGTCACTTGCAGCTCAGCTTACATGATTGGCTGTTAATGGAGTCTAATATGCTTGAGAAGAGAATTGAGCAAATGAAAGAGGGTTTTGAAGGAATCCTGTTAAAGCTCTTGAAGTTAACAGAACAGCTCACAAAAATTTAACACTTATATTACTGTTAACACAATTTTGCTGGAAGTAGTTTTATGAATAATGACAGTGAGACAGGACAAATTTTTGGAAAAATAATTTTCAAAATCCTTTTAGGAATGTTGTAATCTTGTCACTTTTCCTTATTTTACTGTTGTTTAAAGAAACACTTTCACAGCTATCACTCGCGTTCTGTGCTCTATTCTCTGAAGTACCTGTCTCAGAGGAGTTAATTACAATGAGGCGTGAGAAGGTTGTTAATTGTGCAGGGTCAAAAAGAGTGGTAAAACCAGGAATAGCGTCAAAATTTTACTCTGGTTACATGAATTAGATTAGAATTGCCTCTTACTTGATTCTTAAGATAGCCCCATGAATACTTGCCTCATTCTTAGGGGTATTTGGATGGTGTGAAAAGGGAGGTTGTGGTGTGTACTGTGGATTTTGAGGCCAGTAAAGTAAGTAAAATTAAGCATAATTAACTACCATAATAAAAATTAATAGAGCCATGGAAAATGGCACAGTAACATATATCTTGTTAAATGACAGAATTTTCATCAGTCTCCACCTACTACTACTTTTGACAGTTAAATATAAGTAAAACATAATTATCAGAATTTATAATTCAGATGAAATTTACTAATCAATAATTTAACATCACCTCGGAAATGATTTCACTTTGTAAAAACTTCAGTTGGTTAGTTCAGCCATATGTACTTGGAAAAGAGTACTAAGGCATGTAGCTTATTTTACATATCTGCTGTTTCTACTTAGGGTCTTAAAAAATTATTGATTATGGTACTAGTGTTGAAATTGATGAACTGATTATGTTACAGCTATGCTGGTGTATAGTTATATTTGGTTTTTTGGTTTTGCAAGCAAAAATTGGTGATACAAATCAATATCTACCAACACCCTAAATTACCTTTGATTTTTTTTTTTAAATTTCCTATTCAAGTAACACTCAGGAATATTACAGAAAAACTTTTCTTAATAGACCTACCTAGATATGTGGGATGCCCTCATTACTTTTTTTGACAAAACACCTTAAAGTTCAATAAATGTTCCTCTAAACACCAAAATCTGTAAGTTCGTTAATCATCAGTATTACCCCTTGGAAATGCTTTTTTTTTTTTTTGGGTGGAAGATACAGGACCTGGCTCTGTCACCTAGGCTGGAGTACAGTGGCACGATCATAGCTCAGTGTAACCTGGAACTGCTGGTCTCCAATGATTGTCCCACCTCAGCCCCCCCTGAAGTGTTGGGATTACAGGTGTGAGCCACTGCACCCAGCCTCATTTTGTTTTTAAATGATAGTGTGCAGGTGACCATAAGTCCTGGTCTGCCAGTTCTGGTAGTACTGGATTATTCTTAATAGTGTTCCCTTTTTATATTTAATACCAAGAGATAAAAGAAAAGTACAACAAGTCAACAGGGAAATCCACAACTCATAGCTACTATTGCATTCTAGTGCATTTCATTCCTTTTCAGCCTTTTTTGTTTGTTTGTTTTTTGAGACAGCAACTTGCTATGTTGCCTAGGCTGGAGTGCAGTGGTGCCATCTTGGCTCACTGCAACCTGTGCCTTCCAGGCTCAAGTAGTCCTCCCACTTAAGCCTCAGGAGTAGCTGAAACTACAGGCATGTACCATCATGCCTGGCTCATTTTTGTGTTTTTAGTAGAGACAGGGTATTGCCATGTTGCCCAGGCTGGTCTCGAGCTCCTGGGTGTAAGCAATCCACTGGCTTTAGCCTCCCAAAATGTTTGGATTACAGGCGTGAGGCCACCCTGCCTGGCCCGTTTCAGTCTTTTTATGTGCATGTGAGTATATATGAACTGTGTAGGATGGCTGGGTGTGGTGGCTTATGCCTGTAATCCCAGCACTTTGGGAGGCTGAGGCAGGCGGATTATTTGAGGTCAGGAGTTTGAGACCAGCATGGTGAAACCCTGTCTCTACTAAAAATACAAAAATTAGCTAGGCGTGGTGGGATGCACCTGTAATCCTAGCTACTCGGGCGGCTGAGGGACAAGAATTGCTTGAACCCGGGAGGTGAGGTTGTGGTGAGCCAAGATCGTGCCATTGCACTCCAGCCTAGACGACAAGAGTGAAACTTTGTCTCAAAAAAAAAAAAAAAAAAAAAAAAAAAGAAAGAAAGAAACGTGTAGGAGAGGACGTTCTTTATATTTGCATCTATACACTGGCCACTTTTTTTTCCATATAAGTATTGCATATCATAAGCAATTCTTCTCATAGTTCTTAATAGTGTATAAAAAATATTCACAAGTAATTGCTCTCCATTTATAGGACATTGTTTCTTTTTTTTTTGGCTATTATAAAGTAGTTCAGAGTGGATAATACATTTAAGTGTAAATATATTTTCATTTATGTATTTATTTTTGCTTTAGGAAATATTTTTAGAAGAGGAATTGCTGAACTAAAGATTATTGATTTTTAAAGGTCTTGATACGTATTAATATTAGATGCTTTCTGGAAGAGCTTTTACATTTTTTTTGACGTGTAAATTACTTTAAATTTACTTGTAGGACCTCAGGTGCGGAGGGCTGAATTAATCCTGACCACAGTTCATGGCATGCAGTAATTGACTCATTCAAAGCCTTGCTTTCATTTTATTTATTTATTTCCTTTATGTGGGTTATTCACTCATTCTCCTTTTCTCCATAGGTTTGATACACACACACACACACACACACACACACAAATAAATACAGAGAGCACACGTTTATTTGTATGTGTTCTTATATATATTGTTGTTTTGTGTGGTTATATTTGAAGTCAAACATAAAGTGGATTGGCATTGCTTTGTTCTGGGGACCCCTCTGCCACCACCGTTTCTACCCCCACCGCTAATGTTGGGAAAAAAAATGATAAAATACACACAACCTAAAATTTACTATCTTAACCATTTTTAAGTGTATAGTTTAGTGGTATTAAATAGGTCCATATTGTTTTGCAGCCATCACCGCTGTATGTATCCAGGACTCTTTTTCATCTTGCAAACTGGAAACTCTATACCCGTTAAATAAAAACCCTTCAGTGCCCCCAACCCCAGCTTCAGGCAACTACCATTGTACTTTCTGTTCCTATGAATTTAATTACTCTTAAGTATCTTATGTAATTGGAATCATACAGTATTTGGTGTTTTTTTTTTTTATTTTTTTGCGACTCGCTAATTTCACTTAGCATAATGAAAGCAAGTTTCATTCATAACATCTGTCAGAATTATCTTTTTTAAGGCTGAATAATACTCCATTGTTTGTGTATACCACATTGTGTTTATCCATTTGTCAGTTTGAGTTGCTTCCTTGATTGAAGTACTGTGAATAATGTTACTATGAACATGGGTGTATAAATATGTCTTCAAGACCTCATTTTCAGTTCTTTGGACTACATACCCAGAAGTAAAATTGCTGGATTGTATGGTAAGTCTATTCTTAATTTTCTGAGGAAACACCATATTTTTTTACACTGTGGCTATACCATTTTACATCCCCACCAACAGTATATAAGGGTTCTGATTTCTCTACTTGTTACTTTCTGGATTTTTTTTTTTTTTAATGGAGTCTTACCCTGCCACCCAGGCTGGAGTGCAGATGGTGTGATCTTGGCTCACTGTGACCTCTGCCTCCTGGGTTCAAGTGATTCTCCTGCCTCAGCCTCCTGAGTAGCTGGAACTACCGGCATGCGCCGCCATGTCTGGCTAATTTTTATATTTTTAGTAGAAATGGGGTGTCACCATGTTGGCCAGGCTGGCCTGGAACTCCTGACCTCAGCTGATCCACCTGCCTTGGCCTCCAAAGTGCTGGGATTACATGCATAAGCCACAGCACCCAGCCTACTTTCTGGATTTTTTTATTATAGCCATCCTAATGGATGATGAGTGTTATCTTACTGTGGT
The DNA here is from genome assembly GCF_000001405.40 of Homo sapiens. Lineage (NCBI taxonomy): Eukaryota > Metazoa > Chordata > Mammalia > Primates > Hominidae > Homo > Homo sapiens. Next base: position 136,655,419 of record NC_000003.12, on the reverse strand, counting down.
TTTGATTTGCATTTACCTAATTACTAATGATATTGAGCATCTTTTCACGTGCTTACTGGCCATTCGTGTATTTTCTTTGGAGAATGTCTATTCAATCTCTTTGCCCATTTGTGAATCAGGTTATTTGTTTTTATGTTGTTGAGTTGTAGAAGTTATTTGTTCTGGATATTAATCTCTTATCACATGTATACTTGGCAAAGGTTTTCTCCTGTTCTGTGGGTTGACTTTTTACCCTGTTGGATTTGTTTCTTGATGCACAAAGTTTTAAAATTTTTGTGAAGTCCAGTTTGCCTGTTTTTCTTTTGTTGTCTGTGCCGATGTTGTTCTGAGAAATCATTGCCAAACCTAATGCTGTGAAAGTTTTGTCTTATGTTTTTTCTGTAAGAGTTTTATAATTTTAGGTCATACATTTAGGTCTTTGATCCATTTGAGTTAACTTTTGTATTTAGTGTTAAATAAGGGTCCAAATTTGCATGTGGCTACCCAGTTTTTCCATTACTATGTGTTGAAACGACTGTCCTTTCTCCATTAATAGTCTTGGCAACTTTCTTGTAGATCATGTTACCATGCATGCAAGGGCTTATTTGTGGGCTCTCTTTTCTATTCCATTGGTCAATATATTTGTATGGCAGTGCCACACAGTTTTAATTACTGTAGTTTTGAGGTAAGTTTTGAAAGTAGGAAGTGTGAGTCTTCCAGCTTTGTTCTTCAAGATTCAGTATCTTGTTCCTCAAATTCAAGATTGTTTTGGCTATTTGGATCCCTTGAGATTCCATATAAATTTTAGGATGAGTTTTTCTATTTCTGCAAAAAATACTGTTGTTATTTTGAAAGGGTTTGCATTGAATCTGCAGACTGCTTTTGGTAGTATTGATACATTTAAAAAGATTGTCTCCCAATCCAAAAACGTGGGATGTGTTTTTACTTATTTGTGTCTTTAATTTCTTTCATCCATGTTTTCAGTGTACTACAAGTCTTTCACCTTGTTGGTTAAGTTATTCATTAACATTTCACTGCTTTAGATGCTGTTATAAATGGAACAGTTTTTGTAATTGTTTTTCAGATTGTTCATTGTTAGTGTATAGAAATGCAACTGATTTTTTTTATGTGTGTTGACTTTGTATCCTGCTACTTGGCTTTATTTGTTTATTCTAAAGCTTTTATGTGTGAAATCTTTAGGGTTTTCTACATACAGGATTATGTTGTCTGAACAGAAACAATTTTACTTCTTTCATTTCAATTTGGTTGCTTTTATTTTAATTTCTTTTTCTTGCCTAATTGCTCTGATTAGGACTTCAGTACTATTTTAAATAGAAGTAGTAAAAGCAGGCATTCTTCTTATGTTCCTGATCTTAGATGAAGAGCTTTCAGTCTTTCAGAATTGAGTTTGATGTTTGCTGTGTGTTTTTCATATATCATCTTTATTATATTGAGAAAATTCCCTTATGTTGCTAGTTTGCTTAGTGTTCTTGTTATGCAGGGGTATTGAATTCTCTCATACCTTTTCTGCATTGAGATGATCATGTGATTTTATTTTCTTCATTCTGTTAATGTGGTATATTACATTGATTAGTTTTTGTATATTGAACCATCCTTGCATTCCAGGAATAAATCCCACTTGGTCATGGTGTATAATCCTTTTATATGCTCTGGATTCAGTTTGACAACTTTTTTGGGTTGTATTTTTCAGTGTTTTCTCAGCAAAGTTAAGAGCATGTACTCTGGACCCAGTCAGCTTGGGGTTGAATCTGTCATTTAGTAACTGTGCTACTGTGGGCCAACCACTCAATGCCACATTTTTATAATTTGTAAAATGGGGTTAAGAGTAGTTCCCACCCTTTTGGTGAGGATTAATTAGTAAATATGTGTATAGTGTTTAGAATAGTGGCTGGCACACAATAAATGTTATATAAATGGGTTAGTGTTAAAAAATTAGAAAAAAATGGAATTTTCATCTGAATTTCATATTTGAATTGATAAATTTTGGAGAAATTAAGTTAAGTTGCCCCATCCAAGAGAATGTAATGGCTGTCTATTGCTCAAAACTTTTAACGTATTTTAATACAATCAAATTTCCTTTTTTCCTGCATAGTACTCATTATTCTCAATTGCTAGTTCTTTTTTCTTTGCTTTTCTTTTTTTTTTTTGAGATGGAGTTTTGCTCTTGTTGCCCAGGCTGGAGTGCAACAGCACGATCTCGGCTCACCGCAACTTCTGCCTCCTGGGTTCAAGCTATTCTCCTGCCTCAGCCTCCCGAGTAGCTGGGATTACAGACATACACCACCACGCCTGGCAAATTTTGTATTTTTAGTAGAGACAGGGTTTCTCTATGTTGGTCAGGCTGGTCTCAAACTCCTGACCTCAGGTATTGCCTGCCTCGGCCTCCCAAAGTGCTGGGATTACAGGCGTGAACCACTGTGCCCGGCTGCTAGTTCTTAACTAGGGGCAGTGTCTCCCACCCTTATTTCCTCCGTGGGACATTTGGCAATGTGTGGAGACATTTTTGGTTGTCACAGTTTAGGAGGATGCTACTTCATCTAGTAGCATCAACAGGCTAGTCTCCACAACAACTAGTTTATCTGGCTAAAAATGTCAATAATGCCGAGGTTGAGAAACCCTATTCTTGAGGTATTGTTTTTGTTGCCATTTTGAATGGAGTTTATTTTAATTTCTGATTGGTTATTGCTATCGGAGGGAGATGTTAACAGATTTTTTCTGTTACCTTTTATCTGGCACTTGTGCTCAACTAAACTTACTGGAACTTGAGTCTAATAATTTGTAGATTCTGGTTGTTTTTCTTTGTAGATGATCTGGTCTCTTCCTTTCTAATTTTTATGTGTCTGTCTCTAACTCTCTTATAACATTGGCCAGAACCTTTACTATTTTATTAAACAGTAGCAGTGGTAATAGGCGTCTTTGTAGTGTTCTGAACTTTATGGAATGAGTTTCAAGTTTCTTAAGATGAAGTAACACCAAACAATATAGGAGGATGTCAGTCTTAGTTTATCCTGCCTAAGTATTATCACTTAAAATGTGTTCTTGAGGCAAAAATGCTTAACTTCATTGTTGATCAAAAAAATGCAATTTAAATCAGCAATGAAGTGATGTTTTGTATTTCCTAGTTATATTGAGAATTTTTCTACAAGTGCGTTAGCCCTTTTTCCTCTGTGAGTATATTTGTCTTTTAACAATTTTTCCTCCTCTCAGAATTGTATAAGTTATGACTTGCAGCTGTTATTTGTGGTATACTTTTAACTTGTTCGTTTTGATGTGAAAGGTTTTAATTTTTATGAAAACACATTTACTTTTTTCCTTTGTGAAATCTTTTATTGCTTTTATGCACAAGAAGGCCTTAGCTCCTGAAACTTTCTTCTGAGACTTTCCTGTGATCTTTCTACTTTCTGCTGTGATGTTTTCCTGGTTGAACCAAGGGCACACTTATCCTTTTTCCTTCATTCTGAATCACTCACCTGACTTCAGGTGTTACCTCTTCCCCTGACATGCTAAAATTGTAGGTGATCATAAATATTATTCACTGTGTGTGTGCCTCCCCACCCCCTGCCTTGGTTTTCACAGAGCTTAGGATGTCATGGAAGTATCTCAGGGTCCGTTGGAGATATGGCACTGAGGTGTAGGCTTGATAATTGGGCAGCGTTCCAAGTTTCCTCCCCTTCTTGAGGTACTTTGAGCTCTTTTCTGTTGGTAGTCTACATATGATCATCTCTGTGTAGGTGGTCTGCATAAGACTATTGGTTTATATCTTCTGCCATGAGAGAGAGAAAGTTGGAAATATATACTGATCTAGCATGAGAAATTAGTAAATATTAAAGCCAAGTTAGTAAATATTAAAGCCAAGATCAATTTTGCTACAAAATTTTACTACAAAAATATTTACTAACTTGTAAATATTTACTAACTTTTTAATATTTACAAGATTTTTAATATTTTAATATTTACAAGTTAGTAAATATTACAGCCAAGATCAGAGTCTGTTTCTGTTGAATCTAATCTACTTTACATGATTCTTTTTTTTTTTTTTTTTTAAATTTTTGGTGAGATAGGGTCTTGCTCTTTCACTGAGGCTGGAGTGCAGTGACATAATCTTAGCTCACTGCAGCTTTGACTTCCCGGGCTCAAGCAGTCCTCCCACCTCAGCCTCTGAAGTATCAGGAGTTACAGGCAGGCACCACTACAGTGGGATAATTTTGTTTATTTTTTGTAGAGACGAGAGCTCACTGCGTTGCCCATGCTGGTCTTGAACTCCTGGCCTCAAGAAATCCTCCTGCCTTGGCCTCCCAAAGTGCTAGGATTACAGGTGTGAGCCACAGTGCCCAGCACATGATACTTTAATATTATATCTCTGCATTGGATATTTCTGACAGAACGATCCATTGTCATCTTCCCTTTCTTCTAAAACCGAGCCCATTATCTTTACCCTTTATCCCTGTGGGGAGTGCTTTTCTCCCCAGTGCTGCATCTTCCTTGTTTTTTTTTTTTTAATTCTACCACCATTCTCTTGTGTGTATACTTTGAAATAAATCTCTCTTAATGACACTTTTTTAGGCCACCACATTCAGTTGAACTGCTCAGGGCTACCAGTTTATTTTTTCTTGAGCTCATTGTTGCTTACCTGCTACTAGATTCATGATTAAGTCCCATAATATCTCCTCACAGTACTATCATAAGAGCTTTATACTTGTTTGCCTTATAGCTAGGCTGTAATCGCTCTGTCCTTTCCACCACTGTGCCTCAAATTAACATTTATATAGATAGCTTCATTAGACAAAATGAAATCTTAAGTTCCCTGGACTAACATTGAAGGCCTTTTACAATTTGGGTAGGCCCTGGGAGGTGTGTATATGTAGAGATAGGCATTTGTAACTTTTTAGCAGTGTGTTACTAACTAGTTATTTAGATCTATCCAGATTTTAAAAATCTTTCGTTTTTATTGCATATGTAATACTTGTAGTATGTATGGAGATGCAAAAGCAAAGAATAAAAGTTGCCCTTAATTTCACTGTTTAGAAATAATCATTAGTCAATCTTTAAAAATGACTATTTTCTTCATATTTATTCTGTATATTTTGATAAGTTGATACATTTTTATTTTTGTATTGTTATTATGAATGGAATATTTATTTCTATTATTATTTTTCCTGTCTCTCTCTCTTTTTTTTTTTTTTCTTGACAGGGTCTCACTTTGTCACCCAGGCTGGAGTACAGTTGCGCAACCATAGCTCACTGCAGCCTCGACTGCCTGGGCTTCAGCCATCCTCTCACCTCAGCCTCCAGAGTAGCCGGGGCTACAGGCACATGCCACCTTGCCTAACTAACTTTACAAAAATTTTTTTTTGGCTGGGCGTGATGGCTCACGCCTGTAATCCCAGCACTTTGGGAGGCCTAGGTGGGTGGATCACGAGGTCAGGAGATCAAGACCATCTTGGCTGACACGGTGAAACCCCCTCTCTATTAAAAATACAAAGAATTAGCCAGGCTTGGTGGCATGTGCCTGTAGTCCCAGCTACTCAGGAGGCTGAGACAGGAGAATTGCTTGAACCTGGGAGGTGGAGATTGCAGTGAACTGAGATTGTGCCACTGCACTCCAGCCTGGGTGACAGAGTGAGACTCTGTCTCAAATAAACAAAAAAAATCTTTTTTTTTTTTGCTACGGAAACGAGGTCTCACTATGTTGTCCAAGCTGCTCTCAAATTTCTGGGCTGAAGTAATCCTCCTGCCACATCCTCCCAAAGTGCTGGGATTACAGGCACGAGCCACTGCACTTGGCCTGTTATTTTATATTAGTTTTTTAAATATACAAACAAAAGTTACTCATTTTTCTGTATTTATTTCATTGGCTGCCCTATTGAAATATTTATTAAGTCAAACTGGACCCTTTCTTTTTTTTTTTTTTTTTTTGTTTCTGTTTTTGTTTTTGTTTTTTGAGATGGAGTCTCACTCTTTCACCCAGGCTGGAGTACAGTGGCGCCATCTCCACTCACTGCAACCTCCGCCTCCCGGGTTCAAGCAATTCTCATGCCTCAGCCTCCAGAGTAGCTGGGATTACAGGCACGTGCCACCATGCCCTACTAGTTTTTATGTTTTTAGTAGAGATGGGGTTTTGCTGTGTTGGCCAGGCTGGTCTTGAGCTTCTGACCTTAGGTGATCCGCCCACCTCAGCCTCCCAAAGTGGGATTACAGGCACAAGCCACCGCCCCTGGCCTTTCAATTAACAACCCTTTCAATTAACAAACAAAATAGTGAATAGAATGTTTCAGGGAGGAAATAGTATAAGCAAAGGCATGGAGGTCTGAACCATAAAGGTATTTGGGATGAACTACAAGTATATAATTTGATATTACAGAGATGTAAATTACAGTGTCAGAGAGAGATTGGAGGTGAGACCGGGGAGGACCCAGAACTTAAAATTTTTGCTTGCTATGTTTAGGAATTGGAATATTATCCTCGAAGTGGTAGAGAGTTATTTGAAAGATTTTAAATAGGGAGCTGGTGTGATTAAATATTTTAAATAAATCAGTCTGGCTCTAGGGTGGAGAATTGAATTGCGGCAAGCAAGAAGACTAGGAGACTATTGAAATATTCAACAGGACAGCAGGGGCGTTTATTTATTAGGACAGTATAAGATTAGAGAGAAAGAGGAAGGGATGGATTTAACATACATTTTACAGGTAAAATAGTCAGGATATGGTAGAAGGGGAAGAAGGGTAGGTAGAAGGGGAAATCAAGACTGATTTCAGGGTTTTTTATTTTCTAGCTTGGATGACTGCATGATTTCATTACATAAAATGAGGAATTTGGATAAAACACATAATCTTAAATTTTACTTAGGTTCTTGTTTTGGAGGACAGAGAGGGTAGAGGATTGTTAGAAAAGAAGCTCAATTTGTGGGATGTCCTGACCAAGGTCATGGTGTTACATCTAAGAAAATTTTTACAGGAAGCAGTAGTAAAATTAGGATGTGAAATAAAGATGTTGGAGTCATCAGGTGCTTTGAAAATTAATGTTAACAACCTTTTTACTACCTAACATAACTAAAGGGTACATCACATTTCATCAGTAGAAGCAGTTTACTGGTGCTTGAGGAGCAAGGATTGGGGAGTGTTTGAGGAGTTTGGGAGAAGGGAATACTCCCCAAACCCAGGTGACTCAATGATTTCTGTTCTGGTTAACAACCATGGTCTAGTTGAAAAGACTAGGATAATGTGGAGATCTATGGGTTTATTATCTTTTTGTTAATGGAAATTCAAAGCATATACAAAAGTAGATGGAATTCTATGAACCCCCTAGATACTTACTGTCCAGCTTCAATAGTTATCAACTCATGGCTCTACTATTATTTCATCTGTATACCACTCATTCTATATTTATTTGAAGCAAATCCCTGACAATCTGTCTTCATCTGTAAATACTGTAGTATATATCTATAAAAGATAAGAACTAAGAAGCACTATAAACATCAACAATAATTTCTTAATATCATACAATACTTTGTAGTGATTGTTTTTCCAAAGAGTATTTTCAATGGAGAATTGGGATTATAGTAAGGTTTTTTTCTTTATTAAATGAGAGGGAATGAAAAATGAGAAGGTAGAAGCAATGAATATAAACTGCCTTTCTTCAAAGGAAAACAAGGTGTATAGTGCCTAACATGTATACGAAATTACAGGCTATATGTTTTAAGTGATAAGGGATAGTTGGGTGGTTTGTAGACTTAGCAAAAGAGCTAGTAGGGAAATGAAATATTGACATGGGGACTTGGGGAGCAAGAACAAGAAGAATATCTTTTTTTCCTTATTTTTTTTTTTGAAGGAAAAATATTTTTGTTCTTCTTGGAGACCGAGTTTCGCTCTTGTTGCCCAGGCTGGAGTGCAATGGCACGATCTCGGCTCACAGCAACCTCTGCCTCCCGGGTTCAAGCGAGTCTCCTGCCTCAGCCTCCCGAGTAGCTGGGATTACAGGCTAGCGCTACCAGGCCCGGCTAATTTTGTATTTTTAGTAGAGACGGGGTTTCTCCATGTTAGTCAGGCTGGTCTCAAACTCCTGACCTCAGGTGATCGCCCGCCTGGGCCTCCCAAAGTGCTGGGATTACAGGCATGAGTCACCATGCCCGGCCAGGAAAGATATTTTTATTTCATTTTTAAATAACCACAATATTTACTAATGGGATGTATGTTGGGCACTGCATGACTTCTCAGACCCTGGAATCATATTGAACACCATTACCTCATTTTCTGTGCCACAATTATTTATGCATGGTATTTATTTTTAAAAAAATAGGTTAAATTTAACGATTTAAGTTTTTTAAAAAATTGACACAATTGTACCTATTTAGGTGTACATAGTGGTGTTGCAGTATACATAATGTATAATGATCAGATCAGAGTAATTAGCATGTGTATCATCTCAAACATTCATTATTTCTTTGTGTTGGGAACATTCAATATTTTCTTCCTAGCTATTTGAAACTTTATTATTATTATATATTTTTTTCAGATGGAGTCTCGCTCTGTTGCCCAGGCTGGAGTGCAGTGGCGTGATCTCGGCTCACTGCAACCTCCACCTCCTGGGTCCCAGTTCAAGCGATTCTCCTGACTCAGCCTCCCGAGTAGCTGGGATTACAGGCATGCACCACCATGCCCAGCTACTTTTTGTATTTTTACTGGAGACGGAGTTTCACCATGTTGGCCAGGCTGATCTTGAACTCCTGACCTCGTGATCTGCCTGCCTCGGCCTCTCAAAGTGCTGGGATTACAGGTGTTATGAAACTATATTATTTTTAACTACTGTCATCTTATAGTGCTATGGAACACTAGAGATTATTCCTCCTGCCTGGCTGTAATTTTATATCCTTTAAAAAATCTATCCCACAAGGATACCTTATTTTCTGAGATAGTATTGAAGGATAAAGAGTGATTGAGGGAGAGACAAAAAGTTGAACCGATAATTCATAACTAATGACTTAATTATTTTTGGATGAACTTTGGAGAGTATTGAGGTTGTCCCTAGGATGGGTTCTCAATATTAGTAAAACTTTGAAATAGTTGTTGAAGAGAATCAGAAAGGGAGCCACGGACAAATACAAAGATTGCTTAGTGGGATTAAGATTCCACCTGAGCCAGGCATGGTGGCTCATGCCTGTAATCCCAACATTTTGGGAGGTGGAAGCAGGAGGATTGCTTGAGCCTAGAAGGAGTGTTTGTGAGAAAGTGGTTTAGGTAATCATTCATGTGTAGATTGACTAAGGAAATGAGATGAAGAAGAGACACGTAGACAGTGAAAGGAGTAAGCCCTAGACTGTGTGTATGAAACTGAGGAGCAGATGCCATGGTAGTGTAAGCATGAGAAAGCTGTGAATGTTGGAAGATTAGGTCATATTGGTTAAAGTGTCGGGCTGTGGAGTGTAGCACATGAAGTAGGTCTTTGGAATTGAAAATGTCTAGGAATCCTGAGACTTGGGTTTGCAGTGGACATTGCCTATGGTTGTGGGACATATGGTAGGGCAGGGCAGAAATAAGACTAAGATGCAGATACCTTCAGTGAATGTGAGGAGCAGTGGTAGGTGGTCAGAAAGTGAGTAGATGGCACTGATAAGGAAGATTAAACGGTGGTATATATGTCGAATGGAGGAGAGAAAATGGTTTGGGAGAGACACTATGGGTAACTAAGAGAATTCAGAGTGTAGGAGACTATTTCTCTGAGTTTTCAGCTATGTTCCAGATAGTTGAGCTATTTCTGTAAACAGATGTCCAAGACCTTGGGTTTACCCATAAAGCTTAATATTTTCATGTGCAAATTAAAATAAAGCAGTTACTTGCTATGAACAGCATGGACAGTAAATTTTCTAGGATACTTTTGAAGAAAAGATTTATTACTTCATCCAGTAACATTTGAAATGTTGAGATCTAGAGGTATGGAAGAAGAGGAAGAGTGATGTGATGGAGGTGAAATGGAGATGGAGAGTGGTATGAGCAGAGGCAGTTGGGGCTGAAGTCAATGAAACTTACCATTTAACCTAGAATAGAGCATGGAGGAAGGAGTAGTTGGGGAAGAAAGGAAGCAGGTTTAGCACCAGGAAACCTACCTCTCACATGTTCAGGCATTTCACCCAATTCTCTCAAACCACAGTTCTCGCATAAAGATACCCCTTATAGCTGTTTTTGGGGTGCAGAGATAGAAGATGTATCTCTGAGCAGTGAAATCAGGGGAGTATAATTTAGGTTTGCCATTCAATATGCTTAAGTGTTTTGGGACTTAAAAAGCAAAATATCAATTGTCCCAGATAACTACATACAGAATCACCCATACACTATTTAGCCAGTAGAGGTGTTGCTGTTTCTCTGGAGAGCCTAATGTTTAATAAGAGTACATGACAGGCCAGGCATGGTGATTCACACCTGTAATCCCAGCACTTCGGGAGATCGAGGTAGGAGGATTGCTTGAATTCAGCAGTTCGACACCAGCCTGGGCAATATGGCGAAACCCAAACCCTGTGTCTCTACCAAAAATACAAAAAATTAGCTGGGCATGGTGGCAGGTGCCTATAGTCCCAGCTACTGGGGAGGCTGAGGTAGGAGGATGGCTTGAGCCGGTGAAGGGGAGGTTCCAGTATGCTGAGATCTGCCAGCACACTCCAGCCTGGTGACAGAGTGAAATCCTGTCTCAAAAAATAAAAGCAGAAAAAATAAAAGCAAAAAAAAAATGACAGAAATACTGCATGTTTGTAGGAATTGAGATGTAAGAAATGAGTCTAGTAAACTGTTAATTCCACATAACAGCCTGCATTAAATCTGATCATTGTATTATGCTATACTAACCTACATCAATAATCATATCCCAGAATTTTGTACTTAGTATAACAGTTTTTGCATTCTTACTAATTCCGTGGGTTTTTTATATCTCATTGATGAGAGTGAGCTTGTCAGTGGGAAACACTAGAGAAATAAAGAGGAGAAACCTGATCAGAGGCATCCCTGGAGTATATTTAATCAAGATGATTGCCTTGGGCAGCTGGCAGGCATGGTGCTCCAGTGAGCAGTGATAAAAGTGTATGGTTATGATTATTCTGATACTTTTATACTTCACTTAACTTGTTCTTCCCCTAATTTTACAGTCTGTGGGATTCTGAAAAACCTTCTGTTGGGGGAATACTCCAGTTCTTGAACCATCCTCAAAGTTTTTCACCACCTAGAAATTAATTTTCTTATAGTAGTGAAGCATAATATTTATTTAATAGTAAATATGCTACTGTATAATAACTACCACAGTTTCATATTATAAAAGTACATTGTCATGACTTAGCCTACACTGTGTTATTGGTGTGGTTTACTGTGTCCTTCAGGTTTGTGATAAGCAAATGCTCACAACATGATTATGGTCTGTACAAATTTAGCCAAAATTGAAATGGGTGTAATATTAAAAAAATTAAGTATCGAACTTTGTTGTGCAAAATTGATGATTCTTTGAAAATTATTGTTTACGAATCACATAATTTTAAGGTTGGTAGGTCTAGTAAATTGTAAACTGTCTATACCTTTGCTACACGGTCATATTAAGTAAACAAACATCTTTCCTCAGTTGTCAAGAATATCATTCAGGCTTGGCGCAGTGGCTCATACCTATAATCCCAGCACTTTGGGAGGCTGAGGCAGGTGGATCGCTTGAGCTCAGGAGTTTGAGACCAGCTTGGGCAACATGGCAAAACCCTATCTCTACAAAAAACACAAAAATTAGCCAGGTGTGGTGGTGTGTGCCTGTAGTCCCAGCTACTTGGGAGGCAGAAGTGGGAGGATTGCTTGAGCCTAGGAGGCAGAGGTTGCAGTGAGCTGAGATTGCGCTGTTGCACTCCAGCCTGGACAACAGAGCCAGACTCTTTCTCAAAACAAACAAGAAGAATAGTTGTTCTACTCCAGCCTCCTGCCTTGGTCATTACACTTGCATGTCCCTCAAGTCTTAGCTGAAGTGTCACCTCCTTAGAAATATAAGACCATCCTTTTGAAGTAATTTATCACCTCATAGAACTTCTCATCTGAAACTCTCATGTTTATCTCTTTATTGTCTGATTCTATGAACTAGAAATAGCAACTTCTTAAATACAGGAATTTCATCTAATTTATTTACCATTGTTTGTAGCTAATTAGAATAGTGCCTAGCATAGAGGAGTTGCTTCGTAAACATTTCTTAAAATGATCTTGAATAAGTAATTTCAAAACAATGCTTTTATAGAACAGAGAGATGTCGTATTTGTGATTTGTGTCCCCCAAATAGATACGTTGAAATCTTAATTCCTATACCTATGAATGCAACCTTATTTGGAAGTAGAATATTTGCAGATGTAATCAAGTTATTAAACAAGCTCATAGGCATTTAGCGTAGGCCCTAATCCAATATGACTGGTGTCCTTATAAGAAGAGAAGACAGACACAGGGAAGAGAATACAGTGTGATGACACAGAGGCACACAGAGGGAAGATGGCCATGTGAAGATGGAGGCAGAGATTAGATTTAATGCTCCAACAAGCCAAGGAACATCTGGGGTTACCAGAAGCTGGAACAAGTCCAGGGAGGATCCTCCCCTAGAGGCTTCAGGGAGAGCATGGCCCTGCCAACACCTTGATTGTGGTCTTCTAGCTTCCAGAACTGTGAGAATAAATTTCTGTTGTTCAAAGCCATCCAGCTTTTTGTATGTTACAGCAGCCCTAGGAAACTAATACAAGGGAAGAGCCTTGCAATTGCAAAGTATAAGAATAAAAGATAAAGGGAGAAATTATTCCCATACAAAATTATCTGGTTTTATCAGCAGTTTCTTTTATTGTCCATCAAGGGTTGCTTGAAATTGTGGGCCGGGTGCAGTGGCTCACGCTTGTGATCCCAGCATGTTGGGAGGCCGAGGCGGGTGGATCACTTGGGAGTTTGAGACCAGCCTGACCAACATGGTGAAACCCCGTCTCCACTAAAAATATAAAAATTAGCTGGGAGTGGTGGTACATGTCTGTAATCCCAGCTACTTGGGAGTCTGAGGCAGGAGAATTGCATGAACCCAGGAGGCGGAGGTTGCAGTGAGCTAAGATCGCGCTACTGTACTCCAGTCTGGGTGACAGAGCAAGAATGTCTCAAAAAAAAAAAAAAAAAAAAAAAAAAAGAAATTCTGTCTGTTACACAGTACGTGTTCCATAGAGTTCCATCGAACTCTATGGGATATGCAAATAGTTTTAAGTGCAGTTTATTTGTAATGAGTAGTTATAATTTTTGATCTTCAAGAGATAGACACCATATTGACTAGGAGTAGGGAGGGGGAACTTACATAGCACTAATGCCAAGCTTTTGTAAGTGTATTACTAAGAGTAAAGAAATGTTTTGAACCTTGGGGAGAAAGTTGGAAGGTCATTTGGTAAAGTACCTCACCTCTTTTTCTTCATGTCCTTAGATCTTTTATTGAGTTGTATTTTAGTGTAGAGTTGGGAGTTAGTTTGGGTTCTATTCCTTCTCTCCTGAAATAATGTCATACTTTAATAAAGTTGCAAAAATAGCACAGAGGTTTTCAACCCTGTACCCCTCACCTAGCTTCCCCAACTGCCAATATCTTACATAACCATAGTAATTGTCAAGAAATCACTGATATGATACTATTAATTAAAATGTAGAACTTATTCAAATGTCATCAGTTGTCCTACTAAAGTCCTCTTTCTGGTGCATGATCCAGTGTGTGATCACACGAGTTTAGTTTTTATGCCTCTCCTGTAATCAGGGACAGTTCCTTAGCCTTACTGTTTCATGACCTTGACACTTTTGAAGAATACTGGCCAGTTATTTTGCAGAATATCCTGCAGTTTGGGTTTATCTGATTATACTTGTGATTAAATTCAGGTTATGCATTTTTGGCAAGAATGCTAAAGAAATATAGTTGTGTCCTTTGTTTATCCTATTAGGAGGCCCCTGTTAATATGTCTCACTATTAGCAGTGTTAACTGTAATCAGTTGGTTATGGAGGGGTCTGCTGGATTTCTTCACTATAACATTACCATTTTCCTCTTTATAATTAGTTTCCTCAGGGGAGATACTTTGATATTCTGTGTAAGTTCTTTTAATACGTTTTAAAAAAAAGGATTTCCTGGAGTTACTGTACTTTTGCCCATTAGTATTCATTATTGATTCCCATCTGAAAAAATATTGTGATGTTCCTCAAATGGTGATTTTCCTATTTCTGTCATTTTGTTTATATTTATTCTACTTGAAGAAGAATCTTTCTCTTCTCCCCCAATTTTCATTCAACTTTGTATCTGTAAAAACTCTTAGACAGCTCTTCTATTCATTATGTTAGGATCCATTACAGTTTCATATTTATATGAAAACCATGAGGTTTTTCCTAATTATAGCAGTGTTCAAGATGTGGAAGATCTTTCAGATTTTCAGATAAAATGTTATTTAATGGGGCCGGGCGCAGTGGCTCACGCCTGTAATCCCAGCACTTTGGGAGGCCAAGGCGGGCAGATCACCTGAGGTGAGGAGTTGGAGACCAGCCTGGCCAACATGGCAAAACCTCGTCTCTACTAAAAATACAAAAATTAGCCGGGCATGTTGGGGCGGGCGCCTGTAATCCCAACTACTCGGGAGGCTGAGGCAGGAGAATTGCTTGAACCCGGGAGGCACAGGTTGCAGCAAGCCAAAATCGCGCCACTGTACCCCAACCTGGGTGGCGAGCAAGACTCTGTCTAAAAAAAAAAAAAACAACAAAACAGGCCAGGTGCGGTGGCTCATGCCTGTAATCCCAGTACTTTGGGAGGCTGAGGCGGGCGGTTCACCTGAGGTCAGGAGTTGGAGACCAGCCTGACCAACATGGCAAAACCCTGTCTCTACTAAAAATACAAAAATTAGCCGGGCATGGTGGCGGGCACCTGTAATCCCAACTACTCAGGAGGCTGAGGCAGGAGAATCGCTTGAACCCGGGAGGTGGAGGTTGCAGTGAGCCGAGATCGTGCCATTGCACTCCAGCCTGGGCGACAGAGCGAGACTCCGTCTCAAAAAAAAAAAAAAAAAAGTTATCTAATGGTGGAACAGTAGTTTTGAGAAGAACTCACAAATAGCTCTCTTTGGATTTAAAGTAACCACACAAAATTAGATACTTTATTTTTCAATAAACAATATTTGTTCGGAATTTTTTGTTATAAAATAACTTTTCCTAAATGAATCAACAAAATAATGAACCACTACAACTTGTTATCTTTTATTTGATTTTGGCCTTATTTTAAAACGTTCATTTAGCCATAGAATTTATTAAGAACTCATTTATTCTGGATTGTGGTCCCAGAGAATTTTTCACTGCATCATCAAACTCAATAGGTACATATTCTTTCTTCAAAAACTTACAGGTTTTTGTGAGTGATTTTTGTAGTAATTATGTGGAAAGGGGGTTGATTAGATAAGGCCTTTAAGCTTGAGTTATAAATTGTGGGAGAAATTTTAGTGTTTATGGGAAGTTTCATTTAGTGGGTTTAATATATACATGTATACTTTTTCACACACATACATAGTTTAAAGGAAATTGAAAATAGAAAGATTGGTCTTCAGTGATGCTTTCTTTACCATATTAAAAACACCATGTGTATTTTTGTTAAATGTTGTAATTTTTTCTTATGGCTGTGGTAGTGCCAATGTTTGTTTATATGAACGCTTGAAATGATTTCTGTATGAAAATCATGGGGCTATACAAACTTACTTATTTTGGTAAGGTTTTGTTGTATTTATAAAAGACAGTTTTCTCGTAAGTACTGTTAGTTAATTCTTTTAGGATCTCTTTAATAGTAGATGTTTATTTTCTTAAGCCAGAGGACATTTTTGGAATATTTTTATTGTTCCTTATGTACAGCCACTAAACTAGTGATATGCTTTTCCTAATGAAGCTATTAGTTGTCACACAATTCTTATTTGTATGAGTATGTAGATTGATTTGTAAAATATTTAAAAGCATGTAATTTTTAACTGGAGAGAGGTTGAGTGATAGTGGTTATTTGAATTTGGGGAAAATTGTAGTTTTTAAAAATCATAATAATTTACTTTCCTTTTTTCTTTTTGGTGACAGGGTCTTGCTCTGTCATCCAGGCTGGAAGGTAGTGGCCCAATCATGGCTCACTGCATCCTTGACCTCCTCGCCTCAAGTGACCCTCCCACTTCAGCTTCTGGAATAGAGTAGCTGGGACTCCAAGGCCTTTTTTTTTTCTTTTCTTTTTTCTTTTTTTGAGATGGGAGTCTTACTTATGTTGCCCAGACTCACTTTTCTTATAATATGCATGGGAACATAAATACTTGTAATTTTGACAGGAAGGTGTGTGTGTGTGTGTGAGCATTCTCTCATATATTTAGTGCAGGGTGATTTAGGATAAGGCAAGTTAATTGTCTTGAGGTTCATTTTTACTTGTTAGCTGTTTTAAAGACTGTGACATTTTTAATGCTGCTTAAATTTAGAGCAATCCAATCAATAACATGCATTTATTTATTTATTTAGAGACGGACAGAGTCTCCCTCTGTTGCCCAGGCTGGAGTTCAATGGCGTGATCCTGGCTCACTGCAGCCTCCGCCTCCTGGGTTCAAGTAATTCTCCCACCTCAGCTTCCCGAGTAGTTAGGATTACGGGCGCATGCTACCATGCCCAGTTAATTTTGTATTTTTAGCAGAGACGAGTTTTCACCATGTTGGCCAGGCTAGTCTTGAATTTCTGACCTCAGGTGATCTGTCCGCCTAGGCCTCCCAAAGTGCTGGGATTTCAGGCGCGAGCTACCGCACCCAGCCATGATTTTTTGTTTTTTAAAAGAAAGCTGCTAACTTTGATTAGTTTGCTAACTCTAAGAGCTTTCCTTGTTTTTAACTTTGTGTACTCTCCTTAAAAATAAATATATCCATAAACACATATACACACACATATTTTTAATTCAACAACTGTTTACTAGGTTTCAAGCATTAAGAATATAGAAGTGAGGTTGGACTTGGTGGCTCATGCCTGTAATCCCAGCACTTTGGGAGGCTGAGGCAGGCGGATCACCTGAGGTCAGGAGTTTGAGACCAGCCTGACAAATATGGTGAAACCCTTTCTCTACTAAAAATACAAAAAATTAGCTGGGTGTGGTGGTGGGTAATTGTAATCCCAGCTACTTGGGAGGCTGAGGCAGGAGAATCGCTTGAATCTGGGAGGCGGAGATTGCAGTGAGCTGAGATCTGAGATCGCGCCATTGCACTCCAGCTTGGGCAACAAGAGCAAAACTCTGTCTCAAAAAAAAAAAAAGAAAATGCAGCCTGGGTAACAAAGTGAGACCCTGTTTCTACAAAAAGTTTTTAAAAAATTAGCCAGGCATAGTGGCGTGTACTTAGTCCCAGCTACTTGGGAGGCTGAGGCCAGGATCACTTGGGCCCAGGAGTTGGAGGCTGTGGCCAGGATCACTTGGGCCCAGGAGTTGGAGGCTGCAGGGAGCTATGAATTGCTCCACTGCACTGTAACCTGGGCTACAGAGCAAGACCTCCCATCTTAAAAAAAAAAAAAAAATGTGTTCACACATATGTAGAAGTGAACAAAAAGGACAAACAATACCTTCCCTCATGAAACTTACATTCCTTTATGCTTTTGTCTTCCTCCTGTAGCTGTGAATTAATATTCATTCTGGAGTTCCAGGTACTCTTCCAGTCACTTACCACAATAACTGTATGCTATATGGGTTCTTTTTTTATTCCAGTTTGATGTATGAGAATACTTAGGCATAGTGAGTTGCAAAGCTAGAAAGTAGAATACGTGGTATGAGAACTCAGGTAATTGAGCCCCAGAACCGAAACTCTTAAATTACTCTTACATTTCTTTTGATTTTAAGGTTTATGTTACTGAGATATTTTAAAAATAGTCTTTTACAGTACAACATTCAGAGAGAAAGAGCAGAATAATGATCTAACCTGCTGTTGCCAGTGAACCTCATCGCTATCCCATTGAGCACATCATTCAGTTTTGGCTTAAAATATCCTTCTGTCTGCTTAATGTTTGAGAGTTTCTAGGCTGATATTTTCAAAAGATTTATTACTCCTCTCTTTCTTGAGTCTTAATGTTTCCTACTTATTTATCTTTTCGTGTGAATTGCTGTGCAACTTGGAAAATCCAATTTTATTTTTGGCATTCTTTTTGTTCACTGAAAGAGCTACAAAATCTGTCTCACAGGCTAAATTTTACTGGGAAAAGAGTTTGGAACTTTATTTTCTTGATGCTACTTAAACCTTTATGCTACAGAGAATTTAAGTATACAGTAGGCTGTCAAATATCATTTTGTTATAATGTTGATGAGGGAAAGAAAAATAGATTGCTTGCTGGGGCCATTGTGCGGAGTTTGCACATTTTCCCCATGTCTGTGTGGATTTCTTTTCTTTGGGTACTCTGGTTTTCTCCCACATACCAGATATGTGCATGTGCCTGTTAATTGACATGTCTAAATTGTCCTAGTATGAGTAGTTTAGGTATGTATGTGAGTGCCCTGTGTGATGGAATGGTGACCTGTCCAGGGTTTGTTCTTACCTTGCTCCCTGAGCTGCTGGGATAGGCTCTGGCCACCTGCGATTCTGAGCTGGAATAATTGGGTAAATAATTATCTGACTTGTTAAAAATTAATCTTTCTTAAATATATGTAAAGCTTAACATTTATTTTAGTGTTTAATATTTTAAATGTTTTGGTGTTTGTTTAGAAGTTTGCTGATTTTTTTGTGACCAGAAGTATGCTGTAGGAACTTAACTATTGTTTATATCAGTTAGCCTATGCTAAAATTGGTTTTGTTACATGTCATTTTGCTTTAACTCTTAGTTTCCAAGAACCCATGGTTGACGTTAAGACTTAGTGTATATTCATGTATGTTATATTCAATAAAAAGTTTTCTGTTAATATACTTGATTTGATATAAACATGAGTAAAATAGTTAAATTCCATTAAAAATAGTAAATGAGTCTATCTCTTCTATGTAGATGGAGTACCACTTACAGAAACTGTTGAAAAGTGGCTTCACAAATAACATCATTGTCATAATTATAATTTTTGATTTGCTTAGCAAATCATGTGGCACCCCACTACCACCACCTGCGTTGTATGTCTGTGTGTGTATACATTGCTAAGAGATTCTTTTCTTTCTTTTTTTTTTTTGAGACAGAGTTTCTTTCTTGGTGCCCAGGCTGGAGTGCAATGGCGTGGTCTCGGCTCACTGCAATCTCTGCCTTCTGGGTTCAAGTGATTCTCCTGCCTCAGCCTCCCGAGTAGCTGGGATTACAGGCGCGTACCACCATGGCTGGCTAATTTTTGTATTTTTAGTAGAGATGGGGTTTCACCATGTTGGCCAGTCTGGTCTTGAACTCCTGACCTCAGGTGATCCACCTGCCTCAGCTTCCCAAAGTGCTGGGATTACAGGCGTGAGCCATGGTGCCCGGCCTCTGGATTTCTTACATTACAATTTTATTGTTTTTCTTATATAGATTCTACGTATTTTGTTGGATTTACACCTAAGAATTTAATTCATTGATGTGAATGCAAATGATACTGTGTTTTTCATTTAAAATTATATTTGTTCATCGTCTACAGCAAAGTGATTGACTTTTATATATTAGCCTTGTATCTTGAAACCTTGCTATAATAGCTTATTAGTTCCAAGAGTTGTTTTATTTTGCCTTTGTCAGTTCTTTCAGATTTTCTATATAGACAGTTTTGTCATCTGGAAATAAAGTTTTATTTCTTCTTTCCCAAGCTATGTACCTTTTGTTTATTTTCTTTCTCTTGTCGCATTAGCCAGGATTTCCAGTGTGATGTGAAAAAGGAGTGGTTGAGAATAGCATCCTAGCTTTTTTCCTGGTTTAACCGGAAAAGCTTTGAGTTTCTCTCCATTACATGTGATGTTAGCTGCAGCGTTTGGAGATACTCTTTATCGAGTTGAGAATGTTCCCCTATATTTCTCATTTACTGAGAGTATTTATTATGAATGGGTGTTGGATTTTGTCAAGTGCTTTTCCTTTGTCTTTTGGTATGATCATGTAGTTTTTCTTTTTTGGCTCTTTATATGATGTATTATATTAATTGATTTTTGAATGTTGAACCAGCCTTGCATGACTGAGATAAATCCCACTTGGTCTTCATGTAAAATTCTTTTTACACATTGTGTGTTTTGATTTGCTGATGTTTCTGTTGAGGATTTTCACATATATGTTTATTAGAGATATTGATGTGTAATTTTCTTGTAGTGTTTTTGTGTAGTTTGGTGTTACAGAAATGCCTCACAGAATGAATTCGAAAGTAGTTCCTTCTTGTCTCTTTTTTGGAAGATTGATGTTAATTCTTTTTAAACCATGTTTGGTATAATTAAGCAGTAAGGCCATCTGGTCCTGGGCTTTTCTTCCTGGGGAGATTTTTGATAACTGATTCAGTGTCTCGTTATAGTTCTTTTCACATTTTTTGTGTTTTTTGAGCCAGTTTTGACGATTTGTGCATTTCTAGGAATTTGTCCATTTAATATGTTACTAAATTTGTGGACATATGTTGTTTACCGTATTCTTTTGCCCCTTCTCTCTTTTTTTCAAAAGTCATTTTATTTAAAGATATGTCAATTTTGTTTACCTTTTCCAACAACAAACTTGTGGTTTTATTGATTGTATTGTTTTTCTAATCTCAATATAGTTTATCTGTGCACTAATTATTTCTTCAGTTTGCTGCCTTTGGGCTTAGTTTGCCCTTTGTATTTTTTTTCTTCAGTTGTAGAATTAGGTCATTTATTTGAGCTTTTTTTTTTTTTTTCCCTAAAAGCTTGATTTTTACAACTGTATTTTCCTCTGAGCACTGCTTTTGCTGCATCCCATACATTTTGATATATTGTGTTTTTGTTTCATTTATCTCCAAGTATTCTAATTTCTCTGGTTTTTAAAAAAAAATTTTGAGATTCTGTTGTTAAGGGTTTATAACTTTATGATTTTTTATATGTTTGTAAGGAAATGAATTGGGGACCCCCCCATTATATGGTGCCCTGGTTTTTTTTTTGTTTGTTTGTTTTGGGGGCTGAAGCAGGGTCTCTGTCACCCCAGGCTGGAGTGTAGTGGCCCAGTCATGGCTCACTGTAGCCTCAACCTCCTAGGCTCAAGTGATCCTCCCACCTCAGCCTCTCGAATAGAGTAGCTGGAACCACAGGTGTGTGCCACCACGCCTGGTTAGTTTTAAAATTTTGTTTTTGCCTTTTTAAAATTTTTTTTATGTTTATTTATTTATTATTTTTTGAAACAAGGTCTCACTCTGTCACCGAGACTGGAGTGCAGTGGTACGATCTTGGCTCACTGCAACCTCCGCCTCCTGGGTTCAAGTGATTCTCCTGCCTCAGCCTCCTGAGTAGCTGGGACTTCAGGTGCCTGCCACCATGCCTGGCTAATTTTTTTTTTTTTTTTTTTTTTTTTTTTTAAGTAGAGACAGGGTTTCACCATGTTGGCCAGTCTGGTCTTAAACTCTTGACCTCAAGTGATTCGCCCGCCTCAGCCTCCCAAAGTGCTGGGATTATAAGCGTGGGCTACTGTGCCTGGCCAGTTTTTAAATTTTTTTGTAGAGATGGAGTCTCTATATATTCTGCCTGGGCTGGTCTCGAACTCCTGGCCCCCACCAGTGATCCTCTTGCCTCGGCCTATAATATCTGTGCCCCTGACCCCCCCCCCCCCCTTTTTTTTTGATATGGAAACTTTTGCTCTGTTGTCCAGGTTGGAGTGCAGTGGCACAATCTTAGCTCACTGCAACCTCTGCCTTCCGAGTTCAAGTGATTGTCCTGTCCCAGCCTCCCAAGCAGCTGGGATTGCAGGCACCTGCCACCACACCTGGCTAATTTTTGTATTTTTAGTGGAGATGGGGTTTCACCATGATGGCCAGGGTGATCTGGAGCTCCTGACCTCAAGTGATCCACCTGCCTCAGCCTCCAAAGTGCTGGGATTACAGGCGTGAGCCACCATGTCTGGCCTCCCTTTAGCATTTCTTGTAGGGCATGTCTAGGGACAAATTCCTTCTGCTCTTATTTTTCTATGAATGTCTTAATTTCTCCCTTGAGGGATAGTTTTACTGGTTATATAGTTCTTTTTTGATGGTTTTTCTTTCAGCACTTTAGTTATGTCATCCTACTGCCTTTTTTACTTCAATGATCACATTTTTTAATTTTTATTTTGGGGCCGGGGTGGGGGTACTTTCTGGCCGAAACTGGAAAGCCTGCTGGACAAATTCAAACATTAACATTAAAAAAATGGACATTTTGAATATTAAAATGTTTTCACTCTGGGAATCATCCTTTCACCTCCCCCATGCCCTGTTTGATTTTACTGACTGTTAAAATCTATAGTCATCTGTTTATTTAGTGATTCCCCGCCCTCCCCCAACTACTTTTGCCAAGACTGTCTTTATTGTCCTGTGTGGACACTGACATTTTTCATCTTGGTGGTCAAACCAGTAACCTGATAGATTTACCTAAAGAATTGGCACCCAAAAGAGGGAAAAACCCTCTGTGGGTATTTGCAGATAGGTTCTTTGCGGAAGTATTTTTGCAATAAATAGCCTGGCCATTTGCAGCTTGGCCTTAGTCTTCATCTTCTGCTTGCACAGAGCTCAAAGATCAATTAGAGGTGCAAGCCTATGCTTCTCTCAGGCCTCCTCTGACCATGCTTTTAGCCTTGGGCATGCGTGTAGCACCTTGAATTCCCCAGAATACGTGGGAGTCTTTGAAAGCCCTTAGTCCGTAACATATTTTCCTCCTTAGACTCTTTATTCTAAGGCTTTACATATTGCTGCTTGTCTTGTATGCTGTCTCTTACCCCAGAGAGCTTATGTGTAGTATATATATTTAAATCCTTTCAGCAGATGCCAGCTGGGAATCTCTTCAAAATGCACAGCTATCATTTTTGAGAAGGAAGTTGGTATTGCTCCCACAGGTACCAGCAAGTTGCACCAAGAGTTTGATCTGCTGTCCTCATTGACACTGTTGAGTTGGGGAATGGGCGATGGTAGGCAAGTAAGCAAAAGACGCCATAGTGCCTTCTCACCAAATTTTGCAGCTTCTTTCTTTGTTAAGCACCCCTCTCTTTGTAAGTTTTATTAGATTCAGGAATTCTGTAAAAGTTGATTTCAGTTTTTGTCAACCCAAGTGTTGTTTCACTGGAGAGGCTTATTCTTGAAGTTTTCTACTCATCGATTTCCCATGGTATGACTCCTTTCATTTTTTTGAAAGATTATCACTTGGTATGTAATTCAGGGTTGACTTTTTTTTTCCCCCTCTGTCAGTACTTTTAAGATGTTACTCCATTGTCTTTGAACTTACATAGTTTCCATTAGGAAGACTGATACTGATCTTTGTCTTTCTGTATGTATGTATCCTATTTCTTTAGCTTCCTTTTGAATTTTCCCTTTAACTGTGGTTTTTAGCAGTTTGTGTAGTTTGATGTATTCTGCTTGGGAATTCTCTGATCTTACATCTGTTTTGATATCTTACATGATTTTTTGAACATTCTTCCCCATTATATCTCTTCAAATATTTATTCTGCCTTGTACTTTGTCTTTCTGTCCGGAATTGTAACTATACCTGTGTTATTCCATTTGATACGGTATAATGGCCTAGTGTGGACTGTTAGGTCCTACTACCCCTGCTTTTGAAAAATATGAGACTTTATGTTTTTTAGAGCCATTGTAGGTTCACAGCAAATTTGAAGGAAAAGTAAAGAGTGTTTGCTTATATTCTCTGTCCCTACACGTGCACAGCCTACCGTACTATCAACGTCCTGCACGAGAGAACATTTTTTATCAGCTGATCAACCTATATTGACAAGTCACTATCACCCCAAGTTGCTACTTTAAATTAGGGTTGACTCTTGCTGTTGGTGTCTTGCTGTTTTTGGACTCCTGCTGTTTTTACAAATCTGTAATGACACATCCATCACACATGTTTCACTGCCCTAAAAATCTTCTGTGATCTGCCTGTTCATCCCTTCCACCCACTAAATCCTTGGTAACCACCGATTCTTTTACTGGCTCCATAGTTTTGCCTTTTCCAAAATGTCATATGGTTGGAATCATGCAGTATGTATCCTTTTCAGATTGGCTTCTTTACTTAATAATATTTAAGGTTCTTTCATGCCTTTTCAAGGCTCTCAAGCTAATTTTAATGCCAAATAATATTTCACTGTGAGGATGTGCGTAGTTTATTTATTCATTTACTTAGTGAGAACATCTTAGTTGCTTCCAAGTTTTGGCAGTTATGAATAAAACTGCTATAAACATCTGTGGACATTGGTTTTCAGCTCATTTGGGTAAATGCCAAGTAGTGTGATCACTGGTAGTGGTGTGGATTGATTGTAGTTTATGAATTTTGTCATCCTCATTTTATTTTAAAATAATTTCTTTTTTTTAATTGACAGGATTGCCTTTGAGGTTATTTTAAAAGTTTTGAGTTGTACAGCACTTGATTATTTTGCTGCATTGTGAAAGGACCTCTCCAGCAATGATTACTTCAGAATTACCAGTGTTACAGTAAGTATTGTAATTTTCTTTTTTTTATATTTTTTAAGGAAAATTTTGGACAACTTATTTCTTTATCAAAATGCTCTCTTCGATGATACATTTCAAATATGTTCTTTGATATTGGGACAATATCTTTGCAGTGTAAGTAGTAGTAGGGTGTGTAATTACCGTATCCATTCATGGCTTTTGCTATTGAACTGTCAACATGTTTTCTGATATTCAACAAAAAAGATGTTAATGTCCTATATCAGGAGTCAGCAAACTGTGGCCCATGGGCCAAATATGGCATGTTGTCTCTTTTTGCAAAATAAAATTTTGGATGAGAGCCATACTCATTCCTTTACATGCTGTTTATGACTACTTTGTATTACAAGTTGTGACAGTGATAGTATTGCGTGGAAAGCCTAAAATATTTAGTCTGGCCATTTACAAAAAATAGTTTGGTGTCACCTATCTTATACCATACTCTTTCTCTACCCCTTCTCTACCCCCCCTCCCTGCTCACTTCCAGCTCTTTTATTATGATTCTTTCTTTTTCCTTAGATTGAGATTGTTGAGGTGTTCCGGCTACCAGAAGAAATGTAAGGGATACACCAGTTGACATTTTTGATGGCGTCCCATTAGATTTGTTGGAGTTAAGGACAGATTTAGAATTGGGACTTATTTTTATTTTTATTTTCTTTTGAGATGGAATTTTCCACTGTTGCCCATGCTGGAATGCAGTGGTGCGATCTCGGCTCACTGCTACCTCTGCCTTCCGGGTTCAAGCGATTCTCCTGCCTCGACCTCCTGAGTAGCTGGGATTATAGGCACGTGCCACCATGCCCGGCTAATTTTTGTATTTTTAGTAGAGACGGGTTTCACTATGTTGGCCAGGCTGGTCTCGAACTCCTGACCTCAGGTGGTCTGCCCACCTCAGCCTCCCAAAGTGCCGGGATTACATGCATGAGTCACTGTGCCTGGCCAGATTTAGAATTGGGACTTATTCTGGGAAATGTGATCACAGGAATGGCAGATATTGTTCCTTTCATAGCTTTTATCATGATGCAAGTCGGGAATCTGCATACTTTGATTCTGTATAACAATGGTTTAGATATAATAAAAGTGATGAGCACTTTAAGCAGTTATTTATATATTATTACTACTCAGTTCATTTACATACCTTATTTTCAAGAGAGAACCTCTGATTGATCTCTTGGCCTTCTTTTTTTCCCTTCCAGCATTCTAAGACACAGAGCTATCCAAATTTCTTTAAACCGCTTGAAAAACCATCAATACTGTCCTCCTGTCCTTTCGCCGACATATGGGAGATAAAATTTATTTCTGCCTACTTATTTCTTTTTTACCCCTGTACCTGAGCATGATATCATATA
This sequence comes from Homo sapiens, assembly GCF_000001405.40. Classification (NCBI taxonomy): domain Eukaryota; kingdom Metazoa; phylum Chordata; class Mammalia; order Primates; family Hominidae; genus Homo; species Homo sapiens. The sequence continues at coordinate 136,629,505 of NC_000003.12, read as the reverse complement.
TATAAATATATGAACATATATAAATATGGTATAAATACCATATTTATATGATATTTAAGTTTGGAGGGCCCCTTATAGTATTTTCTTTCTTTTCTTTGTACTTATACACTTCTGCCCTTACCTGGCCAAGCCACTATCTATTTAAGTCTTAGCTCAGGTCTTATGCCTCCAGAAAAGTACTTAATGTAACATTTTATAATTGTCTCTTGTTTTTTCTGACCCATCTCCTAAACTGCATTGTGTGCCTTATTTTTGTATGTCCTGCTGCTAGGACACTGTTGGGTATTAGGTAGGCCTTTAATAGCTCTTTGATAAAATATGAAACAGAGGTTATATTTAAATTGAAGTTGTATTACATGAGTTTGTATTGACATTATATCTAATATATCATGCTTTGTGAGTGAATTTTTTTCAAAAGAATGTAAATCTGTAATATGTCTGTGGGTACTGGACAGTGGTGATCTGGGAGCTGGATAAATGAGCTCTGGTTTAGATCTGTCAGCCGAAGATGGTACTCTTGGTTAAATTGAGATGTCCAATTTTGGTTTTAAAATGTAGACACTATAAAGACCACTCTAGTGATTATCCTTATTATTTCTTGGCTTACTTAGATATTGTAATTGCTGATGGATTTGTCACCTTAGTGCTGTTTACTATTAAGCATTGTCAAAACATTATCATTTACTACATTTTATATTCCGGGAAGCCTACTAGGTTCTGGGTAGATATAACATGTAGAGCAGACTTAGTTCTTTTTGCAAAGAAGCTTGTAAAGTTAGATATAAATCAAATAATCACAAATACATAGTTCTAAACTATCATTGGTGCTGTGAAGGAAAAGTAGGAGGTATTATGAGAATTTTAACACATGCCTTTGTTTAGTCTACTTTTCTAAGGAAGAGACAGTTGAACTGAGGTCTTAAGTGGGGTTTAGGAGAAGAAGAAGGGAGCAGGCTATTAGGCCCAGACTGAGATTATGTCATGCAAGGACCCTGCGATATGTTTGAAGGCCTGAAATAAAGCCTCCCCCCACCCCTTTTTTTTCTCCAGCACTGGGGATGGAGAGTGACATGAGATAAACTGTGAGTAGGGAGGAACAATATCATATCAGTACCTGCTAAGTCATGTTCAGAATTATGTTTTTTTCTCTTCACTATGTGTATTATTCCATTTTCACACTGCTATAAAGAACTACCTGGAACTGGGTAATTTATGAAGAAAAGAGATTTAGTTGACTCATGGCATGGCTGGCGAGGCCTCAGGAAGGTGAAGGGGAAGCAAGCACCTTCTTCACAAGACAGCAGGAGAGAGAGAAGTGGGGGAGTGGAAGGAAGTACCACACTTTAAACCATCAGATCTCGTGAGAACTCACTATCACAACAACAGCATAGAGGAAACTGCTCCCGTGATCCAGTCACCTCCCACCAGGTCCCTCCCTCGACAGGTGGGGATTACAGTTCGAGATGAGATTTTGGTGAGGACACAGAGCCAAACCGTATCAGCATGATAGAGATATAATAAGCTATATACTTAGAAAGTTACTTGGTGCAGTATAGTATTAGATGGGAAAGGCCAACACTAGAAACAAGGAGACCTGTCAGGAGAAGGATGTTGCAGTATCTAGGGAAAAGATGATAAACTAGTTACCCTGGAGATAGAAAGAGGTAGACAGAATTTAGAGAGCTCTAGGGAGCAAAATCATTTTTTAAACAAGATTTGATCTTACTCTTCCATGCTCTTAATTTATGTCTAGTAGTGTTATAAATGTGAACATTAGCCATTTGCAGGAGTTTTGAAGAGCAATTGGTCAAAGTTTGAATTTCCATACCCCTTGACCTGTCATTTTCACTGCATATATCCTAAAGAGAAACTTGATTATGTAGTAAGATTTATTTATGTACAAGAACAGTCATTTCAGCCCTGTTTGTAATAGTGCAAAACTAGAGACAAACTAAGTGCTCATTGATAAGGAAGTAGCTAAATAAGTTCAGTGCATATTATGGAGTGCCATTCAGGAATCTAAAATATTTATATGGAAGATTCTCATGTATGTAACACTTAAAAAATTGAAATATTGATATTTATATTTTGAGAGAGAGAGACAGAGAGATGCAAAAGCCTAAATATTTATGGCAGCGTCAAACTATTAACAGTGGTATTCTGCAGATGGGATTCAGAGTTAGGATGAGATAAAGTGAAACTTTTCCTTGTATTCTTATATATTTTCTGTTGCTCGAAATTTTCTTTTTCAAAAGCCTAGAATTTGTTTTCTTATGTCTTAATAATTAAACATACACATACTAACACATAACAGTGCATTAGCTGTTTGTTGGCAATAGTTCTCACTGTTTAAGCTGACTGCAGTTGGCAGCATTATTAAACAAATTGTACTTTTCTGACTCTTGGTAGGGGCATCAATAAACAATACTGCTGAAGAATAGGTTAGTTTCACTAATGGGTCAGTAATTATATTCTAGAACCAACCTGCTCCTATAGTTGCCTGGACACTTGTAAGCATCAAAAGCACTTGGAGATTTTGTCCACACAAGATAAATACGAAACATAGTATTTGCATTGTAGTATCTTAACATGAAAATAGAAAATTCAGGTTGATCTTGAGATCTAACTGGACTCTGCCACTTACTAAGTGTGCGACTGTGGACAAGTTTATCGGGTTTTCAGATCTTTCATTTCCTCATTCATAAAATCAGGAAGATAACATGCTTCTTACAAGGTTTTTGTGCATATGTATTATAGATAACATATGTAAACTGACACATAGTCTATACTGAACATGGCCTATTTGGATTGTAGTGAGGAGAAAAAGCAGTATGATTCATTGTTCTTTAGTAGAGACAAATAAGATTGACTGGATCCGGGTTGGCAAATACTGCTAGTGGTTCAGATGCCTCTTTTAAATAAAATGTTGAAACATAGCCACACCCATTAATTTGCATATTGCATATGGCTGCATTTATGTTATGTCACCAGGGTTGAGTAGTAGCTATAGAGAACTTAAGACCCATAAGCCTAAAATATATACTGTATGGTTTTTTGTTTTTTTGGTTTTTTTTTTTTTTTGAGATGTAGTCTCACTCTGTTGCTCAGGCTGGAGTGCAGTGGCGTGATCTTGGCTCGGCCAACCTACGCCTCGTGGGTTCAAGCAATTCTCCTGCCTCAGCCTCCCAAGTAGCTGGGACTATAGGCGCACACCACCATGCCTGGATAATTTTTGTATTTTTAGTAGAGAAGGGGTTTCACTATGTTGGCCAGGTAGGTCTCGAACTTCTGACCTCATGATCTGCTGGCCTTGGCCTCCCAAAGTGCTGGGATTACAGGCATGAGCCACTGCACCCGGCTGTATGGATCTTTATGAAAAAGCTTGCTGACCCTGGACATCATTTACAATATTATTTATAGTTTCATTTTTGTTGTTTTGTTTTGTTTGTTTTTGAGACAGAGTTCTACTCTTTCGCCCAGGCTGGAGTGCAGTGGTGCTATCTCTGCTCACTGCAACGTCCATCTCCCGGGTTCAAGCGATTCTCGTGCCTCAGCCTCCCAAAGTGTTGGGATTACAGGCATGAGCCACTGCGCCCAGTCTTATTTATGGTTTTAAATACCAGATTAACTTTAAAGATATATAAGTTAGAGTAATATGATAACTTTGAAGATTTACAAGTGGGTAAGTAATGATGTGAGAATATTACTGGCAGCGGTGTGTAGAATGGCTTGAATAAGCAGCAGTAGGGAGATAAATTGAGATTATCATGGGGAGTGGTGATTGTGGTAATAATCCTGGAAAGAGTGAGAAACAGATTATATTGTTCTGAGAAGGATGGCTGAGGTAGGATTATGTTAGCAGGAGGCACAAGAAGACTGATATCATTCTATCAATTCGAGTTTATAGACAGGATAATGGTGACAATAAATTTGTATAATAACTTAAAGCATACGTATGCATAACTTAAATCAGTTAATTAATTGTATCTCTGTGAGTAGAAAGTCAGAGGTAAGTCAGGATTGGATTCAATTTTAGATGTGGCATTTGGTGAATTTGAGGTGGCATTCAAGTAAGTATGTCATGCATGCAAGATAAAAATCCTGAGTCAGAGATCTGGAATGCGGTCAGGTGTACTGATAGGGTATTGAAGTCATTTGCATAGAAGTTACACATTAACTGGATGAAATCTCCAAGGGAGTGTAATATAAATGGAGAAGAGCAGACCTAACAGTTGAGCTTTAAGGAAGAGGGAATGAGCCTAAAAGAGCATTTGGTGAAGGAGATTGAGAAATAGTAGATTGTGAGTTGGACTTACCATTTGCTATGTACTTTTCCTACTCTTTACAATTTTATGCAGTAATGTAGAATTTAGTGAAGAGATTCTTGTTCATGCTGTCTAAACCTTTTCAATGCTGTGTTGAAGCCAGCTTGTATTGGCCTGTGAGAGTTAAATATTAAATTTTTAGGAATTTTGCAAGGTAGCTAAACACAACATATCTGTTTTAAAAAGTTAACTTATATAAGCTTAAATTAAATGTCATATGAAAAATAAAAATAGTAAATACTCAAAATTCATCACTTCCTAATTATTTCATGTTACTATTTATGCTCTTGAAGTTGTTATTTAAACCTGTTGTGTCTTTGTGGTAGAAATATGTTTTAATGCTGTACTACTGTTTGTCACTTCCCACCTCACTTTGGTTATGCCACTTTGGTCATTTGAAATTGGCTATGGTAGGAATATGTACACCGTGAAAATCAGCAAATGATAAAAATCAATGCTTAATTTATTGTTTTGTTGATTATAGACTTAAGAAAGTGATAGAGAAATTGTTAACAATGCAGATTCAACTTAAAGGTGTATCGGATGGTCTATACCCATTACAATACAATAACAAAAAATTGAGGAAGCATGTTTCCTCAGCCCTTATCTGAGTCAGCAGAGAAGTTGCTCACACCATTGACTAATGAATGAAGTTTCAACAAATGTCTTTATAATTTTACTTGCATCCTACTCATTAAAGTGAACAAAAATAGAAACCACCTTTCATGTTAAAATTCCTATTCATTCATCAGTTGCAGCTGTAGGTTAGATTCCAATAATTGGCTGGGCACGGTGGCTCACACCTGTAATCCCAGCACTTTGGGAGGCCGAGGCAGGTGGATCATGAGGTCAGGAGATCGAGACCATCCTGGCTAACACGGTGAAACCCCATCTCTACTAAAAATGCAAAAAAAATTAGCCGGGCCTGGTGGCGGGTGCCTGTAGTCCCAGCTACTTGGGAGGCTGAGGCAGGAGAATGGTGTGAACCCGGGAGTTGGAACTTGCAGTGAGCTGAGATTGTGCCACTGCACTCCAGCCTGGGCGACAGAGTGAGACTGTCTCAAAAAAAAAAAGATTCCAATATAAGAGTTGGGCAAAAATTATCTTTAAAATTATTTTGTGAGAATCGGTTATGTGGAATTTACAATAAAGAGTGTTTTGTGTTTTATTATTGTTTGTAAATTATATGCTAAGTATCCTTTATGTCTTTTTTGTTGGTTTATTTTGTTTTCAGACAGAGTATTGCCCTGTTGCCCAGGCTGGAGTGCAGTGGCGTAATCTCGGCTCACTGCAACCTCCGCGGGTTCAAATGATTCCCCTCCCTCAACCTCCTGAGTAGATGGGATTACAGGCATGCGCCACCATGCCCGGCTGATTTTTGTACTTTTAGTACTGATGGGGTTTTACTATGTTGGCCAGGCTGGTCCCAAATTCTGATTTCAGGTGATCCGCCTGCCTCACCCTCCCAAAGTGCTGAGATTTATAGGCATGAGCCACCGTGCCCGGCCGTATGTCTTAATACTTATAACTTAGGTGTTTGTATTTTTTTTTTGAAAAGACTGGCATAACACTGCCCTTCATGACTTTATAAAATAAACAAAATAAATAAAAATATTCCTAAGCCTTCATATTTTTGTACTGAAGAATTAGTCTTTTGCAGTTATATTTTGCATTTATTTTTGTATAGCAGCTATCATTTCCACAATCATTTCTTCCTCTTCATTTCCCTCTTTATTTGGGGGATTCATTTCACTCACTGTTATGTGAAATTAGGAAGGGAGGATAACATTTTTAGTTTGCTAGAGAGTTTCTCTGAAAGTAGAAGTATAAACCACTTCTAATCAGCCATATAGCAGGTGGTAAGGAAAGTAGTGAAACAGAAATGCATTATACTTATTAATTTGTTCGCTAAAATAATATAACATTTTCTAGGGATTCAACTAATGAAACTACTGCCCATTCCGATGCTGGCAGCGAGCTTGAAGAAACAGAGGTCAAAGGAAAAAGAAAAAGGGGTCGTCCTGGCCGGCCTCCAGTATGTATTATGCTTGTCTTCTTTGTTCCTTTAATAGTGACCGTGTTAATGAGTTTATATGAGTTGTTAATTCTAGTGCTAGTATGGTTAATACTTAAAAAAAATTCAGTGACACAATAGAGATTGGAAACTTTTTTTCACATAAATTGTCTTGGCAGTGATCAGAAAAAGGAGATGATTGTAGTATGATTTTGTTGCCCTCCTTCTCTTTGTAAATAAATGGTAGTCCATGTGAAGGCATAGAGAAGGTCACTAACAGTGAATGAGGTTTAGTTAGTTAAGACTTGCTGCTTTTCAGATGCAACTCTGATTTCTTATGAGCTCCCAAGTACTGTTTTGGAGTTTGGGGCCAGTCTCAGAGTATATTCTCATTGATAACCTGATTGGGAAGTTTAGAAGAGCTCTAGATAATCCTACTTTGAGAGATAGCTTAATGTATTGTACGAGCATCAGTCATAATTTAAGCATGCATAAACCCTATAGAAGATACTGTTATCTGCTTGTCAAGGGGTTAAGGGTTATACTGTTCTATGTTTGCTTTTATGATGTGATTTGCTATTAGTAATTCTTTTCTATTTTATGAAAATTCTTCTAATGGAAACTCTTAGCCTCCTTTTAATAGGAGACATCATATAATGAACCCACCATATAGCCATTACCCAGATTTAGCATTTATCAAATCATGACCAATCTTGTTTCATCTCATCACCCCTCCTCCTTTTTTTCCATCCTATGTTATTTTTAAGGTCATTCTAGACATCATTCCATCTGTAAATATTTTAGTGTGTATTGCTAAAAATAAGGGCCTGTTTCTTCTTTCCCCCCCACCGATCGAGTCTCACTCTGTTGCCCAGGCTGGAGTGCAATGGCACAATCTTGGCTCACTGCAACCTCCACCTCCTGGGTTCAGCGATTCTCCTGCCTCAGCCTCCTGAGTAGCTGGGATTATAGGCCCTCACCATCATGCCCAGCTAATTTTTTCTTTTCTTTTTTTTTTTTTTTTTTTTTTTAGTAGAGATGGGGTTTCGTCATGTTGGCCAGGCTGGTCTCGAACTCTTGACATCAGGTGATCCACCCGCCTCAGCCTCCCAAAGTGCTGGGATTACAGGCCTGAGGCACCGCACCCAGCCCTCTTTTTTTTTTTTTTTTTTTTCCACACCACCACAATATCATTGTGAAGTCCCAGTATAAAATATTTTATTAATATCACCAAATAGCCAGTTTTATAGTTTGTAATCATCTTATGAACATTTAAAATCTAGTTCGGTGGTTAGAGTCATGACACAGGAATGATCCACCCCCTGCAACTGATGGTTATGTTGCTTAACCAGTTATTGTCTATATGTCTTTTACAGTGAGTTACACAACAAGACTGGTTTTTTGATAAGTTAAGTCATTTTTCCCTCTTGTTTGCCAGAATTTTTAATTAATTACTCCTCCAGGCCAACCTTAAAATAAAAAACAAGATGAAAGACTTCTTGTATTTTGCTATACACTTGCTTTTATCCTCTACTTTTATTTAAAGGAAAAAAATAATGGGGGAAGACATGCAGTATAGTAACTTTTTGTATTATTTCTTCATTTGTAGAAGTATTTGGTGGTACAGTATTCTTTACAAACGTATTTTGGGAAAAGTGAGAGTTTTGCACTTGGAAGCTGTTGACTATTCTAGTTCCCATTACTACCATGTGATTTTTCTGAGACCATAGGCAAGTTTCATTGCTATCCTGGCAATCTCAGGATATAACTGCAGAATTGGAAATAAGACTAGATTTGCTTAAAGGTAGGAGAATGAATTGCCCACATGTTTGCTTACTTGAATTTGTTCTCCCCAACTTGAAATTCTTCACTTACAGGATTCAGATTAAGTACTGTCTCCTTAAAGAAACTTTTTTATTTTTCCTAAAGAGAATTTACCACCCCACCAGCAGGCTATTGTATAATTCGTTAGAACCTGTTTAAGTTTTATGTGTGTACAGCTGAATCCTTGTAATGTTGTACCTTTTTTTTTTTGAGACGGAACCTTACTCTGTCGCCCAGGCTGGAGTGCAGTGCAGTGGCATGATCTTGGCTCACTGCAACCCGTGCCTCCTGGGTTCAAGTGATTCTTCTGCCTCAGCCTCCTGAGTAGCTGGGACTACAGGCGTGCGCCACCACACCCAGCTAATTTTTTGTATTTTTTAGTAGAGATGGGGTTTCACCAATGTTGTGCTTTTTTGATGAAAAGAAGTCTGTGTACCCAAATGCTTAACCCTTTTGTGGTAGGAAATACTTGATTTTTACTGAAGTTACTACTACATAATCTAGTAAGTAAATAGTGCATGTTCATGCCATATTTACAGTATTGAAAAAATGTCAACCAGTATAAGAAAGTAGTATTCTAGAAATTTGTTTTATTTATATTTCAGTCTATACATTCACACAAATTAGTTCACATGGCTGTCTGTACTTCCACCTAACTCAATCAGTCCCATTTCTTGATTGTGCCAACAATGTAACATAAACAACTTCCTGAATTTCTACTTTGAGCTTTGTTTTGGCTTTTTATGTTATTTAATCCTCACACTAGTGTTATGAAATAGGTCTTAGATGCAGTTTACAGAGTAGAATATGAAGTTAAAAAGTGGTAATTTGCCTAAGGTCACACAGCAAGTAAATGGGAAAGCTAGGATTTGAATTTATATGATAACTCCCACACTGTTTCTCTTAAGGAAGCCAGAATGCCAAGCTGTTAATTAATCTTGAGAGTTATAATTGTCAGAATGATCAGATTGGAGTCCTGCCTCAGGTACCTATTATGAAGAAATATTGGACATTTTCTATCAACTAGCTGCATTTTGAACAATAAATCAAGTTTTAACTGATAGCATTCTTTGTTTAGCTGTAGTAATACTATTCATCACTTCTTTTTTTAAGTTTAATCCTTTTAAAATTTATTACTTTTAAAAGGCATTTCTTGTATCTTTGGTTTTCATTTAGCCAGTCAAAAACAAATAATATAAGGAGTTTCTATTATAGGCAGTATTGTTTCCTTTACTTCTATTTTATGTTTTATTTTATTTTATTTTATTTTTTCTTTTGAGACAGGATCTCACTCTGTCACCCAGGCTGCAGTGCAGTGGCGCAACTGTGGCTTACTGCATCCTCAAACTCCTGGGCTCAAACAGTTCTCCCACCTCCTCAGCCTCCTGAATAGCTGGGACTACAGACGCACGCCACCACGCATGGCTGATTTATTTTTGTGTGAAGACCGGGTCTCACTATGTTGTCCAGGCTGGTCTTAAACTCCTGGGCTCAACTGATCGTCCCACCTCAGCCTCCCAAAGTGCTGGGATTACAGGCAGGAACCGCTACCCCGGCCTCTCCTTTTTTTTTTTTTTTTTTTTTTTGAGACAGAGTCTCGCGCTGTTGCGTAATCTGGAGTGTAGTAGCACGATCTTGGCTCACTGCAACCTCTGCCTCCCAGGTTCAAGCAATTCTCCCACCTCAGCCTTCCAAGTAGCTGGGATTACAGGCATGCGCCACCACACCTGGCTAATCTTTGTATTTTTAGTAGAGACAGGGTTTCACCATGTTGGCCAGGCTGGCTTGAACTCCCGACCTGAAGTGATCCACCAGCCTCAGCCTCACAAAGTATTGGGATTACAGGCGTGAGCCACCACGCCAGGCCTAAAGATGTGTTTAACATTGCAAATCGCCACCTCTACCCAATATGACTTAACTGTTTTCCCCTTGCGCTAACGTAACATACATTTTACTTACTTGCTTATTGTCTCTCTCCTACAACTGGAATGTAAGTTGTGTGAAGGCAGGAATTTTTATCTAGTGTGTCTTCTGCTATTTACTAGTGTCTGACCTGCAGTAAGTGTTCAGTAAATGTTTAATGAGTGAATGGTGTTTTAATTTTGTTAAATAAGCACTGCCCCACCCCCTGCCCTTTGGTGTTTAAAAAATTTTTCATTTTGAAATAATTTCCAACACAGAAGGATTCTAAGAATTCTATGAAGAATTGTCAGCTGTCCTTCATGCACATTGTCCTAATGTTAGCATTTTACTACATTTGCTTTATCATATTCCCACTCTTTGCTTCTGTCTTCTCCTCTATGTATGTACACACATATACACATGTAAATATGGATTTTTTATGACATATGCAGAGATAAGTATTTTGGTATCTATTAGTTTTGAACTGTTTTGGAGTAAGTTGCAGACATGATGTTACTTTTTTTTTAAATTCAGTATTGTTTTGTAGAATATCTCTTCGCAGCACTTTATTTCTAATAGTTTAGTGTGTATTTCTTTGCAGTCAAGGACATTTTTTCTTACATAACCACAGTACAGTTATGAAAATATGAAAATAATATTGATATAAGAATGATATCTATACATCTCATTTAGATTTTGCCAGTTGTCATAATCTAATCCCTTAAAGAAAAGAAAAACTATTCTTTTCCTGAATCAGGGTCTAGTCCAGGATTTTATGTTGCTTGTAGTTGTCATGTAAATCAGCACCTCTCTAACCTTAACCCCTCTTTAGTCTCTCGTGTTTTATTATGGATTTTTTTCTCTTAGTGAGAACCAGCACTTCTATATTCTCAACATTATTTAACTTTCATATTTGCATAGGCTGAGTAGGAGAGGTAAATAATGTTGTATATAAAGTTTCAGTGCTGCAAAAGAAATAGCACTTGAATATAAAATGTTCTTTTAATTCTCAGCAAGGCAAGGTACTTCTATAGAAGGGTGCGCCCTTACAGATGGAACAATGGTGAGTGCACACTTGGACAAGGGAGGGGAAGGGGTTCTTATCCCTGACGCATGTGGCGCCTGCTGCTGTGTCATTCCCTTATTGGCTAGGGTTAGACCACCCAGGCTAAACTAATTCCGATTGGCTAATTTAAAGAGAGTGACGGGGTGAGTGGTTTGGTGGGAAAAATGGTTATGACAGAGCAGGTGATCGGAATGAGTCAGGGTGGAGCAGGTGATTGGAATGAGTCAGGGTGGAGCAGGTAATTGGAAAAGGTTGCTTTATGAGGAAGTTAAGTTTAAAAGTAGAAGGCAAAGAATTGAACATACTTTTCTTTGAAAAGAAATTTAGAACTCATATCTAACAATAAAAAGATACAGTTTTTATTTTTAAATGTCTATTCATACATAGAAGATGGAGAATGCACAACAAAAGATTAATGAGTACCAGAAGGGTAAGTTAACAGGTCACTTATAAAAATTGGATCTTTAAAATTATTTGGTAGTTTAATGTAGACTGTTGGGAATTTCATAATATTCAAATTCCAAAGTTTTTTTTTCTTTTAAATACCAAAATTTTTATTTGCCCACCCTCTTGGTTTAGCATTATAAATCAAATCAATCTCTTTTTGACCCAGCGTTGTGATAGGAACCACCATGTTACAATGTGGTGGCAGATGTCTGCTAGATTTTTTCTGGCTCCTCTCAACCTCTGACTGTCACTTCTTTTGTCCTTTCTTGGTTGTCCTTTAACAATCTGTTATAACTCCTGTAAAATAGAGAGTAAAAGTACCAACCCTGTTGTTACCAGGTTTTATGAGGACTAAGCTAGGACTAAGTCAATCTTTCAGGAACATTCAGACTCCAGTGGTTCCTCCTTGATCTTCAGTATAGCTCCTTATCTGTAATGGGCTGAAGAACCATTGAACTGATAAACCAGGCACATGGGTATAAGTCCATAGGCCAGGTGAAGGCCTGGATATAAAATATATGGACTTTGTGATGACCACTACCAACATCCAGCCTAAAGAAGGACTGACTTAGCATTTCCAACACCAATGATCTCATGGTTCCCTGTAGATGTCTCCCTTGTACCTCCATTAAGACCAGAGCTTGAGGAAGGGCCTCTCAATTTCCCCTGCTACACTTGGAATAGTATGAGGGACTCAGCAGAGGCTGGAAACTGAATGACCAGGCCCAGGGAGTTAATGTGGGACACTGACAAACCAATTGCAGAGTTGGTGCCATGTTGAGCATTTATGTTAAAAATTCTTAACTATTCTAAACCATGCTGACATGAACTGTTTTGCAAGTAAGTTTTGCTGTATAGCCATTGTTTTTTTTAATCCTAAATTTCTAGAAGTGAAGTTTGTTAGTATATGCTGTTTGTTTTGAAAGCTTTTGACATATATTATTGCCTTTCACACAGCAAAATATATGGGTATATGCTATGTTACTGCTTATAATGGTTAAGTCTTTTCTAATTTTTAAGTGGTGAAGTTTAAATCAGTACTTTCTATATTGTTCATTATTTGTGAATAAAGGTGGTATGATCACAGCTCACCACAGATTCGATTTCCCAGGTTCAAGTGATTCTCCCACCTCAGCCTTTGGAGTGGGACTACAGTCATGCATCACCACACCGGCTAAGTTTTTGTAGAGGCAAGGTTTCGTCATGTTGCCCAGGCTGGTCTCAAACTCCTCGGCTCAAGCAGTCTGCCCAGTAGGACTCCTAAAGTGCTGGATTACAGGCATGAGGCACTGGGCCCAGCCTATTTATAATTTTCTGTACTACTTTTTCTATTTTTATTTTTCTAAGAAACAAAGATCTCTATAAAAAATTTTTTTGGAGCTTAAATGTGCACTCTTTTGTGATCACTTTAGGAAGTATATTAGTTGGACTTCTTTTTAAGCTGTCTTTGTTGTTTTCTTAATTTTTCATTTAGAATTTTCTTCTACTGACTAGACTAGTTTTTAGTTCTGACTTCCTTAATTATGTTAAAGACTACCACAGTTCCAAGAACACAGAATTAAGACCTGAGTCATTGTTACATTTCCTCATCTCCAAGTCTCTTGTCCTGTCTCCTTTATCTATTGAAATTTGAGGTCTGATGACTTTTTTTTTTTTTTTGAGACGGAGTCTTGCTCTGTCGCCCAGGCTGGAGTGCAGTGGCGCGATCTCGGCTCACTGCAAGTTCCGCCTCCCAGGTTCATGCCATTCTCCTGCCTCAGCCTCCCGAGTAGCTGGGACGACAGGTGCCCACCACCATGCCTGGCTACTTTTTTTGTATTTTTAGTAGAGACGGGGTTTCACCGTGTTAACCAGGATGGTCTTGATCTCCTGACCTCGTGATCCACCCGCCTTGGCCTCCCAAAGTGCTGGGATTACAGGTGCGAGCCACTGCGCCCAGCGTCTGATGACTTTTACTTTATAAGCTCACTGTGTCTTCCACATCTGTCCTTTATTTTACATTTCCCAAGTTTGTATCTTTAGGGCTTACTTTATTGGCAGCTGTACTGTTAGCTTCCTACCTTTGGTCTTTGTCTTTTTCTATTTCATCCTTTTTAATAGTGCCGGGTGGGAATATGTTTTTTCTTTTTTTTCATTTTCTTTTTTTTTTTGATTTGGAGTCTTGCTCTATTGCCCAGGCTGGAGTGCAGTGGCACGACCTTGGCTCACTGCAAGCTCCGCCTCCCAGGTTCACACCATTCCCCTGCCTCAGCCTCCCAAGTAGCTGGGACTACAGGTGCCCACCATCACGCCCGGATAATTTTTTGTATTTTTAGTAGAGATGGGGTTTCACCGTGTTAGCCAGGATGGTCTCAATCTCCTGACCTCGTGATCTGCCTGCCTCGGCCTCCCAAAGTGCTGGGATTACAGGCGTGAGCCACCGACCGGCCACGAATATGTTTTTTCTTATTCAAAAAGCAGGCAGTGCCCCCACTCCTTTTTTTTTTTTTTTTTTTTTTTTTTTGGACAAAGTCTTGTTGTCACCCAGGCTGGAGTGCAGTGACACGATCTCAGCTCACAGGCAATGCCATTTTATGAAAAAGTGTGGGGTATCTTCAACTAACCTAATATTACACCTAATATTTTATTGTATTTCCCTGTTCACAACTTTTTAGTCAGGTATCTATCTGTCTCTTGTTTTTTCATGTATGGCTTTTGCTTTCCCACATTCACACCATTGCTCATTGTGTTTTTTCGTTCTGGAACCCTTGTTTTCTAAATTCTACATATGCTAATCTTACTAATACTAATTCTTAACTAATTTTATGAGTTCATGAAGTCCCAACTTGCAGCATAATTTTTTTGTGAAACTTTTCCTGCTTCTCGGTACTAAAAATAATGTTTCTCTTAGAAGGTTTTTAGCACTTATCATAAACCAAAATTCCATTAAAAGTATCTTTGTATACTATAGTTTATTATTTTATATTGCACGTATTTATCTCTTTATCTTTTAATTGTGTATGTATAAAATTTTTGCATTATGCAGTCCCCAAAAAAGTTAATATATATTATTTGTGATACGGTGTGGATTATTTCACATTCACAGCTCATTATGCCAGATAAGGCACAAAGGTTAAAGAATGTTTTTGTATCTTTGTTTCTTAAAACTTCTAGGAAAGTCATTGCACATTCATACTGCAACTTAACCTATTCTAGAGCTTTGGAATAGAGTATTTGGGATAAGTTATTTTCCTACACAGCAGGGCTAATTTGTGTATTTAAAACAGTTTACTAGAAATGTAGATACACATTTAAATTGAATAGTATACAGTTGTCCTAAAGATTGCTGTAAATTCTGAGATTAGATTGCATCATTTTTATATAGGAACAGTGAAGATTAATGACTTCCTATGTATATGTAACATATTTTCCATGAAATTCATTACTTACTGTGTTGCTGCAGGCTTTCTTTCAGGTATTTCAGGTTTGCTTTCCTATACATACTCATTAAAATATTTTAAAATCACTATGTCCCTTGAATTACCTGCAGTAATGAACTCTAATTTCTGTATTAATAACCCTATGGACCATAGATATTTCATTTGTACTGTTGTTTATGGGATATAAAACACTAGTGTTCCTTCATCACTACCAATTGACAAGATTGTATTAGGATGTTGAAAATACATCTTAAATAATATAAGTTCTTTTTTATTTTATTTGTTTATTTTTTGAGGCAGAGTCTTTCTCTGTTGCCCACGCTGGAGTGCAGTGGCACAATCTTGGCTCACTGCAACCTCCGCCTCCCGGGTTCAAGCAATTCTCCTGCCTTAGCCTCCTGAGTAACTAGGACTACAGGCGCGTACCACCATGCCTGGCTAATTTTTTGTATTTTTAGTGTAGACGGGGTTTCACCATGCTGGCCAGGCCGGTCTCAAACTCCTGACCTCAGCTAATCCATCCGCATCAGCCTCCCAAAGTGCTGGGATTACAGGCATGAGCCACGACGCCCAGCCAGTATAAGTTCTTTGAAAGCCATGTTTGGGGATAGTGGTTACCATGTTGGACAGTGCACATATAAAGAATCAGTCTGGGTCCAGTCTGGTGAGAGAATCATTGCCAGTAATTCAAATGGAGAAAAATTAATGTAAAGAATTAATTGGCCGGGCACAGTGGCGCACACCTGTAATTCTAGCACTTTGGGAAGCCAAGGCGGGGCAAATCACTTGAGTCCAGGAGTTCGAGACCAGCCTGGCCAACATGGTGAAACCCTATCTCTACTAAAAATAAAAAAATTACCTGGGTGTGGTGGCACACACCTGTAATCCCATCTCCTTGGGAGCCTGAGGCACAAGAATCACCTGAACCTGGGAGGCAGAGGTTGCAGTGAGCTGAGATTGCATCATTACATTCTAGTCTGGGTGACAGAGTAAGACTCCATCTTAAAAAATAATTATTAACTATTTAAAGGCTTCAAATCATTTGTCATTTGGGAACTGCAAATCAAGACAACAATGAGATCCTACTACATGCCTATTAGAATGGCTGAAATTTAAAAATCTGACAATATCAGTTTCCTGGGAGGTATGTGATACCACAGAAACTCTGATTTCTTTTTTTTTTTTTTTTTTTTTTGAGACGGAGTCTCACTCTGTTCACTTTGTTGCCCAGGCTGGAGTGCAGTGGCATGATCGTGGCTCACTGCAAGCTCCGCCTCCTGGGTTCACACCGTTCTCCTGCCTCAGCCTCCCAAGTAGCTGGGACTACAGGCACCCGCCACCACACCTGGCTAATTTTTTTTGTATTTTTAGTAAGGGACAGAGTTTCACCATGTTAGCCAGGATAGTCTCAATCTCCTGACCTCGTGATCCGCCCACCTCGGCCTCCCAAAGTGCTGGGATTACAGGTGTGAGCCACTGCGCCCGGCCCAGAAACTCTCATTTCTTGCTGGTAGAAATGCAAAATGGTACAGCCACTTTGAAAGACAGTTTGGCAATTTCATACAAAGCTAAACATAGTCTTACTCAAAGTTCCAGCAGTTATACCTCTAGGTATATACATAGCTGATTTTAAAAATTAAGTACACAGAAAAACCTGCTTGTGAATGTTTTTTATTTGTAATTGCCTAACAGTGGTGACCCAGATGCCCATTATTTGGTAAATGGCTAACAAAGTGTGATACATCCATGGAATGGAATGCTATTCAACAATTTTTTTGAATGACCTATTTGGCCACTAAAAGACATGGATGAATGTTTTTGTTTTAAGACAGGGTCTTGCTCTGTTGTTCAGGCTGGAGAGAGTGCAGTGGAACGTTCATGGCTCACTGCAGCCTCAGGCTCCTAGGCTCAAGCCATCCTTCTGCATAGCTGGAGCTACAGGCACATGCCACCGTGTCCAGCTAACTTTTTTGTTCTTGTTTTTTGTTTTTTTTATCCTTTATCTTTAGATATTTTTTCTTTTTTCTTTGTATTTCTTGTCAATTGATAAATTTTTTTATTTTTTTGTAGAGAAGGAGTCTTGCTTTGTTTCCCAGGCTGGTCTTGAACTCTTGGCCTCAGCAATCCTTCCGCCTTGTCCTCTCAATGTACGGGGATTAGAGGTGTGAGCCACCGTGCCCAGCCAGACATGGATCTTAAATGCATATTATTAAAGTGAAAGATGTTAGTCTAAAAGGCCTACATGTTGTTAGACTCCAGTTACGGTTGAGCAACCCTAATAGAAAAATCTGAAATCTGAAATGCTCTGAAGTTCGAAACTTTCTGAATCCGAACATATAGCCATATAAAAAATCCACACATAGGCCAGGCGCAGTGGCTCATGCCTGTAATCCCAGCACTTTGGGAGGCCGAGGCGGGCAGATCACAAGGTCAGGAGATCGAGACCATCCTGGGTAACACAGTGAAACCCAGTCTCTACTAAAAATACAAAAACTTAGCTGGGCATGGTGGCGGGCACCTGTAGTCCCAGCTACTCGGGAGGCTGAGGCAGGAGAATGGCGTGAACCCAGGAGGCGGAGCTTGCGGTGAGCCGAGATCGCGCCACTGCACTTCAGCCTGGGCGACAGAGCGAGACTCTGTCTTATAAAAAAAAAAAAATTCCACACATAACCTTATGTGACGGGTCACAGTTAAAACCAAGATTAAGGCGAGATGCAGTGGCTTACCCCTGTAATCCCAGCATTTGGGAGGTGAGGCAGGCAGATATCTTGAGCTCAGGAGTTCGAGACCAGCCTGGGCAACATGGCAAAACCCATCTGTACCAAAAAAAAAAAAAAAAAAAAAAAAAAAGCTGGGTGTGGTGGCTAGTGCTTATAGTCCCAACTACTTAGGTGGCTTAGGCTGGAGGATTGCTTAAGCTTGGGAGGGGAGGTTGCAGTGAGCTGTGATCGTGCCACTGTACTCCGGCCTGGGTGACAGAGTAAGACTGTGTCTCAAAAAAAAAGAAAAAGTAAAAAGGTCAAAACTTTGTTTCATGCACAAAATTATTAAAAATATTATGGCCAGGCACGATGGCTTACACCTGTAATCCCAGCACTTTGGGAGGCTGAGGCGGGCGGATCACCTGAGGTCGGGAGTTCGAGACCAGCCTGACCAACATGGAGAAACCTCATCTCTACTAAAAACACAAAATTAGCCGGGCATGGTGGCGCATGCTTGTAATCCCAGCTACTTGGGAGTCTGAGGCAGGAGAATCGCTCGAACCCAGGAGGCGGAGGTTGCAGTGAGCCTAGATTGTGCCGTTGCAATCCAGCCTGGGCGGCAAGAGTGAAACTGTGTCTAAAAGAAAAAAAAATTATGTAAAATTCCTTTCAGGCTGTGTGTGTAAGGTATATGTGAAACATAAACGAGTTTCATGTTTAGACTTGAGTTCCATCCCCAAGATGTTTCATTATGTATGTGCAAATATTCTAAAATTTGAAAAAACTGGAAGTCTGACACACTTCTTGTTCCAAGCATTTCAGATAAGGGGTACTCAACCCATATATTAATATGTGGAAAAAAGGAAACTATGATGATGATTAAAAAATGAAAAACTAGTGGTTTCCTGAGAAGGGGAAGAGAAAGGGTTGAATGGGCAATACACAGGATTTTTAAAGTAAACTATTCTCCATGATAACCATTAATTGTGCATACACAACACCAAGCATTTGTCAAAACCCTTAGAACTTCACAGAACAAAGAGTAAATGTGTTTTTTTTCTTTCATAATTGAGATTTTGTTGGTTGTGTTGGGGATTAGTACACAGACATTTCAGTTTGTGTGCAATTCTTAACATACATACTGAAAATCTAAAAAAAAAGTTTGTAATTCTTTTTTAAAGTTATTCCAGTGACTTTCCAGCTTAAAATTTGGAGGCAAATTTTCCTTGAGTCTATCAAGTACCAGTATCTTCACATGTTGATAAGCTGTTAAATACACTTCTCCAATTCAGTTAAAAGCATATACACAACATACTCAAATATTCAGTCTTTCACAGCACATTAACAAAGTTATTGGGAAAACAGGAATACCACAACCAAAGATGTTAGAGTGCACACAATTCTGACAGGGAGAGCCATGATCAAGGAGTTTTTATTTGTTTGTTTGTTGGTTTTTAGAAAATCCTGCTAAAGGCCAGGTACAGTGGCTTACACCTGTAATCCCAGCACTTTGGAAGGCTGAGGTGGGTGGATCACAAGGTCAGGAATTTGAGACCAGCCTGGCCAATATGGTGAAATCCCATCTCTACTAAGAATACAAAGATTAGCTGGGAGTGGTGGCGGGCACCTGTAGTCCCAGCTACTTGGGAGGCTGAGGCAGGAGAATCACTTGAACCTGGGAGGTGTGGAGGTTGCAGTGAGCTGAGATCGCACCACTGTACTCCAGCCTGGGCGACAGACGAGACTCCATCTCAAAAAAAGAAAAAAAAGAAAATTCTGCTATAAAAAAACATGCAATAGAAATAATTTAAAATATCCAAGACATTAAAATGCAAAATTTTTTTTTTAAATTCAGGACTATAACTCCATGTTGCCATTTTATATGCTTTGTCTTTTAGGATATGAAAAGTAACCCCCATCTATGGAATGTTAAGCTGACACCCAACACAGTCAAAGCCTCCGACAACAATTCAGTATCCCACACTATTTTCTGGTTGTACCAAAAGATAACCAGTGAATGATTTCACCTCTTAAAAACAAAAAGCATTTACACTTTAAAAATGGGATGTGGGTAGGATTCCCTTCTTCTTAAAAATGTTTCTAGATCTACTAAAAAACTTGCATTTATACAATAGTTGATAAAAATATTCCTCTGGATTCTACTAGAATAGAAGGACCACTGATAATAGTATATGATATTAATCAGACTTGGCTTCTTTTTCTCCGGCTTCACCAGAAGCTGGACTCTTCTTGGTTTTGCTTTGTCCATTTTCTGCAGGTAAATCTATAGTTTTTTGGTTAGCCTGATCAGCCTCTTTTCTCTTTGCTCCCCTTTTCCCTTTTCTTTATACCTTTTACATGTATATATGTGTGTGTGTATATATATATATATGTATCTATAAATATTTATATACAAATTTATATACAAATATATATTTATATACAAATATATATACAAATATATATACACATATATGAAAGCTAATTTTTGTAATTTTTTGTCTAGACAGGGTTTCGCCATGTTGCCCAGGCTGGTCTTGAACTCCTGGGCTCAAGCGATCTGCCTGCCCTGACCTCTGCTGGCATTACAGGTGTGAGCCACTGTACCTGGCCCTGTTTGTACTTTCCTGCTGCCTTTTTTGACTTCATTTCCACTTTTCAGGAGCAGGTTTAGCTGACAACCATGCCTGTCTTCCTCTTTGACTCTTTCTTCACTTTGACTTCCACCTCTGTTTAGCTGACTTTCCTCTTGGGCATCATTGCAGTGGGGAGAGTACATACTGGGTGCTAGTGGGCCATGGTGCACAGAGAGCCTCAGTGAGCTGGGCTGCCGGGCCGCTCCTCCAACTGCCTGAGCTACTGATACCCGCTCAAAGAGTGACTTTGTTATGTGTAACATATGGGAGGTGTATTTTATGTTTTGTCCACATAAGAACCTAGAAGCAAAGGTACTCTAGTAGCAACGAGCAAAACATAGTGTCTAGTTCTTTTTTTTTTTTTTTTTTTTTTGAGATAGGGTCTCGCTGTCATTCAGGAGTACAGTGCTACAATCACGGCTCACTGCAGACTCCACCTCCCCGGCTCATTCGATTCTCCTACTTCAGCCTGCTGAGCAGCTGGGACTACAGGCACACACTACTACCCTAGCTAACTTTATAGAGATGGGCTTTTGCCATGTTGCTCAGGCTGGTCTGGAACTCCTGGGATCAAGTCATCCTCCCTACCTTGTCTACCCCTGTGCTGGTATTACCAGTGTGCAGTTCTTTTTGTTGTTTTGTTTTTGAGATAGGGTCTCGCTGTCATCCAGGAGTACAGTGCTATAATCACGGCTCACTGCAGACTCTGCCTCCCCGGCTCAATCGATTATCCCACTTTAGCCTGCTGAGCAGCTGGGACTACAGGCACACATTACTACCCTAGCTAACTTTGTAGAGATGGGCTTTTGCCATGTTGCTCAGGCTGGTCTGGAACTCCTGGGATCAAGTCATCCTCCCCACCTTGTCTACCCCTGTGCTGGTATTACCAGTGTGCAGTTTTTTTTTTTTTTTGAGATGGAGTCTTGCTCTGTTGCCCAGGCTGGAGTACAATGGTGCAATTTCAGCTCACTGCAACCTCTCTGCCTCCTAGGTTCAAGCGATTCTCCCGACTCAGCCTCCTGAGTAGCTGGGATTACAGGCATGTGCCACCACGCCTGGATAATTTTTATATTTTTAGTAGCGATGGGGTTTTGCCATGTTGGCCAGGCTGGTCTAGAACTCCTTATCTCAGGTGATCTGCCCGCCTTGGCCTCCCAAGGTGCTGGGATTACAGGCGTGAGCCATTGTGCCCGGCCAACCAGTGTGCAGTTCTTACTCTCTGATATCATTTTCCAATAAAAGGAACCCAGTCTCTTTCTTGTATTGGTTGATTCTAGAACTGGGGCAAGGAATATACAGGGTGAACCTGGAGCATCTTGTGCCAGTAAGTAGCCAAGTGCTAAAAAAGAAATGAAAAACCACACAGAATGATGTGATTATGTCATAAGGACTTGGGAGCCAACTAAAAGAGCTCCCATTGGCCAAAGCTGAAACAATTTGAACAACAAAGTAAAACAGTATTGAATTACATCGGACACGGTGGCTCACGCCTGTAATCCTAGCACTTTGGGAGACCGAGGTGGGTGGATCACTTGAGATCAGGAGTTCAAGACCAGCCTGGCCAACATGGTGAAACCCCATCTCTACTAAAAACACAAAAATTAGTTGGGTGTGGTGGCACATGCCTGTAATCCCAGCTACTCAGGAGGCTGAGGCAGAAGAATCGCTTGAACCCAGGAGGCAGAGGTTGCAGTGAGCAAAGATCGCACCACCGCACTCCAGCCTGAGCAACAAAGAGAGAATCTGTCTCCAAAAAGAAAACAAAACAAAACAAATAGTATTGAATTAGAACCCCAAGTATAAAATAAATGATGAGTATATACTGATATAAATGATTGAATAAATAAATGGTTGAGAATAGACAAATCTTCCATGTGAGAGAATTATAATTTGTGTAAATACTTCCTCAATGAGGTGGAGTGGAACTTCCTACCCCTTAAATGTGGGCTATACATAGTGACTTTGTTCTGAAGGGTACACTATGGAAAGAGTAAGAAAAGTACAGAAGTGAAACCTGACAAAACACTATGTCAGCCAAGTGATTTAGGTCAATATCAACATTGATTAATTATGTTGATAGTATGTACTCTTGATATGAGGTGATAAAAATGGCATGTTACTGGCTGGGCGTGGTGGCTCAAGCCTGTAATCCCAGCACTTTGGGAGTCTGAGGTGGGCGGATCACGAGGTCAGGAGATCAAGACCATCCTGCCTAACACAGTGAAACCACATCTCTACTAAAAATACAAAAAAAAGTTAGCCGGGGTGGTGGCACACACCTGTAGTTTCAGCTACTCGGGAGGCTGAGGCAGGAGAATTGCTCGAACCCAGCAGACGGAGGTTGTAGTGAGCTGAGATCACGCCATTGCACGTTAGCCTGGGCAACAAGTTAACTTCGTCCCCAAAAAAAAAAAAAAAAAGCATGTTACCTCTCCTTTCTTCTCAAATCCCATAATCCCTTGTCTAGTTATGACAAAAACATCAGACAAATTCCAGTGAGGAACCTATTAGAAAATGCCTGATCAATATTTCTCAAAACTCCTATGGTCATCAAAAACCAGGAGAATCTGAGAAACTGTCACAGCCAAAAGGAGCTTAGGAAGACATGATGATTGAATGTAATATTGTATCCTGGATGGACTCCTAGACCAAAAGGTCATTAGGCAAGAAGTAAGAAAAATCAGGCCGCTCGTGGTGGCTGATGCCTGTCATTGTGGCACTTTGGGAGGTGAGGTGGGTGGATCACTTGAGGTCAGGAGTTCAAGACCAGCATGGCCAACATGGCGAAACCTTGTCTGTACTAAAAGTACAAAAATGAGCTGGGCGTGATGACAGGCGCCTATGATCATAGCTACTCTAGAGGCTGAGGCAGGAGAATCACTTGAACTTGGGAGGCGGAGGTTGCAGTGAGTCGAGATTGTGTCACTGCACTCCAGCCTGGGCAACAGAGTGAGACTCCCTCTCAAAAAAAAAAAAAATTCAAAGAAAGTATGGGCTTTTGTTAGTGTATCAGTATTGGTTTATTGTAACAAATGTACCATACTAATGTAAGATGTTAATTATAGGAGTAACTATATGTATTTAGGAATTTTCTGTACTATCTTCATAACTTTTTTTTTTGTAAATCTGAAAGTTCTAAAAAAAGTTTATTTAAAAATTAAGCAATGAACTCTATATATTAATCCACACACAGAAATGGTTAGAGGGCCATTAACTACTAACAGAAGTGAAAAGAGGACTATACTGTCAGAAACACAGTAAAAGCAAATGCAGGGAGCAGGTACTATAATAAGGAAAAGAAGCCCCTCCAAGCTATGCCTTGTAGTGTTCCTCTAGTACCTTCCTTTTACAAAGCCTAATACTGCAGCAGATGGCAAAAGATAAATGTTTACAGGGTCCAGCTTCAGTGTCAAAAAGCAGGGCAAATTTATTTCAATTTATTGTCTCTCATTGGAGACACTTATCTCATTGGAGATGAGAGACCATAAATTGGTAAGTGAAGCAGGCATATAATGGGAATGAATTAAATTACTCAATAGAGAGCATAAGGACTGAGAAGAAAAGATACTTAGGGGAGACCTCTAGGTAATACTAGCAGGTAAGAAATACAGGGAGGGGAAAGATAACTGAAAGGAAAGGAAAAAAGTCTTGTCTGTTAAGAGAGTTTCAAGAAATGTCTATTGCATTTAGCAACGTTGGTGTCACTGGTGAGTTTGGTGAAGTAGCAACTGTAGAATGAGTTTGTATGTGAATGAATGAATGTATGAATGAATGAAATTAACAGGAATAGATACAGTGACTGCCAACAATTTTTTCAAATGATCCTTGGCCCTAAAGGTGAGATAGAGATAAGATTATAGCAAGTATTAACTTTTTAAAATAAAGTTGGGGGGAGGGGATGGTATGTTAATTAAAGAATGTAAACTCCATCAGGGCAAGAATGTTTGTCTGTTTTGTTTATTGCTGTATTGCCAGTACCTGAAATAGTTCCAGATACGTTCAGCATATTTGTTGCATGACTAAGAAATACTTGAGCATTTCAGTAGGGGTAGAAGTTGAATATATGGCATTTCCCAGAAATGTTTTCTGTACAAGATTTCTGAGGAAGTAGGAGAGTATCAATGAATGTATGCAGAAGGAAATGTCAAGAAGGGGCAAGGTTAAAATATTCAACATTGGCATTATTATTGTACAAAACACTAAAGCAATTTTTAAAACATCATCTAGGTGTGGTGGCTCATGCTGTTAATTCCAGCATTTTTGAAGGCCAAGGTGGGCGAATCATTTGAGGTCAGGAGTACGAGACCAGCCTGGCCAACATGGTGAAACTCCGTCTCTATTGAAAATACAAAAATTAACTGGTCGTGGTGGTGGGGTCTGTAATCTCAGCTACTCGGGAGGCTGAGGCAGGAGAATCACTTGAACCTGGGAGGAGGATGCTGCAGTGAGCTAAGAGAGTGCCACTGCACTCCATCCTGGGCGACAGAGCAAGACTCTGTCTCAAAAAACAAAAGAAAGTTACCTTCATACCTTTTATGTATAAACTTATGTTTTGCTCTTTGCACTTTTTTGAATTACTGAGAAGAAATTTTAAAGTTTCTTTTGGTTAGGGATTATATTTCTTCTATAGTAGTGATCATTTTATATAAAGCAAAGTAAACCTAATCGAATGGAATCTTTTTTTATCTTTTTTTCAGTCTACAAATAAGAAACCTCGAAAATCTCCAGGTGAGAAGAGCAGAATTGAAGCTGGAATTAGAGGAGCAGGCCGTGGAAGAGCTAATGGACACCCTCAACAGAATGGGGAAGGGGAGCCTGTCACATTATTTGAGGTGGTGAAACTGGGGAAAAGTGCAATGCAGGTAAATTTTAAGTTTTTATTTCACGTATAAAGCAATACAGTTAATAACTTGGGTGGAATCAGTTAGTGTGTATATTGGCACTTTATATACTTCTGTTGATTATGTAAGCAACCTTTCAGTTTATCCTGAAAGGTTATTATTTTGCTTTGTTTTGCAAAGAGTGTCAGGAATGGCTGTTTAATCGTAAGATGTACTTTTGTTTAAATTGTTCTAAGTAAAAAGGTCTACTAGAAGCTGCCCAAGAGAATTTTTATTGTCTTGATATTTTTTTTTTGAATCTGATTTAGTGTAAGTAACACATGTGTCTTTCAGAGTATTTGAAAGAAGAAGGGATATAAAAAAAGAATTCTTAAGTAGTGAATTAGGAATAACCAGAACTACATCATTTGTAACTTTCTTTCTTTCTTTCTTTCTTTTTTTTTGAGACAGAGTCTGGCTCTGTTGCCCAGGCTGGAGTGCAGTGGCACGATCTTGGCTCACTTCAAGCTCTGCCTCCCGGGTTCACGCCATTCCCCTGCCTCAGCCTCCCGAGTAGCTGGGACTACAGGTGCCTGCCACCATGCCCGGCTAATTTTTTGTATGTTTTTTAGTAGAGATGGGGTTTCACCGTGTTACCCAGGATGATCTCGATCTGCTGACCTCGTGATCCACCTGCCTCGGCCTCCCAAAGTACTGGGATTACAGGCGTGAGCCACCGCGCCCGGCCATAACTTTCTTACTCTTTTATCTCTTCTCATTTAGTCCATAAATACTAAGTATTCTGCAGGAGCACCATTCTCACTAATGCATTGTAAGGATAAGCCATAATTATTTTTCTTTAGTGTGTATATTTTTATCACTATCATTAAATGTGTTTATTATTTATGTTCGTCTCTACATTTTTAACATTTTAAAATGCTAGAGGTGGAATTATTTGGCTAAAGGATATTTTTAAATTGTGAAATATATAAATACTGTATTTCTCTCCCATAAATTGTACTATTTCACCTTTCACGAGAAGTGTACAGGAGAATTGCTTGAACCCAGGAGGTGGAGGTTGCAGTGAGCCGAGATTGTGCCACTGCACTCCAGCCTGGGGTACAGAGCCAGACTCTATCTCAAAAAAAAAAAAATTAGGTAATTGTGAAACGGAATTACTATTAGAACTAAAACAGACAACTTTTCATTAGTATACTTTCTATTATATTTTTTACCTGTATTTCTTTTTGAAGCCCTTAAGGGTGTTTAGTGTTTCTTTCTTTTTATGTATGTTACCAGATTGACGTGTTGTGTTCAAGAGTCCTGGAATTTGTGTGGGCAGGGAAGGAGGTGGATTAGTGGGATGATGCTAAATGGTGAAACATGTATTGAATTTCCAGTTACCCAAAGCAATGGATGACAATATTTAAATTATATAAGTTTAATATAAAAATAGATTTGTGACCTTTTGCCATTAAGCTTGATAATTTATTCATTATACTTTTGTTTCTGAGACAGAGTCTTGCTCCATTGCCCAGGTTGGAGTGCAGTGGCTCACTGCAACCTCCACCTCCCGGGTTCAAGGGATTCTTGTGCCTCAGCCTCCTGAATAGCTGGGATTACAGGTGTGTGCCAGCACGCCCAGCTAATTTTTGTATTTTTAGTAGAGATGGAGTTTCACCATATTGGCCAGGCTGGTCTGAAACTCCTGACCTCAAGTGATGCACCCACCTCTGCCTTCCAAAGTGCTGGGATTACAGGCATGAGTCACCATGCCCGGCCTCATTATACTTTAATAGAAGAATTGTTAACAAGCTACGGAAGCATTAATTTTAAAGACCTTTTCTATTGCTTCCCACCTTTAGGTAGAAATACAAGCAGAAAAATGACAGAAATGTATTTTTATGTAAAATTTTGATAATTGCATTTCAGATATTTTTCTTCTCTCTCTCTCTTTTTTTTTTTTTTTGTTTGAGATGGAGTGTCTCTCTGTCGCCAGGCTGGAGTGCAGTGGCGTGATCCCGGCTCGCTGCAACCTCCGCCTCCCAGGTTCAAGCAATTCTTCTGCCTCAACTTCCCAAGTAGCTGGGACTACAGGCACACACCACCATGCCCAGCTAATTTTTGTATTTTTAGTAGAGACGGGGCTTTACCATGTTGGCCAGGACGGTCTCGATCTCCTGACCTCGTGATCCGCCCACCTCGGCCTCCCAAAGTGCTGGGATTATAGACGTGAGCCACTGTGCCCGGCCTTACTTCCTTTTCTTTAAATGTAAGCCTTTATTTTATGAGATATTTATGTAAAAATAATTTTCATGCATATTGTATTAAAGCTTAATGCCAGTCCTTATTTTTAATATTAACAAACTCTTATCATCATCTATATTTGAAATAAAACATTGACCAATAGAAGTGTTTTCAGTTTTAATTCATGGTATTCTTCTCTTCATCCATATTACTCTTTTCTAATTATACTCTTATGCTGTGTCTTTTCTGCTGAAACTTTTTTTTTTTGGAGAATGAGCCTCTCTCTATTAGCCAGGCTGAAGTACAGTGGACGATCTCAGCTCACTGCAACTTCTGCCCCACAGGTTCAAGCGATTCTCCTGCCTCAACCTCCCGAGTAGCTGGGGTTACAGGTGCCTGCCACCACGTCTAGCTAATTTTTTGTTTGTTTGTTTGTTTGTTTTGTATTTTTAGTAGAGATAGGCTTTCACCGTGTTGGCCAGGCTGCTCTCAAACTCCTGACCTCAAGTGGTCTGCCCGCCTCACCCTCCCAAAGTGCTGGGATTACAGGCATGAGCCACCACACCCAGCTGTCTTCGGCTGAAACTTTTTGTTTCTTATTTTCTGAAAGATAATGATCAGTAGTCAGGACTCTGGTACCTTCCATAATTTGGTGTTAACCCACCTTTCAACTTCTTCTTACTGTTTCTCTCTTGAAATCTGCTTCATGTTATTTTTACTGTAATTTTAATTATTAATATTTTTTACTGGCTATATTTAAAATTTATAAACGTTTGTAATTTTTTTATGTGGCAGTCTTTTGGGCACATTTTTTTCTATGAATTTACCTTCTGATTTTTATTATTTTGGCAGTACTTCCTAAAATAGTTGGGTCATGGTTTATTTAACTAGATTTTATTTGAACTGTTTCCAGTTTTATTGTATTAAAAATAGTACTTCTTTAGGCTGGGTGTGGTGGCTCATGCCTGTAATCTCAGCACCTTGGGAGGCTGAGGCGGGTGGATCAGTTGAGGTCAGGAGTTTGAGACCAGTCTGGCCAACATGGTGAAACCCTGTCTCTACTAAAAATACAAAAATTAGCTGGATGTGGTGCTAATTTCAAGGAGAGCTGCTTGAACCCAGGAGGCGGAGGTCGCAGTGAGCCAAGATTGCGCCACTGCACTCCAGCCTTGGCGACAGAGGAAGACTTCTTCTCAAACAAAACAAAACAAAACAAAACAAAACAAAACAAAACAAACAAACAAACAACAACAAGAAAAAATAAAGAGCACAGCTGTGCGTGGTTGCTCACGCCTGTAATCCCAGCATTTTGGGAGGCCCAGGCGGGCAGATCAGAAGGTCAGGAGTTTGAGACCACCCTGGCCAATATGGTAAAATCCCATCTCTACTAAAAATAAAAAAAAAATTAGCTGGGCATGGTTGCGCAAGCCTGTAATCCCAGCTACTCAGGAGGCTGAGGCAGGAGAATTGCTTGAACCCGGGAGGTAGAGGTTGCATTGAGCCAAGATTGTGCCACTACACGCCAGCCTGGGTGACAGAGCGAGACTCCGTCTCAAAAATAAAAAATAAAGAGCAAGATAATACAAGCCGACATCAGTGATTTAGAAACAAAGTAGGTATTTCTGTGGTTTGTATGGAAGAAAACTACAAAGTGATGAACAGGATTGGGTTTAGGGCAGAAAAGCATATGCTTTATAGCCAGGAGTTTGGTTGTTGAGTGTTAAAGTGCTTCATGAAGAATAGGAGAATCGAATCGGGCTTATTACATGAAGCCAAGGCCTAATGTGAGTCTCCCCATTTGTAAAGCAGGCTGAAGGAAAGTGCCAATAACTACTGCATAGGCTTATGTTTAGGGTAATCGTGTATCTCAAGTTACCCTTGAGATGTCCAGTTTGTGCTTATTGTCCATGTATTTATTAATAGAGGCTCCTTTAATATTCAGAAGGGTAGTAGTTTGCATGGCTATTTTTATTAAAACATCACTTACAGGAAATCAAAAGCTGAGGAAAGGGAGAAGATGGACATAATTCTTATAACTGACACCTGAATTGAAATGTCTGTTCATTTGGTTGGTGACTGGGTCTGTGAAAATTCCCAATGTTGTTTTAGGAAAGAGTCTGAAAATTCCCACTCTTGTCTTTTATATGATCTGGTTCTGCCATGGAGGTAATGACAGAAACATAAGAGGGGAGGGATAAATAATAAAATAATGAATATGTATGTTGAAGATGCTAGAGGGATGAAAGAAGAAATTCTGTCTTATACAAAATAAGGAAGATGAAACAAGATATGGAACAGGAGCAGTCTCGAAAATTGAAAGTAAATTCTTAAAACAGTACATTATGTTACTGAGGAAAAATACTGCTTTAGGTGCCATGAGAGGGAGAATTCAAGTATTGGCATTTATTGGACTCAGTTAGAATGTAGCCCAGAGAAATAAGGAGGTAAGAAAACATGAAAGAGCCATTTAAAGACTTTGGTATGGATTGAAGGGTTCCAGAATATACCAAGGGAAGAGATCAGAGGGAAGAAAAGAGATGAAGGATTTATTTTATTTTATTTTATTTATTTTTGAGACAGAGTCTCGCTCTGTCACCCAGGCTGGAGTGCAGTGGCGCAATCTCGGCTCACTGCAGGCTCCGTCTCCTGGGCTCACACCACTCTCCTGCTTCAGCCTCCCAAGTAGCTGGGACTACAGGCACATGTCACCATGCTCGGCTAATTTTTTTATTTTTAGTAGATACAGGGTTTTGCCATGTTACCCTAGGCTGGTCTTGAACTCCTGGACTCAAGTGATCCTCCTACCTCAGCCTTCTAAAGTGCTGGAATTACAAGATTGAGCCAGCACACCTAGCCCAATCTCTTTCCTTTTAATGGCTGCATGTATACCACATTTTCTAGTCTATTATTGTTGGGCATTTGGGTTGATTTTATGTCTTTCCTATTATGAATAGTGCTGCAATGAACATACACATGCATGTATGTTTATAATAGAATGATTTACATTCCTTTGGGTATATACCTGTTAATGGGATTGCTGGGTCAAGTGGTATTTCTGCCTTTAGTTCTTTGAGGAATCACGGTCTTAGATACAATTTTTGAAGAGATAATTTTGGAGAAATTTCCAGACAAATTTCCTTTGATCCAAAGTTTGTTCTCAGGAGTGAGCAAGATAAGTGAAAGTAATTTCATAGCTGTAAATAGTATAGTATAACTGAAGTATTAAGGAAATTTTGAAAGATTTCATCAAGGAATGTCTGATCGTTTTCTTTATAATGCAGTTAATGTTGAAATACACAGTAAAATAAATTCTCCTGGTAAATTGCATTATAAAATTTACCAGGAGAATAAAAAGGTGCTTTTTAAAAGTTTGTATTGGCCGGGCGCGGTGGCTCACGCCTGTAATCCCAGTACTTTGGGGAGGCCGAGGTGGGCAGATCACAAGGTCAGGAGATCGAAACCATCCTGGGTAACACAGTGAAACCCCGTCTCTACTAAAAATACAAAAAATTAGCCGGGCGTGGTGGCGGGCGCCTATAGTCCCAGCTACTTGGGAGGCTGAGGCAGGAGAATGGCGTGAACCCGGGAGGTGGAGCTTGCAGTGAGCCGAGATTGCGCCATTGCACTCCAGCCTGGGCAACAGAGCGAGACTCCGTCTCAAAAAAAAAGAAAAAAAAAAAAGGTTGTATTAAAGAGGAGATATACAGAGTTGTAATGTGAATATTAGTGAAAGAAATGTTAGTGAAAATGTTGGAGCCAGCTAAAGCATTACTTGGATAGATGTGTTATCTTAAGGGCATTAATGCTAAGCAAAAGCAAAAGAAACTAGAAAAAAGAAAAACAGCAAACCTAACATTACTGTGAAGAAAGGAATAATAAAAGTAGAAATGGAAGTTAAATAGAAAGGTTAAAGAAGGTCAACTAAACCCAAATATTTGAGTCTAAGAAAACTTTAGGACCAGAAGGTTTTATCTTAGGAATACCGAGATGGTTTAATATTAGAAAATCTTTTAGTATAATGTCCAGATAATCTCATTACAGGAGAAAAAAGCCTATACTTACCTGAAGTGATGTAGGATGTTTAGAAAAATTATGTGATAATATATAGCTAATAGTTTTTATAAACAGAAACTTTTGATAATTAGGAACAAGAGGGAACTTCCTTAGCTTGTAAAGGTTATCTCCCCCAAACCTACAGCTCAGATTATGTCATTTTTAAATAACGGTGAAGTTTAGGTGTATTCCCAGGATATAAGCATTATTACTGCTGTTCAGTACTGGAACACCTAGCCAATACATTAAAAAAAAAAAAGAAGAGCTATAGCAATTGAAGATGAAGATGCAAAAGTATCCCTATTGGAAGAGGATATAATTGTGTTGAAATTTCAAGAGAAACCGTAGACTGTTAGAACTAATGAGAGCATTCAGCAACGTTCCTGGATAGAAAGTTTAAAAAATCAGTAGCCTTTTCTGTATGGCATTAATAACCAATTAGAACAAGTAATCAGAAACGAGCATATTCAAGATAGAAGTAAAATCAATGAAGTACAAAATAAAAATCTAATAAAAAATTTGGGTGGAACAGAATAAACTACTATTTTAAAAACCCATCATATTGAGTAATTAAAAAGACCTGACCATACCAATAGTCAGTAAGGTTGTAGAACAGCAACTAGTGGGAGTACAGATCTGTGTACAGATTCTCCTTTGGAGACTATTTTGGTAATATCAAGAAGAGTTTTCATTCAGGCAGTAAATATTTAATGAGTGTTTACACTGTGGAAACCACTTTTTCCCTTCTTTCTTTTCTTTACTAAGAATATAACATTAAAGAAAACCAATTCAATTCTTAGATATAACCTCTGGATACAGTTTTTTTACATGTTTATAAAAGGCATATATAGGAATGAATATTTTTTTCATTGCTTTGTTTATACTAACAAAAAAATAAAAATCCCAAATTTCTATAATAAACAGGATAATTGATAAACTGTGGTATATTTAAACTCTGAAAAAAAATTTTTTTTTAAGATACAGTCTCGCTCTGTCGCGCAGATTGGGGTGCCAGTGACATGGTCCCAGCACACTGTAACCACTGCCTCCCAGGTTCAAGTGATTCTTGTGCCTCAGCCTCCTAAGTAGCTGGGATTACAGGCATGCGCCAGTACGCCTGGCTAAATTTTTTGTATTTTTAGTAGAGACAAGGTTTCCCTATGTTGGCCAAGCTGGTCTTGAACTCCTGGCCTCAAGCAGTCTGCCTGCCTTGGCCTCCCAAGGTGCTGGGACTACAGATGTGAGCCCCCATGCCTGGCCTGAAATTATTTACTGCATTTAAAATGAGTAAACTAGAA
The DNA here is from genome assembly GCF_000001405.40 of Homo sapiens. Lineage (NCBI taxonomy): Eukaryota > Metazoa > Chordata > Mammalia > Primates > Hominidae > Homo > Homo sapiens. The sequence goes on along the minus strand of NC_000003.12, from coordinate 136,596,752 downwards.
TTCTAGGTACCAGTACGAATAAATTTTAAAAATGGATTTTAAAGGTCCAATGCAAATTGCAGAATGATGCATAACACATGATGCTACAGTACTTATAAAGTGTGAAAATATACTTAAGGTTATTTAACATCATGTTTTTTATATTGATTACTTTCTGAAAAGATAGGAGAAAAAGGATAGGACCACAAAGGTTTATATGATATATAGGTATACCTCAGAGATATTGTGGGTTTGGTTCCAGTGAGTCATACAAACTTTTTGGCTTCCTAGTACATATAAAAGTTATATTTACCCTATAGTGTATTGTGTGTGCAATATTATTATGTCTGAAAAAAAACCAATGTACGTACCTTAATTAAAAATACTATTAAAAACGCTAATGAACATCTGAACCTTCAGTGAGTCATAATCTTTTTGCTAGTGGAAAGTCTTGCCTTGATGTTGATAGCTGCCGACTGATCAAGTGGCTGTGGTAGTTTCCTAAAACAAGACAACAATGAAGTTTCTGCATCAGTTGACTCTTCCTTTCATGAAAGATTTCTCTGTAGCATGCAATGCTGTTTGATAGCATTTTACCACAGAACTATTTCAAAATTGGAGGAAGTCCTCTCAAACCCTGTCACTGCTTTATCATATAAATTTATGTAATATTCAGAATCCTTTGTTGCCATTTCAACAGTGTTCACAGCATCTTCACCAGGAGTAGGAGTTTAGTAGGCAGTAGCAGAAGACGTTTCTTAATTTAGAAACAGGAAATGCAAAGATAAAATCTGTTATCCGACCATAGAGGACAGTAGATGCCCTTGTAAAAATGGAGCTGAGAGAAACTACATTCTGACCATTGAATACTTTTTGTAAAATTGATGGTATTTTAGAAAGAAAATTACTTGTTTGTATTTTCATTTTTAGAAATGCCTTTCTGGGAGCAATTTAGATGATGATTTGGTGGGCAGGTAAGGCTGGAATCAGACCAAAGGCTTTTTTTTTTTAAACACTGATCCATTAGGGAACTAAAGAAAGTTCTTATTTATTTATTTATTTATTTATTTATTTATTTATTTATTTATTTATTTATTGAGATGGAGTCTTGCTCTGTCGCCCAGGCTGGAGTGCAGTGGTGCGGTCTCGGCTCACTACAAGCTCCACCTCCCGGATTCATGCCATTCTTCTGCCTCAGCCTCCTGAGCAGCTGGGACTGCAGGCGCCCGCAGTTTTGTATTTTCAGTAGAGACAGGGTTTTACCGTGTTAGCCAGGATGGTCTCAATCTCCTGACCTCGTGATCCACCTGCCTCAGCCTCCCAAAGTAGAAAGTTCAAATTTATAGAAGGTCAGTGAGAATGGAGAGGAAGTGACAGATTGTGCAAATATTCAGGCTCTGGAATGATTAGGAAAGATGAGAAAGAGGAAGTAATCTAAGGTGGTCCCTAGTTGTTTGACTTGGTAGCGTTCACTGAAAGTTTGTGTGAATATAGGTATTGGAGGATGGCTATGAGAGTAGTTTGGACATCCTGACTTTTAGATCTGTGACATTAAATACATGTTGAATTTTGGAACTTTCAAGCTGTGTAGTCTAAGTGATATTTTTTGCTTTAGTAGTTATGAGTAAGAGCTTGTTAATTTCTGTAATCCATTGGCATTTTCATTTTGTACACCTAGATATCAACTATAAAAGTTGGACTATAGGGCTGGACATGATGGCTCAGTCCTGTAAGCCCAGTACTTTGGGAGGCTGAAGCAGGCAGATCTCTTGAGCCAGGAGTTCGAGACTAGCCTGGGCAACATGGCAAAACCCCATCTCAACCAAAATACAAAAAGTAGCCAGGTGTGGTGGCATGTGTCTGTAGTCCCAGCTACTCAGGAGGCTGAGTTGGGAAAATCACCTGAGCCCGGGAAGTCAAGGCTGCAGTGAGCTGTGATTGTGCCATTGCACTCCAGCCTGGGCAACGGGAGTGAGACTCTGTCTCAAAAAAAAAGTCGGACTGTCGTTTATTCATTCAACAAAAATTCCAAGCTAATTGGGTTAGGCGCAGGGCTACAATATTAATTAAACTCACCTGACCCTTACCTTCATGGACTTTCTAGTCTTGGAAGAAGAAATAGTTTATACCAATCAAATGATCTATTAATATACAATTAAAAACTGTTGATTAACACTAAGCAAACTTTCTTTGGTCTTAGTGTAGTGATAACAACAGCTTATGTGAATAAGGAACTCTTGTTAACCTATAAATTAAGTATACTTAGTGAGACAATTTGGTCTTCTGTTTGCTTTTGACAACTGACTTTGAAGGTGAAACTAATTTTGTCCATTTAAATATGATTGGGCAAGAGGTAGGTGTCTTAGAAATTGTGATCAGACATTCTCTGTCCCTTAGGGTTAGTAAGCTTTGTTTTAGTGTCAAAGAAAAGTATGGACTTTTATAGTGACATTGGTTTCTTCTAGCCTCCGAATTATAGATGAGTTACATGCCAAATCGCTTCGTATCATCAAATGGAGAGGAATTCTCAAGCTGGGCTTGAGTTTTACTCTATGACTATACCAAGGAAAGAGGAAAGCAGCTGTGGGTTTATTTAAATTCTACCTGTTAACTTGTAAGTGTTAGAACTGACAGTTACATAGTAACTGTAATAGGGCTTGTATGCATTTCTGAGCTATTAATAGAATGGATAAAAGTGTTTTAATAATTTTCTAATATTCATTGACTGAGAAGCTTGAAAGTTTCAAGAAGTATTAAAATGGCCAAAGAATGTATAAGGATTGTAATTATAAACAAATGATACTGAGACATTAGATGAGAGGACACATATACTATTGATTAAAATGAAACTTCATGACAAAGATGGGGAGAACACATTGAAAGACAGAAATACTGTAATGAAGTTAAGGAGTAAAATTTTGTGGAACTAAGCAAATATAAATACTTGAATAGAATTAATACTTGAGTGTATAATACAAGAAATGTGTTAATAGCTGTGACTGCTACAGTGCAAAATATTGGGTACAGAATTTAAAATCATATAATATTCTAAACATTTAGAGTCTTTGCCTGAAGATAAAATTGGAAAACTGAAAATAGCAGTTGTTTAAACAAGATAGATGTTTATTTCTCTCATATGTAAAAGATCATAGATACGTGGTCTTTTCCATGGGGACTGGTGGATTGTGAAATAATTGAAATTCTCAATATTTTAATAATCATTAAAGTATATTTTATTGTAATTTTAGAAGTATACCTGTTGATGTTTTTCAAAACTGGATTTTCCATTTAAAAAGGAAGAAGCTGCTAAGGCAGCACAATGGGAGGCAGCCAACTCTAGGTCTTTATTCCAAGCACCCTCTGGATATCCTCCTGTGCTGTTTTCATTCCTGTTGCCTGACGCTGGTGGGCATTCTGGGCCTAATGCTTCTTGCTAGTGGTGAAGACCAGACATATCTCACCTAATATGTACCATGAACAAGTTAATGTGCTACGTGTTGGGGTGAGGTGAGGGGCAGGGTGGGTCCCAGCCTGGTCCCACGCACTGGGCTTTTGAGAGGAACTGTTCCAGTTTATATCCCTTATTTCTGAAAAAACATGCGCGAGTGACCAGAGCATGGTGAACTTTAGTGAGCATACCTTTTTGGATGTTGATTGCCTTCCCAACCCCAGCTATGGCAGAAAGGATATTTAAAGGCCCACTAGTGCAGCCAGATATCATTGTGTTGGTGGGTGAACCTAGTGAGCACCCACAATTTGGAAAAGGAAGACCTGAGCCAATGATAACAACACCCTTGTCACAAATTATTATTGCCAGGTTGTCTGTGCCTTTGAACTCAGACAAAGTTGTGCACTACAAGCAGTGCATCATCTATACCAAGTTGTAGCAGAAAACCTTTCAGAAGACTGTCTACAGTGGTTATTGCTGGACTTTGCCCTGCCTATTTTGAGAGGAGGACTAAGGATAAATTACTCTTAGGCCTGTGGCAGCCCCAGAATGCAGTTGTGTAAAGAGTCCTTCTGCTGGTAATCTCTATGTGGATAAGAAATTGCCACCTACTTTTACCCACCATGAAGTATTTGGCAACTAACCTTAGCGTTGTCATTTTAGTGGTCCTGGTGGCCATTGTTGCTGGCATTGTAGTTCTGGTGGTCACCATCAGGAGAAAGTTGGGGAAATATAAGAAGATAGAGATCAAGGGTTGAGGGAGTTGAATATATGGGCAAGTGTATTAGTTTGTTCTCACATGGCTATCAGGAAATACCTGAGACTGGGTAATTTATAAAGAAAAGAGATTTCATTGACTCGCAGTTCTGCATGGCTGGGGAGGCCTTAGGAAACTTACAATCATGGTGGAAGGTACCTCTTTATAGGGCAGCAGGAGAGAAAATGAGTGCTAGCAGGGGAAATGCCAGATGCTTATAAAACCATCAGATCTCATGAGGACTCACTCACTGTCATGAGAACATTATAGGGGATACCACCCCCATGATTCAATTACCTCCTACTGGGTCCATCCCATGACACATGGGGATTATGGGAATTACAATTCAAAATGAGATTTGGGTAGAGACATAGCCAAACTATATCAGCAAGTATGGGTCTGTAGTAGGGAAGACATAAAGGGAGGGTTCAGGATCAGTTCAGAGTGAAACTTAATTCTCGGTCCAAGGCAGATACTTCCTCCATCATCATCCCCAACTTCCCTTCCTCCCTTTCCTTCCATTCTTCAGTTTGATGGTTTTGACCCAGGACTACCTCTCTTTCTGGCCTCATGTCCCAACCTTTCTTGAAGTGCTGTTTCTAATATTCTTTCTTACTCTTGGTCCAGGGCCAAGAAATCTGACTCTTGAATTCAGCAAAGGTAGATGTAAGAGGTCTCCATTGAATGATGTCTTTGATAGTATGTAAAGGAAAAGGTTAAGATGATACCCTAGGGCCATTTCAAAGTGATGGGATACCTTTTAAAGGTTTAATGAGTTTATGTGAGGAACAGTGCTTTTCTTTCTTGCATTTAGTTCTTTTAATTATCTCTCTCTGGTTCCAAATGGAAAGATTTGGCATCTTCATCCTGAATTCTACTTCATAGTTATCATCTTGTTGAAAAGAAAATTTTGGTTTTATTTGAACTTGCACAATAGCCATATTTCTTGTCTGTTATACCACCAATACATATGCTTTGCTTCTCACTTAACAGATAATTTTTTTTTTTTTTTCAAATAGAGATGTTGACCTTTCAAATAGGTCAGTGTTGTCCAGGCTGACCTCGAACTTCTGGGCCCAAGTGATCCTCCCCGGCCTGAGCCTCTCGAGTAGCTGGGACTACAGGTGCATATGGCCATGACGCCAAGCCCAGGGAATATTATTTTTTTGCTTAAACAATTTCCTTCCTTCCCTCCTTCCTTCCTTCCTTTCTTCCTTCCTTCCTTCTTTCCCTCCTTACTTCCTTACTTCTTTCTTTCCTGCCTTCCTGCCTTCCCACCTTCCCGCCTTCCCTCCTCCCCTCCTCCCTCCTCCCTTCCTCCCTCCCTCCCTCCCTTCTTTTTTTTTTTTTTGAAAAAAGACTCTGTCCACAAACTGCCAGTGTTTATTCTGCAGGTCACTCATTAAAGCTATTAGTAATATTTTATTATGTAAAAATGTTTGTACATATTTTGTCTTTGATAATTTTGCAGCAACTTTCTTAATATAACAAATCTAATGAAATATAATAAAATATGGGGAAAGCATAAAGTGAAAGATGGAGTTTGAATTTCAGTCAGATTATGCAAAAAAAAACAAAACAACACCCAACCAAAACCAATACAGCTTTTCTGGGGGGTCCTGGTGAGAGGTTGTGCATCATCAGATAAAATAAATGGAACTTCACAGATAACTAATTGGATAAATGAAATATTTACGTCCATCAGTGAACTGTCAAACCAGGGCACATATTTTAGAACTGATTAATTAATTTGATCCTCAGAAATTTTCAGATTTTATAACCCATAGTGTCTCCACAATTGTATTTTTATAAAGCTATCATCATTGAACCCCTTTAGAGATTCAGCTGAATTACCTTTATACTCCTTCATTTTTATACTCTACAGTTACAGCTCATCATCTTGTACATGTCTTAGACCAATATTTGGAACTGGTCCAGGATATTTTACAATAAGTCCTGGTCATATGAGTAACTTTTAGGTTATTCAAGCATAAAAGTAGGAAAGTGCTAAATATAAGCTGCATTTCTCCCAGTCTTTTAGTTTTTTTGTTTTTGTTTTTTTTTTTCTTTTTTTTTGAGACAGAGTCTTGTTCTGTCACCCAGGCTGGAGTGCAGTGGCGCGATCTCAGCTCACTGCAACCTCTGCCTCCTGGGTTCATGCGATTCTCCTGCCTCAGCCTCCCGAGTAGCTGGGATTACAGGCGCACACCACTACGCCTGGCTAATTTTTTTTGTGTGTATTTTTTTTGGTAGAGACGGGGTTTCACTGTGTTGGCCAGACTGGTCTCGAACTCCTGACCTCGTGATCCACCCACCTCAACCTCCCAAAGTGCTGAGATTACAGGCGTGAGCCACCGTGCCCAGCCAGTCTTTAGTTTTTAGTCATGAAGTGTTTGAATTGTCTTCTGTTTCTCAGAGATACATGTATTTTTATTTTATTTATTTAGAGACGGAGTCTCACTCTGTCACCCAGGCTGGAGTGCAATAGCATGATCTTGGCTCACTGCAACTTCCATCTCCTGGGTTCAAGTGATTCTCCTGCCTCAGCTTTCCTAGTAGATGGGATTATAGGTGTGTGCCACCAGGCCTGGCTATTTTTTGTATTTTTATTTATTATGTATTTTTATTTTTATTTTTTGAGATGGAATCTCGCTCTGTTACCCAGGCCGGAGTGCAGTGGCTCGATCTCGGTTCACTGCAACTTCCGCCTCCCGGATTCAGGCGATCCTCCTGCCTCAGCCTCCCGAGTAGCTGGGATTACTGACGTGTGCCACCACGCCCAGCTAATTTTTGTATTTTTAGTAGAGACAGCGTTTCACTATGTTGGCTAGGTTGGTCTTGAACTCCTGACCTCAAGTGATGGACCCACCTTGGCCTCCCAAAGTGCTGGGATTACAGGCGTGAGCCACTGCATTTGGCTTTTTTTTTTTTTTTTTTTTTGGCTCCCTTTGTTGCCCAGGCTGGAGTGCAGTGGCACGATCTTGGCTCACTGCAACCTCCGCCTCCTGGGTTTAAGTGATTCTGCTGTCTGGCCTATTTTTTGTTTTTTGTTTGTTTGGTTTTTTGAGACAGAGTCTCGCTCTGTCACCCAGGCTGGAGTGCAGTGGCACAGTCTTGGCTCACTGCAACCTCTGCCTCCGAGTTCAATCGATTCTCCTGCATTAGCCTCCCAAGTAGCTGGGATTACAGGCACACGCCACCACACCTTGCTAATTTTTTTTTGTTTGTTTTTAGTAGAGACTGGGTTTCACCATGTTGGTCAGGCTGGTCTCGAACTCCTGACCTCAGGTCATCTGCCCGCCTTGGCCTCCCAAACTGCTAGGATTACAGGCGTGTGCCACTGCGCCCGGCCTTGATTGGCTTTTTAAAGATAAAATAGGCCAGGTGCAGTGGCTCATGCCTGTAATCCCAACACTTAGGGAGGCCAAGACAGGCGGATCACCTGAGGTTAAGAGTTCCAGACCAGTCTGACCATTGTGGTGAAACCCCATGTCTATTAAAAATACAAGGCTGGGTGTGGTGGCTCATACCTGTAATCCCAACACTTTGGGAGACGAAGGCGGGTAGATCACAGGGTCAGGAGTTCGAGATTAGCATGGCCAACATAGTGAAACCCCTTCTCTGCTAAAAATACAAAAGTTATTTGGTTGTGGTGACACGTGCCTGTAGTCCGAGCTACTTGGGAGGCTGAAGCAGGAGAATTGCTTGAAGCTGGAAGCGGAGGTTGCAGTGAGCTGAGATTGTGCCATTGCACTCCAGCCTGGGTGACAGAGCGAGACTCCCATCTCACAAAACCAACCAAACAAAAAAAACAGAAAATAGGCTGGGCAGCAGAATCACTTGAACCCGGGAGGCGGAGGTTGTGGTGAGTTGAGATGGCGCCACTGCACTCCAGCCTGGGCAACAGAGGGAGACAAAAAAAAAAATAAAGCCAAATGCAGTGGCTCACGCCTGTAATCCCAGCATTTTGGGAGGCCAAGGCAGGTGGATCACTTGAGGTCAGGAGTTCAAGACCAACCTAGCTAACATGGTGAAACCCTGTTTCTACTAAAAATACAAAAATTAGCCAGCATGGTGGCATGCATCGGTAATCCTGGCTACTTGGAAGGCTGAGGCAGGAGGATTGCCTGAATCTGGGAGGTGGAAGTTGCAGTGAGCCGAGATCGAGCCAACCATTGCACTACAGCCTGAGCATCAAGAGCGAAACTCCATCTCAAAACAAAAACAAAAGCCCAAAAACAACAACAGAAAAAACCCAAAAAACCAGTCAAATATAGCAGTGGCGGGTGGCGGGTTGTATACCAACTTTAATGACACTAATGTTAATAAGTTCTGATAACCCACTACCATCAGACCAGCCATGTGTATATTTGTATATATCTACTGATTGATTACCCTCCCCAGTAGATAATGAGCAAGTGAAGAGCGAATTCATGTTTTGCTATTTGTTGAACAATGTGTTAAGAATGTTTTTATGAGGGAAAGATGTTAACATAAAAGGTATTTGACAAATTTCTAAATTTTCCTTGGACTTGATTAATCTTTACTCTTACTTTGACCTAATATTGTGTTAAGTGTAGGCTATTTTTTTGTTTTGTTTTTTTTGAGATAAACTTTTGCTCTTGTTGCCCAGGCTGGAGTGTAATGGTGCCATCTTGGCTCACTGCAACCTCCGCCCCCCCGGGTTCAAGCTATTCTCCTGCCTCAGCCTTGCGAGGAGCAGGGATTACAGGGACCCGCCTGGCTTATTTTTGGCTGGCTAATTTTTGTGTTTTTGGTAGAGATAGGGTTTCACCACATTGGCCAAGCTGGTCTCCACCTCCTGACCTCAGGTGATCTACCCACCTTGGCCTCCCAAAGTGCTGGGGTTACAGACATGAGCCACCATGCCTGGCCTGGCTAATTTTTCTTTTTAAGCAATTTAGTTCTGTTTTCCCTTTATTTTCCTAGGATGAAAAGTAATACATAGAATATACAGAATGTATTGGGTCAAAAGCTATAAATTGCTTTTTTTTTTTTTTTTTTTTGAGATGGAGTTTCATTCTTGTTACCCAGGCTAGAGTGCAAATGGTGTGATCTCGGCTCCCTGCAACCTCCACCTTCCAGGTTCAAGCGATTCTCCTGCCTCAGCCTCCCGAGTAGCTGGGATTACAGATGCCTACCACCATGCCTGGCTAATTTTTGTATTTCTAGTTGAGACAGGGTTTCACCATGATGGCCAGACTAGTCTCATACTCCTGACCTCAAGTGATCCACCTGCCTCGGCCTGCCGAAGTGTTGGAATTACAGGTGTGAGCCATCAGGTCCGGCCTCAAATTGCTTTTTTCATTTCATAGCTGTTTGAAAATCCTCAGATGATAGATTAATATTTGCTTAAGAGTGAAGTTGTTTTTTTTTTTTAACATAATTAGAAAGTCTCTGAAATTAACTTTGGGTATTTTAACGTGTCTTAAATGAGTCTAGCAGCTTCATGTATAGTTCACATGCTGTTAAAAAATGTACTTTAAATCAGTAGCTTATCATGATAGACAATTTCTCATTTATGTAACCATCCAATACCAGAGTTAGTGGTAGCTATCTTTTCTTCATAGGATGATTCAGGAATCTAAGCCCCTCCATTTTCTGGCTCTTCTTACCCCTAGAGCCTTCATGTTGTTTGCATTCACTTGGTTGGAAGGGGAGAGAGAAAGAGAAGCAGTGTCTACTTCTTAGAAGCCTTTGGCCCCTCTATTTACATTCCATTGATGGGAACTTACCACATACTCAGGTGAGCTAAGTAATGTATTTCATAGCTGGATGCTTGCTTCCCCATGTTAGTGCATACAGATTAGTCACACTACAATTATTTTTAGGTAATTAGAAGGCATGCAGTAAATATTTTGCTTTTGTTTAATTTCTCCAAAACACAATAGATTATAAAAGCTGCTGATTAGTGCCAAGATAAGAAGAGCATTCACTGCCTTCAGGTTACTTAGAGCTAGATCCTTGAAGGAAGTTAGAAACTTTAAATAGGAATTTTCTTAGCCTCTGTTCAGTTACACCTAAAGGTACCTACTGTTACTCGTGAGCTTAGCTTTTAGCAAATATATTGATGTTATTATTTTTCTGTACTTGCTGATTTCAAACACGTGGTTTTAAATTAACATGGGTGTTTTAGATAATATTAAGTCCCTTCATGATTTCCCGTAAATCATTTTCCAAAGGCTTTATCCCTATATATATAGAATTTTATACAGATTATCTAGGGCAGATCAAGTAAGTAAAGAGATGACTGTAGTGTTTGTGATTATGATGTGTGTGTGTGTGTGTGTATATGTATATGTATACACACACATAAAGGATTATACATTTACTGGTTTTATTTAATGTTTAGGAAAAATGGACTTTATGTATTTACATACTTCATTTATATTATTGTTTATAGATGTTTAAATATATGAAATATGGTGGACTTTCTATTAGTTTAATTTTCAAAGAGGGAACCTAACTTACTTTAATGCTTCTAGCCAAATTATCCTGCATGTACCCTCAGTAAGAATTGAAATACAGAAAACATTGCATGAATAAAGCTATATCCAGGTATAAATGAGATTTCTTAAAAATTCTTTCTCAATAAATTTGGTTTGAATATGCCTGTGCAGTTTCTCATTGTACACTGACTTGAATCATGTATGAAGCAGAATCCTTGCAAAAAGCTAATTCACAATTTGTTTCCAAACTACTAAAGAAAACTGAATGTATGTTGATAGAATTTCTCACTATTTGCTAGGTTTTAGTCTTAGCTTTTGAGATAGGAAGACAAAAGAGATTTGTTTACTTCCAGTGAGGACCTTTGATCTCAGTACAGGATTTCTTAATCTGGAGTCAGTGCTAGGATTCTTGGAGGACATGAACACAGATGGAAAGAGTGGTGAAAAGGAAAAAATTGGAATTGATTAATTTTATTTTTTTATTATTATTATTATTATTATTATTTTTGAGTCTCACTCTGTCACCCAGGCTGGAGAGCAGTGGTGCCATCTCAGCTCACTGCATTCAAGTAATTCTCCTGTCTCAACCTCCTTAGTGGCTGAGATTACAGGCCACCATGCCCAGATAATTTTTGTGATGTTTTGTTTGTTTGTTTTGAGATGGAGTCTCACTCTGTCGCCCAGGCTGTAGTGCAGCGGCGTGATCTCGGCTCACTGCAACCTCCGCCTCCCGGGTTCCAACGATTCTGCTGCCTCAGCCTCCCCAGTAGCTGAGATTACAGGTGAACACCACCATACCTGGCTAATTTTTGTAATTTTAGCAGAGACAGGGTTTTACCATGTTGGCCAGGCTGGTCTGAAACTCCTGACCTCAGGTGATCTGCCCATCTTGGCCTCCCAAATTGCTGGGATTATAGGTGTGAGCCAGTGCTCCCAGCCTGGAATTGATTTAAAAGACGTAAGTGAGAAAACTGATCTAGGACAGGTAAAATAATTGTTGAAGGCATTGGAGATGAAATTTATAGCTGTTCCAGTTCATATAATTATTTGATATTTTTCCTAAGGCTCTGTAACCCAGATATTAGTAATCTAAATTTACTCTTCAGCAAAAAGAACAAGAATGTGAGTTATGATTCATTCCAGGAACTCCTTTCAGTAGTTGTAGTTCATTGAGTGTCCTGAGTTACTTAAAACAAGACAGAGTATAATCTGGCATGTATAGTCTTAGAAAATGTTTATAGATGTCATGCTGTTTGCAGCATTAATGGGCTGGGATATGAATGTCTCCTAACTGGATGCAGAGAGGACCTGAAAAAACATAATTAAGAAAGTTAAAAGCCCCATATTCCATATTAAAACTTCATCCTTCACCTGTCACTCAGAGGCTTGCCTTGGTATGTTCCTTGCTAGCTTCTCCTCAGACCTACAGAAGTAGAAATTGTGGATTGAAAGATATTGGATGTATCTTCAATAAGAATATCAAAATACCTCAGCATTATGGCTCAAATTAGGATAGAGAACACTGAACCAAGAAACAAAGCTTCAGTGACTGGGCATGGAAGGAGGGATGGCTTATGAGGCTGATCTATCACAAGGTGGAGGAGTGGTGGTAGGAATCCTGGCAAGGGTCCTAAAGGCTGATCAGTCTTTTGAATGCTGATAGAAACAGGATGGCTTGCATGTGATAGTTAATAGCTAGGAGACAGCAGTTATCATAAAGTACCTAAAAAGTAAGTACTGTAATATTCCAAGGTTACTGGGATAATAGCCCAGTTTTAGATAAGGGCCAAGGAGGTTTTGTGAACTGGTTGAATGTATAGAGGAATTTTACTGTGTGAACTACTAGTTTATTGTGTCCAGTCCAGATATTTTTAGTGGAAATAATCTTGAAGGAAGATCAGTGGAAGAATAAGGAGAAAGAAACCAAGACCAGTATGGTATTTTAGAGTACCAGGACAGGAGAGCATTGTGCTTTTAACGATTGTTGGTGATACAGATTACATGGTCATTTAAAAAGTTTTATTGGCTTAGGTGTTTAGAATAAATTGGCTTTAAAATTGAACAGTTGTATAGGCTCTCCAGCTGGTGTTTTGTTTTGTTTGGCTTTGAGTGACATGTAGCTGATCCCCAGGTATTTTACAGTGGGGAAAATACTATGAGGAGACAAAGATAGAAAGTTGTCATTATTTAACTGGGACGGTCTTGGGCAAGTCACTAAACATCTTCCCTCCCCTAGTTTCCTTATAATTGATCTTCTGTCTAATTAGGTTTGTTTTTTTGTTTTTGTTTTTGTTTTTTAAATCTCCTTGAGAGACAGTGTCTCATTCTATTGCTCAGGCTGGAGTGCCATGGCACGATCTTGGCTCACTGCAGCCTTTGCCTCCTGGGTTTAAGCAATTGTTGTGCCTCAGCCTCCCAAGTAGCTGGGATTACAGGTGTGCACCACCACACCTGGCTAATTTTTGTATTTTTAGTAGAGACAGGGTTTCACCACGTTGGCCAGGCTGGTGTCGAACTCCTGACCTTAGGTGATCCACCCACCTTGGCCTCCCAGAGTGCTAGGATTACAGGCATGAGCTACTGCACCGGCCCTTATTAGGCTTCATGTGAGAATCAGGTGAGGCTGATTTATGTCAGTATATTGTTCTACAAATTATTTTAATTATACTTGGCTTCATGATAACATTAAAAAAATTCATGATAAATTCAGCCCAGTTTCAGTGGACTTAATGTGGTTCTGATTTTGTAGAATTTTTTTTGTATTTATAGATATTATATTGAGTTCTAGAATACATCATGTTAAAATTTAACTTAAAACTAGAAAAAAGTTAGAATGAGAAGGATTCTGAGTGGTCCTGTTTTGAGTCAGGCAATACCTTCTTAAGCATATACAATATCCCTTACCCTGAATTAATTTTTTAATTTAATCTTCTTTTAAATTGTGTATTAAATGAATTGCCTGAGAGCCTACTGCTTTTAATAAGATGCTAAGGTTAATCAAAATAATTCATTTCAATATTGACTTAGTTGATACCATTATATTTTGTAATAAAGAAATAATGCAGCTATAGAGAAGAAGCATAGCAGTTCAGAATGGGTCTAAAAATTCTGACACTAGTCTATGCACAAAGAGAAAAATAAAGGTAATGAATTTCTCTTCTTAACCTTTTTTTGATTCTTTTCTTTACTATTGTGGCAACCCTTTGCTCATCTCTCAAGTTATTTGTGGAGATTTGCTGGTTCATGAAATAACATCTTGGAATTGCTAATTTATTTTTTATTTTATTTATTTATTTTTTTGACATGGAGTCTGACTCTGTTGCCTAGGCTGGAGTACAGTGGCTTGATCTCTGCTCACTGCAGCCTCCGTCTCCTGGGTTCAAGTGAGTCTCCTGCCCCAGCCTCCCAAGTAACTGGGACTACAGGCACGCACCACCACGCCTGGCTAATTTTTGTAGTTTTAGTAGAGATGGCGTTTCGCCACATTGGCCAGGCTGGTCTCGAACTCCTGACCTCAGATGATCCACCCACCTCAGCCTCTCCAAGTGCTGGGATTACAGGCGTGAGCCACCGTGCCCAGCCTGGAATTGCTAATTTATATGATCCAAATTTAAAGCCTGGCATTATACCATTAGCAACTAGCAAAGGATTTTTTCCTTCCTTTTTCCATTATCAGCTCTTGCTAATGGCTCTCTGAGAAACAGGTGGTTAATGTTAACTGCTACTTCAAAAGCATCTGTTACATGTGAAACAAACTCCCTCAGCTCTCCTTAAAACTGTGGTGAGCCTCTTCTAGCCGTGTTTATTACCTGAACTTCTCTCATTGCAGGTATTGGCTATGTACCTTTGATACATTTGTGTTTCTTTGTTAACCCCCCACCCCCACCTCTTCAACCCCCACACAAAAAACAAAGCAGGATTAAATGTTTTCCTATAGCAGGAACTATGGTAAGCACTTTTTGTATCCACTTAGCACCTTCCACTGTAAAATGTATATAGTCAGCACTTAGTGACTTACTAAGATGATTTAACAAATTATTTCCTTTTAGATGTATAATTTTTAAAATAATGTTTATTACTTTTTTATTTAACTCATATATACTCTTGTTAGAAATTTAGAAGAAAACTTTAAAAGGAAGAGAAGAAAGTATCACACATAGTCATAATTTTTAAGATTTTGGTTCCTGGTGTTTTGTTTGGTGTTTGGTTTAGGCTTATGTTAAAGTTATATTTGTTTTATAAAAGTGGAATGATTAATTTTTTCCACTGTTGATATTCCTTGAATATATGTGAATTTTTAATATATGGTATTCCATAAAAAAATTCCATTTTTTCATTTCCATTTTGATTGTGTTATAATTTTTCATTATCCTAAGTAGAAGTAAACATTTAGAAAATCTTGATGCCCATATAATTTTTCATGTGATTCGTTTAACTAGGGCTGCTGGGTCCAAAAATATTAATATTTTTAAGGTTTTGTATAAATGTAACCAAATAGCTGTCTCTTCCTACCAGCATTGTAAATACTTATTTTGCAAACCTCTGGCAACACTGAGGGTCATCATTTAAATACATTATTTGTCATTTGAAAGATTAAAATGGTCTATTTGCGTTTCTTTGATAAAAAGACAGGTGGTTTTTTTTCTGAAATATTTGTGTTTCCTTTAAAAATCTTTTTAAAATAACTTATATGTATTGCAACAGCAAAATATTAGGGATTGTTTTTGAACTTGCTGAATGATTGAGTAGAACCTACATGTAAGTGGCAAGAAAATTCTGGAAATGAAGAGTAATGAAGGACTTGCTCTACCGATTTGTAGATTGTATCATAAAACTTCAGAAAATAGTAATGTAAATTAGCGGAGCTCAACAGCTGGCAGATGGATCACTTGAACAGAAATAGACCTAAGTGTATCAATAACATAACTAAGTTAAAAATTATGTTCTTGTCTGGGCTTGCTGGCACATACCTATAATCCCAGCACTTTGGGAGGCTGAGGTAGGAGGATTGCTTGAGCCCAGGAGTTCACTAGCTTGGACAACATAATGAGACCTCATCTCTACAAAAAAATTTTTGTTCTCCTGATACTTTCTTTCTCTTATAATTGTGACTGACAGTTGATTAACAACTTGAAAAAAAAGAAAAGCACAAGATTTTTACCTCATACCATATACCAAAGTAGAGTCTAGATGTAGTAAATAATAAAATAATAATTCAATGAGAAAAAAATTTGGTGAAAAACTTAGATTTAAGAATTATACAAGAGGCCGGGTGCGGTGGCTCACGCCTGTAATCCCAGCACTTTGGGAGGCCGAGGCGGGTGGATCATGAGGTCAGGAGATCGAGACCATCCTGGCTAACAAGGTGAAACCCCGTCTCTACTAAAAATACAAAAAATTAGCCGGGCGCGGTGGCGGGCGCCTGTAGTCCCAGCTACTCGGGAGGCTGAGGCAGGAGAATGGCGTGAACCCGGGAAGCGGAGCTTGCAGTGAGCCGAGATTGCGCCACTGCAGTCCGCAGTCCGGCCTGGGCGACAGAGCGAGACTCCGTCTCAAAAAAAAAAAAAAAAAAAAAAAGAATTATACAAGAATAAATGCAAACTCAGAGCAAATGATTTGTTTGCCTACTTTGTATATTCAGCCTTTTACCATATAATAGCCACCTTTTTACTGTTTAGTGCTTCTAATCTTTAATACTAACTTGATGTTAATATTGTCACCACAGTTTTTCTGTTTTTTTATTTACCTAGTATTTATTGATTCGTATCTTTATTTTCTTCTTTTTTATTTTTATCTAAGTAATACATGTACATGACTTAAACAAATCAAATGAGCCGGGCGCGGTGGCTCATGCCTGTAATCCCAGCACTTTGGGAGGCCAAGGCAGGCATATCACAAGGTCAAGAGATCAAGACCATCCTGGCCAACATGATGAAACCTCATCTCTACTAAAAATACAAAAAATTAGCTGTGCGTGGTGGTGCACGCCTGTAGTCCCAGCTACTTGGGAGGCTGAGACAGGAGGATTGCTTGAACCTTGGAGGTGGAGGTTGCAGTGAGCCGAGATCGCACCACTGGACTCCAGCCTGGCGACAGAGTGAGACTCCGTCTCAAAAAAAAAAAAAAAAAAAAAAAAAAAATTCAGATGGTATTGTGACCAAAATAGCAATCCCCTGTTCTGTCCTCTCCACTTCCAACCTGGTGGAATGTTTTCATTTCTTTTAGCTTTTTTCTCCTCTGGCATTTACATAATTATTTACTGATATTTTATACGTATACACTGACAGCATTGTACTAATTGTTTATGATGAACGGGGAGTACATCTAAAGCCTTAGTAAAACATATGCAAAGTAGAATGTAGGAGTTGCCCCTCCAACCCTGTCAAATTCAGAGCCTGGTGGACACCTCAATAAAGTTTCAGGGCAGTCAGTGGTCTGGAACATGTTACCAGAATGTGATGTTTTGTGGAATAAAATGACACATTGGAGAATCCCATGTAGAAAGTAACTGTGGGCAGCTTCTTGGCCCTGAGGTTTGTCTCTAGCCATTAGCCAGCAGGACGTCAAGGGCTTCAGTTATACAACCACAAGGAAATCAACCTAAGTGAGCTTAGAAATCGCTTCTTCCCAGTTGAGCATCCAGATTAGAATGCAGCACGGTAAGTGCCTTGATTGCAGCCTAATGAGACCCTAGAGGATTCAACTGAGCTGTGTTCAGATTCCTGAATCCACAGAAATTGTGAGATATTAGATAACCAATACAACTACCTTATGGCAGAGACAGGAGAACTAGCATAGTGCTAAAGCATTCATACTTAGTTGAGTACGAAGGTATACTTCTGTCATTTCAGGTAACAACTTGCTTTGAGTGGTTCTTGTTAATTGGAGAAAAAGGAGTTAGTGAGGTCAGTAGCTGCATATCAAGTTCCAGGGGCTGCCACTACAGTTAATGTAACCACCTAGTTAAGTTTATTATAGTCCATAGTCATTCTTCAAGATCCCTCTAACTTCAGCATAGGCCAAACTAGTGAGTTAAATGAAGATGTAATAGATTTTACCACCCCTGCTTCTTTCAAGTCTTTGATTAAACTCTGCAATTTCCCAGGGATGTAGTGTTTACTTCTAGTTTATTATCTTGGTAGGGAGAGGAAGTTCCACGAACTTCCTTTTAGCCATATTTAACCTTAATGACCTTAATCGTGTAGGTTAGAAAGCTGATAATGGGGTTTCTGCCAGTTGCCAAGTATGTCTTTTCCAATTACACATTCTGGAAGTGGGGAAATAACCACAGGGTGGGTCAGTGGTGGTCCCACTCTTAGACAGACATGAGTTACAACTCCATCATCTATTACCTGACCACTGTAAGCCCCTGATTTAACTGGTGGACTGCAATGGCATTTTGAATCCCCAGGAATTAATGTCAATTCAGAGACAGTGTCTATTAATACATGAAAGGTCTGGATATTTCCTTTCAACAATGCACAGTATCTCTAATTAATGGCTACAGGTCCCTTTGGGAAAGGATTAAAAGATTTATTGTATGTACTTGGAATAGTTGTACAGGGATCTGGTTCCCCTTCAGTCAGGGGGCTCTGGGTCTGTGAACTGAGACAGGTCTGGAGACTGGTGAGAGTCCATAACTCTCCACAAGTTAGATTTCTGCCTACCAGGCCTAAAGTTTTTTCTTCTCCATAAATCAAACAGTATTCTTGTGGGCTGCCCACCTATATTGTTCCTAGGGGTACTGGTAATGTTATCTACTGCCCAAGATCTCTGCAGGCCAAGACGTTGTGAATACCAGTGTGTCCCTACTGCCCTTTATAGACAATTTGCTCTCTTGGTCTTTGATGGTTAAGTGTGGCCACTTGGGCTGTGTTACCTTGGGATCCCATCATCTCCATAGAAATCTCTTAATGACCACATTCCCCATAGTCATATCTGGCTTACAAAAAAGAGTAAGCTTACAGAACTTTAAAAGCACATAGATATAGTTACTCCCTTCACTATTGTAGTTTTCATTGCCTCTGGGCCCTCTTGTGGAGCATAGTTGAGGAATGGGGCTGCATGTGTATAGTTCTCACATGGTAAGTCTAGTCCAGCATTCCTAACTCCCTAATCTGTCAAGGCCAGGGAGGCTCTGGTATCTCAGCTGTTAAATCCAGCTTTCAGTGCACCAACCAGATAAACTGTTGTAGTCACTTTCAGCGACAGGAACTAATGTATGAAGTCTGGAATCTCTAGTAAGTGCGCCTGATACCAATGAATTTGGCGTGTTATGGTTTTATACCACCTCCTTTGGTAAAATACATTTAGAATCTACTATCATACATGTTCCTCAGATTTCTGTTGAGTATATAAGCTATTTTCTTCTGGGTTATAGTGTGTATTTGTGTTCTTGGAGCATGGTGAGATTTGACCCTAGTCATGGATCTAGTGGCATCAGGGGCTGGTTTTGGTAAGTCTTCAGGAGAATGAGCATCCCCCTTCAAGGCATCTGTCCATGTAAAGTTATCAGAGGGCTTTCAAGCTTAAGAAGGCTAGTATTCTCAAACCTTGGAAAGCAAGCTACTTCCACTGGTATGGGAGGCTCAGAATTACTTGGAGGATGGGGGAGAGCTATTCAAAATTGTTAGTTTGATCTGGGACCAACCAGATTTCTCTGTTCCAAGTTTTTGGATCCCATTCTTTGCCAGTTAAGATCCTTACTTCCAGATGAGAAACTTGGTGAGACTGAATTAAACTGTTATTGCCTCTGATACAATTAGATTTTATTGGCTTGATTTTCAACAAAATCAGCCCCTCACCTATAAGAAATGAGACATTCTAGGATTCTTCATGGAAGTTCTCTGGTTCTCAAATTACGACTTAAGCTGAGCATTAATTGACTTGAGCTTTTTGTTTTATCTCTGTGAATACTCAGGTGTACTTAAAAGGATCTTTCTTAACCCTGCTGCCTTTACAGCCATAATTATTGCCGTAATTCCTAAATTCAGCAGCCATGTAAGCTTTCAAGGCATGTGCTTGAATTGGTACTTTATCACAATCAGCCACCAGCAATAGCTTGATTAATTTTCCCAAGTTACTATATGACATCGATTACTAGCATTCCATTTCCTTGGCAAGGAGCTAAGCTCTATCTTTAATCCAAAGCAAACGAATCTACTTTAATCCAAAGCAAACGAATCTATCTTTCTCCAAAGCAAACGAATCTACTCTTAAGCAGCAGTATAGAATACGAATTCTCTGTGCCCTTGTCTGCTTAACCAAGGTCCTACTAAATGGCTTACTGAGAAAAGTATACTTAACCTAATAGAATTTGAAGAATGTGGACTCTGTACTATGTAGATATCTAGATTGAATTGATTTATCTTTTAGGTTTACCTTACAGGGAGCTTAGGCAGATTTAAAACTCATCTTTAACCACCATATTGACTGCTCTTTTCCATATATTTATATTTCCTCTTTGTAGCCTTGATGTTTTTTATTCTTCTCAATTTAAAAAATGTTATTTTTTAACTACCTCATATTCCTTATGGAACAAGACAGAATATTAATTTTTATACTGCCTTCTAGTACAATATGATAAAATCATAATTATAGCAAATGTCATCATTTTTTGTCATATGAATGTAATCTATGATTCAGATGCTGCTTGTTATAGCTTTCTCATTGAGGATCTATGGCTCAGGTCTCGAGGTTTTCTTTGTATCCAAGTCTTAAACTGGAATCAATTGAGGACATTCAAGCCTATTAGTGTCACAAGTTGAATTTTTCCATACCTTTTCCCATGCTTATATGTATGTGTGTGTGAGAGAGAAAAAGAGAGATTTATTTATTTAAAAAATAGAATCATACTCATTTCTTTGTGCATTTGATGTCAGAAGCAACTGTTTCTGTCATTAGTGCTAACATAGATTCAGCTCATTTGTATTACTAGTTACATTTCATTCTACTGTATGGATATACTATCATTTAGTGAAACGTTCCTTTATAGACATTAAAATTGTTTCGTGGGGTTTTTAAAATAGTAAATAGTAGTATAATACCTATATCCATGCAAATAAATATTTTCTCTAAGTGGGAGGAAGGCAGCATATAAATATTAGTAGGCAGAGGGGCAGTTTTTGGCAGAGGTGACTTGCTATCTACCAAAAGTTATTTTTCCTTTTTCATAGTGAAGAACGTTCAAGGAGGCCGCTGGCAAACAGAGACTCCATTTCTCTACTTCCATTGCATTCATATATGGCTAGCTAACAAGTTCTTGCCTGTGAAGTATTAATATTAGCTGAAATGATATGCACAACTTCCAAACATGACTTACAAAAATTTCCCATGAAATGCTGTCTTATTACTGATATTCATGGTTGACCTTGGAAGCTGCTTGTTAAGGATACAAGATCCTATGTCACCTTAGGTCCCAGAATGATTGTGTGTCTATAATCTGTGATTCAGATGTTCTAAAGCTATAGCCTTCTCTTTGGGTCTGTGGCTGTGTTATCAGAAATAGCCTTTCTGTTAATTTTCTGTTGGAATTATATTGCATACTTTTCCTTATCCTCCAGATAGAGACAATCCACATTGGAATATTCTGTTTATTAAGGTAGAAGCCACTTTGGTAGGCCAAGGTGGGAGGATTTCTTGAGCCCAGATGTTCGAGACCAGCCTAGGCAAAATGGCGAAATCCCGTCTCTACCAAAAATACAAAAATTAACCAGGCACAGTGGCATATGCCTCTGTTCCCAGCTACTTGAGAGGCTGAGGTGGAAGGATAGCTTGAGCCTGGGAGATTTAGGCTACAATGAGCCGTGGTCATGCCACTGGACCCTAGCCTGGGTGAAAGAGTGAGACCCTGTCTCAGAGAAAAAAGAAAAACCCACTACCAAAAAGGTAGATTCTTAGGTCATTGATTTAAACCCTTCTTTATATAAACTGTAACTTAGCTATAAATTATAAATATTTAAAGCTCTAAATTTTCTTGTAAACACTACTGTAGGTGGATTCAACAGTTTTTGAGATGTTTTTATTCAGTTTTTTAAAATTTTCTCATTACCAAACATTTGGGGACATTTTAGGTATATTTTTGTTACTGATTTTTAAATCAGATTTAAACAGATTTTTAAATCTGTTATTGCAAGAGAGCTTGCTCTGTATTATTTCAGTGTTTAAAAACTTACAGAGGTTTGATTTATGATTTATTTTGGTGAATATTCTTGTTTGTACTTGAAAAGAATGTGTATTCTGTAATTGTTGGTGTTAAGTTTTATGTATTAGTTAGATCACATTAGTAATTTTATCCCTATCTTCTATACACTCATTAATTTTTTTGTTTGCTTCTTCTATCAGTTACCAAAAGATGTGTGTTAAAAATTTCAGCCATGGCTATGAATTTGCCTCTTTTAGTTCAATCTTTGCTTTATGTATTTTGAGACTCCTGTTATTTGGTGTTAAAATTTAATGTTGTTATAGCTTCCTAATGAATTTACTGTTTTATTATTATAAAATATTTCTCTTTATGTTTGGTAGCATTCCTTGTCTTGATTTCTACTTTGACATGAATATAACCACAACATGTTTCTTACGGTTAATGTTTGCATGGTGTGTGTATATGTGTGTATATGTATATATGTGTGTGTATGTATGTGTATATACACACATACACCATGCAAACATAAACCATAAGAAACCTGTTATTGTTATAGTTACATCAAAGTAGAAATCAAGACAAGGATGTGCGTGTGTGTGTGTGTGTGTGTGTATACACACACACATACATATATATCCTTTATTGTGGCCTATCTGCTCTTATATTAAAAGTGTGTCTCTTGTAAATATTATGTGGTCGGGTTTTTTTTTTGGGGGGACAGAGTTTCGCTCATGTCACCCGGGCTGGAGTGCAGCGGCACCATCTCGGCTCACTGCAACCTCCACCTCCCGGGTTCAACCAATTCTCCTGCCTCAGCCTCCCGAGTAGCTGGGACTATAGGCGCGTGCCACCATGCCCACCTAATTTTTGGTATTTTTAGTAGAATGGGATTTCACCGTGTTAGCCAGGATGGTCTCGATCTCCTGCCCTGTTGATCCGCCTGCCTCGGCTCCCAGAGTGCTGAGATTACAGGTGTGAGCCACTGCACCCAGCGTCTCACTCTGGGGCCAAGGCTGGAGTGCAGTGGCGCGATCTCCGCTCACTGCAAACTCCGCCTCCCAGGTTCTCGCCATTCTCCTGCCTCAGCCTCCTGATTAGCTGGGATTACAGGCACCCACCACCACGCCCCGCTAATTTTTTGTATTTTAATAGAGATGGGGTTTCACCATGTTAGCCAGGATGGTCTCCATCTCCTGACCTCGTGATCCGCCCGCTTCGGCCTCCCAAAGTGCTGGGATTACAGACATGAGCCACCATGCCCGGCCAGTTGGGTCTTTTTATCCAGCTTGGACAATCTGTCTTTCATGAGGTTGGTTTTTTTTTTATTTTTTGTTTTAGTTTTTTAGTCTCAAAATATTTTATTTGCCTTTATTTGAAATATTTTTTTTGGCCAGTTAAAAAATTCAGAATGGACTTTTTCATCTTTCTTCAGGACATTAAATATGTTACTGTATTATCCATGGGTTTGCATTGTTTTTGATGGGAAGTGTGTCATTATTCTATCCTTTGCTTCCCTATGTGTGTACCCTTTGGTTGCTTGAATTTTCTTTTTGAAAATTTTCAGCACAATTTGATTATATGCCATATGTGATTTCTAAAACAAATTCTTAACTTAGTCATGGTCCCCTGTATTTATGACAGGCTGCATTATCCACCCACCTATGCCCATACTTGGCAATGCTTCTAACAGTTGCCATTCTCTGCCAACTCAAGAAAGGCTCATACATGACTCCTTGAAGTTTAATTCTTTTTTTTTTTTTTAATCCTTTTCTTTTTTAAAGATAAGGTCTTGCTCTGTCACCCAGGCTGGAATGCAGTTGAAGATCACAGTTCATTGCAACCTTAAACTCCTGGACTCAAGTGACCCTCCCACCTCAGACTACTGAGTAGCTGGGATTATAGGCATGTGCCACTGTGCCCAACTAATTATTTTAAAATGTTTTGTAGAGTGAGGGTATCACTGTGTTGCCTAGGCTGCTCTCGAACTCCTGGCCTCAAGTGGTCCTTCCGCATTGGCCTCCAAAGCTCTGAGATTACAAGTGTGAGCCATTGCACCTGGCCTGGAGTTTAGTTCTTTAAATTCATTTATCTTCATATCTTTATGAAAGCTTATAAAAGGTACAACTTTGTTTACTTCTGGATGAATAACCAATATATCAGGGTCAGTATCATTTATTATATAAATAATTTTCCCCTCTAAAATTGAAACGTCTCCTTTGTCATAGTGGAAGTTATATATATCTGGATCTATTTCTTCTGCATTTATTTTTTCCCTTAATGCAAAGGGCTATTATTTATTTTTATTTCTGTACTTTGTTCTCTTACTTGCTTACTTTTTTTTTTTTTTTTTTTTTGAGACAGTCTTGCTCTGTCACCCAGGCTGCAGTGCAGTGGCACGCTCACAGCTCACTGCAGCTTCCTCCTCAACCTCCACCTCCTGGGCTTAAGTGATCTCTCACCTCAGCCTCCCAAGTAGCTGGGACCACAGGTGTGCACCACCACACCTGACTAATTCGTGGATTTTTGGTAGAGGCGGGTTTTGCTACATTGCCCAGGCTGGTCTCAAACTCCTGAGCTCAGGAGATCTGCCTGCCTCAGCCTATGAAAGTGCAGGGTTTACAGGAATG
This sequence comes from Homo sapiens, assembly GCF_000001405.40. Lineage (NCBI taxonomy): Eukaryota > Metazoa > Chordata > Mammalia > Primates > Hominidae > Homo > Homo sapiens. The sequence goes on along the minus strand of NC_000003.12, from coordinate 136,572,328 downwards.
GGCCACAGTGCCTGGCCTTGTTTACTATTTTACTATTTCTGATTGTTTTTCAGTTCCTTCGTAGTATGTTTTAATGTTTATTTTATTGTATTCATTTTATTTTTATTTATTTAATTGAAACAGTCTTGCTCTGTTTCCTAGGCTGGAGTGCAGTGGCACCATCTTGGCTCACTGCAACCTCTGCCTCCCAGGTTCAAGTGATTCTTGTGCCTCAGCCTCCTAAGTAACTGGGATTACAGGCATGTGCCACCATGCCTGGCTCTTTTTTGTTTTTTCTTTTTCTTTTCTGTCTTTTTGTTGGTATTTTTAGCATAGATAGGGTTTTACCATGTTGGCCAGGCTGGTCTGGAACTCCTGACCTCAAGTGAGCCACCCATCTCGGCCTCCCAAAGTGTTGGGATTACAGGCGTGAGCCACCGTGCCCAGCCTTATTTATTCATTTTAGAGACAGGGTTTCACTCTGTTGCGCAGGCTAGAGAGAGTGTGTTAGCATGGTAATAGTTCACTGTAGCCTCAAACTCCTGGGCTCAAGTGATCCTCCTGCCTCAGCTTTCCAAGTGGCTGGGACTGTGGTCACGTGCCACCATTCCTCACTAATATTTTTTTGTTTTGTTTTTTGGTAGAGATGAGGGTCTTTGTATGTTGCCCAGGCTGGTCTTGAACTCCTGGCCTCAAGTCATCCTCCTGCCTTGGCCTCCCAGGAGTTGTTGGAATTACAGGTGCAAGTCACTGTGCCTGGCCCCAAGTTTTTGTTTGTATTTTGACAGGGTCTCGCCCTGTCACTCAGACTGGTGTGCAGTGGTGCGATCTTTGCTCACTGCAGCCTTGACCTTACAGGCTCAAGTGATCCTCTTATCTCAGCCTCCCAAGTAAGCTGGGACTACAGGCATGCACCACCACTCTAGCTAATTTTTGTAATTTTTGTAGAGACAGGGTTTCGTCATGCTGCTCAGGCTTGTCTCAAACTCCTGTGCTCAAGTCGTCTGCCCACCTTGGTCTCCCAAAGTGCTGAGATTTCAGGTGTGCGCCACCACGCTCAGACCAAAGTGTTAATATTTCTGATGCAGGTTCCTGTGCACCAGTCTTAGAATGTTTTGAGCTCTTCATATGTAACTGGTGGGAGTATAAATTGGTACAATCACTTTGGGAATTAAAATTCTACTCAGACTGCCTTTATATTACTGGACCCCTGTAAAAGTGAGGAAGTGACTTCTTCAGTTTTATGCCACACTTTGTTACCTAGGTTGCAAAGCATTTCTGCTTCAGTCCTGAGTCTAAAAGTTGCTCTTAATCTGCTCTATTAACTTCTAGTTTTCACCATCATCCTGAGCTTGCAGAGCCTGACACATTATTCAGCAGAGGTGAACCTTGCCCAGATACCATGGTATTCTTTTCTTCTTGACCCTCTCTTACCACCATAATCTTCTTTCTAGTTTTCTCTTTACTTTAAAAACAAAACCCCCCAGACACTAATGTGATGAGACAGTGAAACAGTATTATGTATAGAAAGTCTTCTCTTTCACTTGGAGGAAGGGAAAGTGGTTCTTCCCAATGGAAGGTCATTGAAGAAGGGATATGCTTAATCAGCATGGGCTAAATTAAAATAACTGACAGTACCTAGTCTTGGGTGAGGATGTAGAGCATCTGAAAATCTCACATCTTGCTGGATGTCATACATTGCTGGTGGAAGTGTGATTTATTACAACTTGTTATGAGAAATTGTTTGGCATTATCTACTAAGCCTTGATGCGTGTGTGTAACGTGTGTTAACAGATCTGCTCTTGGTTCTGTAATACAGAAAAGAATGTTTACATTCATCAAATGTGTGTACATAACAGTTTTATTTGTGATAGCCCTAAACTGCAAAGAGTACTCATATTCCTCAACAGTAAAATGGGTGATAGATTGTGGTATATTCATACAATGAAATAATATTCAGCAATGTAAAAAAGGCATTACTAATACACATAACAATGCTGCTGAATCTTACCAATACAACTTTGCTTGAAAGAAATAAAAAAAGATGATATCATTTATATGAGTTTCAATATCATGTCAAACTAATTCATGGTAATATGCATCAGTATAATAATTACCCTTTGTGCTGGGGATGGTTACTGACTGGAAAGCAACATAAGGGAGCCTGTTTTAGTTGTGGAAATGTTTTATATCTTCATCTTGGTTGTGGTTACACAGGTGTATGTATTTATAAAAATTAAGGTATAACAGGATTAATGCATTTTACTGTATATAAATATACCTTAGTACACAAAATTTTATTTTTTTAAAATTTACATTTTTATACATTTCCTCTGATCCCTACCTCTGCCCAAGAAAATCTCAAACAATCCTGCCCACTGGAATGCAAACTGGAATTACATTAAATTTGCCTTGTAAGTTGGCAAGACTCTCAGACTTTATTGATACAACACTAAATCTTTTTTTAAATTCAGAATATGATACTTGTTGAAGTCTTTTTTTAATATCCTGTAAGTTTTAATAATTTTCCTTATTAAAAATTCTCTTAGATTTATTCTTAGGTATTTTTCGTTGTGAACAAGCTACTAATCCATTTATATTTTCTAGTTATTGCACTATTAAGTTATTTTGTATATTTATCTTGTCAGCTACCTTGTCAAATTTTCCTATTATTAATCTCTTGAATCACTTTAATAGAGACTCCTGGGTTTTCTTATCAACTGTAGGAAAGGAGAATTGTCTTTACTAAATTTTGCTAACTTTTGCATTAACTAAAGACTTCAACCCTGGGTTGAATGGTTAGAGGGGCATCCTTGCCTTGTTCTTTAATTAGTTGAAATATCTTAAGTATTTCAACAACAAATATATTTTAGTCTTTTTATCCTTTAAGTAGATTTTATTGAACCCTAATTTTCCTAGAAAGTTTTTTTTTTTTTTTGGATTGGCTACAGAATTTTATCAGATACGTTTTTGAGATCTGATTTGATATATAATTGTTTTATTTTTCTTTTTCACTTTGTTGATAAATTCAGTTATTTGATTTCTTAATATTAAGCCATTCTTGTACTCTTGAAAAAATGCCTCTTATTATTTGCATTCTTTTTATGCACTACTGGTGGATTATGCTTTCTGATAACTCAGAAAGTTTGTATCTGTGTAAAAGTGAAGTTAATTTTTATCATTTTCTTAATATGGTTTGAATATTATCTATACTTGCTTAATAATTATTGGACTTAATGGGATTGGTAAGGTCCGATTTGTTTTGGATTCTATTGTAAACAAATCTTTGAAACCTAGTAAGTCACTTTTTATTGGCCTTTAAAAATAAGGGAGTCTCTACTTTTATTAGGCTACAGAGAAATAATTTCAGGTAAGTAATTTTCTCGTTCAGATAGAAACACACACAAACACACAAACTTTTTTGAAAATTTATTTGCTATAATATCAAATTTTTTTGAAGTTTTCATTTTTATATTTTTTTTCCACAGTCCGTGGTGGATGACTGGATTGAATCATATAAACAAGACAGGGACATCGCACTTCTGGATTTAATCAACTTTTTTATCCAGTGTTCAGGATGTCGAGGTACAGAATGTTGAAATAAATGATGTACATTGAGCCTGTCAGTCCAGCAGTGTGACTTTTACTTCACCTGCCACTAGTCGTATATAATTTACCCTAAAATTAAAGATTATCTGCTAATCTTTTTCTGATAGAGAATATTATTGGTAAGTTATATAAGGATATTCCATTTTTGTTCTTGTTCAGTTTTGCTCCTATAAAGTAATACATTTATATAGTTTTTGAAATTTTGGGAGGAAATCTGAAATTCGTTCAGTAGTTTCATGAATTGATTTTTTAGATCATAGGCTTTTATAATTTTTACTCATATTATTTGTATGTATGCTCCATATTGGGAAGTGTGCTAGTTGCTAGCATTCATTCTTTTATATCCCTGCCAGTATTTCGTACTCATTTTATAGTTAAGTTTAAATACTTTTCTTAAAGTAACACAAGTAGCAGAATCAGGTGTCTTAAGTTTACAACTGTAAGACAGTTTGTTAAAGTGTAATTTTATTTTTATCATTTTAGGAGATAACTGCTAGATCTTTTTCTTCTCTAGATAAATCTTAACAGGTTAATTTGTATTACATGGGGGGAAGTGAGTTGTTAAATCACCATTCTCTGCTTGTGAATACAGAAGAATAGTAATCTTTAATTGAGATAACTGACCAAATTGATTTCTTGAAGGCTTGTTTATTTATGTACAAGTTATCACTTACCATATTGACATGAGTAGTTTATCAAATATTTACAGAGCACCACCCTTATACGAGATACTCCACCAGGGTATACAGAAGTTATCAAGGCAGTCTCTGCCGTAAAAAGTGTTAAAGTATGTGTAATTTTTAAAGGCATCTTCATTGTGAGTAAGAAAGAGGGGAAATACATTAATAGTTCAGCAAAGGGCTTGGTGCCATGATAAGTATAATAAAACTGGTTACTATTTAATGACTGTTTAGTATGTGGCAAGCTGTGTGCTTTACATACATTAGCTCATTTAATCTTTGTTAACAGTCCCATCAGGCAGATCTGATCTTTATCTTGTACATTGCAAACTGAGATGAAAGGGTTTAGGTAAATTTATTCCAGATCATACAGTTAGCAAGTGTGAAACTCAAGATTGAGAGTCAAGCTGTGTCACCTGGAGTGTGTGTCCCCAGCCACAAGACACTGTGGGAATAACAAGAAAGCAAGGGATGCTGATGCAGCCCAGGCTGTGTGTCTCTGTATATATGTGTGAATGTGGGGAGGTTGTAAAAAAGTATATCCTACAAAAAATAAACTCTGATGTGAGATTAAAGATGAGTAAAAGGAAGTTAGAAGGATGAGAAAGGCAAAAGGTAACATATTATGCAAAAAGACCTTAAGACAAGAAAGCATGGTTCAGTCCGGGACGTAGAGGATTCTGTGGCTGAATTGTAGAGCATGGAGATGAGTGAGGATTGGCAAGAGATTAGACTATTTGAAAGTAAGAGAGTTTGCTCATTTTGCAGCCTTAAAGTAGGTGAGGCAAGCACTGATGATGTGCTTTATATAAATTTTCTCATATAGTCCTATTAATCAACAGACCTGTTGGATTGGGTTTTAATTTGAAAGCAATTAGTAGTGTTTAAAATTTTTCCTTTTGAAATTTATTTTCATGGTTCAAAATAAAAAAGTTTAAAAGTTGTATAATAAGAAGTCTTTGCCTTTCTGTCTTCCCATCCATCTACACATAGTTAACTGCTCTTAACTAGTTTGTTGAACTTAACTGTCTGTCCATCTATCTAATTTTCATACCTATAGGGTAGGAATGTATATTCTTTCCTTCTCCACCTCACCTGTCGTACACAAAAGATAATAGTGTATAGAGACCTTTCTCCTTCATTTTTAAAAACACAGGCTCATTGCATTCCTTTGTGTATATGTACAATAATTTATTTAACTAGACTTCTATTAAAAGACCAGTGTGTTATTTGTAGTCTTTTGCTGTTACAGAGAGTACTGTAATGAGTAATTTTATGTATACCTTATTTGGTCTTTATAAAGAATGTCTGTAGGTAAATGCATTTGTTATTATATTAGATACTGCCAAATCGTCAGCTATAGGAATTGTACTCTTCTATACTCTCATCAGTGATATATTAAAATGTCTTTTTTTTCTTAGCCTTTTCAACAAAGTGTATTAAGATTTTGGATTAGTCTTCAGAATGATTTGAAGATAATATTTCAGTCTGATTTTTAAAAGTGCTTTGAAGTTCACGTAATATACAAGTAAGCATTTTAAAGTGTACCAATTCAGTAGCATTTAGGGCATTCATAAATGTGCAGCTGCCTTACTTTGGGTTGCTGTAACAATACCATAGACTGGGTGGCTTACAAATAATAGAAATTTATTTCTCACAAGTCTGGAGGCTGGAAGTCTGAGATCAGGGTCTCAATATCGTCTGGTTCTTGTGAGGGCCCTCTTCCACATTGCAGAATACTAACTTCTAGTTGTACCCTTACATGGCAAAAAGAGGGTTGAGAGCGTTTTCTGGAGTCCCCTTTATAACGGCACTAATCTCATTCATGAGGGTCCCACTCATCACCTAATTGCATCCCAAAGGTCCCACCTTCTAATACCATCACTTTGGGGGTTAGGATTTTAATATAGGAATTTTGGGAGGACACAAACATTCAATCCATTGTAGCAGTTACCACCTCTCTCTTTTCTCAAAACTTTAAAAATCTCCCCAGGAAAATACCCTATACCTGTTAGGTAATCACTATTTGTTCTTTTCTCCCCCATCACTGGCAATCATGAATCTACTTTCTGTCCCTGAGGATTTGCCAGTCCTGGTCATCTTATATAAAAGGAACCACACCATATGTCACCTTCTGTGTGTGACTTCTTTCACTTACCATGTTTTTGAGGTTCATTTAAGTTGTAGCATGCATCAGTAGTTCATTTCGTTTAGGGCTGAATAATAATCCATCGTATGTATATATCACTGTTTGTTTATCCATTCATCTGTTGAAGGACATTTGAGTTGTTTCCACCTTTTGACTATTGTGAATATGGCAACTTTGAACATTCGTGAACAAATACTTGTTTGAGTGCCGTTTTTGAGTCTTTGAGGTGTAAATTCTTAGGAGTAGAATTGCTAGGTCGTATAATAATTCCATTTAAACTTTTTGAGGAACCACCAAACTGTTTTCCACAGTGGCTGCACCATCTTATATTCCCACCAGAAATGTATGAGGATTCCTATTTTTCTACATCCTCAACAACACTTGTTATTTTATAGTTTTAAAAATTATAGCCATCCTACTGGGTATAAAGTGGTATCTAACTGTGGTTTTAATTTGTGTGCACTTAATGCCTAATGATCTTGAACTTCTTTTCATGTGCTTGTTGGACATGTCTGTATTTTCTTTGAAGAAATATACATTCAAGTCCTTTGCTCATTTTAAAATTAGATTATGTGTCTTTTTGTTGATGAGTTGTATATATTGTGGATACCAAACCTTTATCAAGTATTTAACTTCAGCTATTTTTGTCCGCTCTCTAGGTTGTCTTTTTAACTTTCTTAATGATGTTTTTTGGTGCACAATAGGTTTACATTTTATTAAGTCTGATTTCTCTTCCTTTCCTTTCCTTTCCCTTTCCCTTCTCTTTCCTTTCTCTTCCCTTTCTCTTTCCTTTCTTTCTCTCTCTTTCTCTTTCCTTTCCTCCCTCCCTCCCTCCCTCCCTCCCTCCCTCCCTCCCTCCCTCCCTCCCTTCTGCCTGCCTGCCTGCCTGCCTGCCTGCCTTCCTTCCTTCCTTCCTTCCTTCCTTCCTTCCTTCCTTCCTTCCTTCCTCATACACATGTCAAATTTAAGGATCCATTGCCAAATTCAAGGTCATGAAGATTTACCTCTATGTTTCCTTCTAATGGCGATTGCTCACAAATCTGGAGGCTGGATTTTATATTTTATATTTAGGCTGTTAATCCATGGTTAATTTTTGTGTATGGGTTGGTTTTAATTTGTATTTCTCTAATGAATGAGGGTTGAGAACCATTACTGTTTTTTCTTTGAATTCTTTGTTCCTATCCTTTGCCCATTTTTCTTTTGACTACCTTTACAGTTCCTGAAAAGACATTTGACAAAATGGGTCTTAAAACATTTTTGTTGAAGGGGCATAGAAGCATATTTTCTTAATATGATTTATAAAGAAAGCACACTGTCTTTTACATCAGTAGAATATAATAAAAATCCTGACATAGACCTAAGTACCTATGAGACATTAGTAAACATATCTTAGAACATATGAAAAGAAAACATTTTTTACTTATTACAAAAGGGATTTACTAATTAAAACTATACTTAGTTACCATTTCTTTTTACCTATCAGATTGGCACAAGTTTAAAATCATAACAACATTCTGTTGTTCAGGCTGTGGCGGGGGAAAGCAGACACTGTTACATTGTTGGTTAGAATACAAATTGATAAACTCTTTTGTAAAGGTATCCAGGAATATCTACCAAATCTATATTTATGTCTTATCTGTTGACTCAACCATCCTACTTCTGGGATTTTACCTTGAATATATACCTTCAGCAGTAAGAAAATAGGTACACAAAATTAATGCAACATTATTTGTTACTGGAAAATATTGGAAACAATCCAAATGTTCATATATAAGACAGTGATTGAATGAACTATAGGATAGCCACATGTTGGAGTTTTGTGCTACTGTAAAAAAGAATGAGGAAGATGTCTGTGAATGGAAGTAGGGATTTTCCCTGTATTTTTTTTTTCGAGACAGTCTTATTCTGTCACCCAGGCTGGAGTGCGGTGGTGCGATCTCGGCTCACTGCAACCTCCGCCGCCTGGGTTCAAGCAGTTCTCCTGCCTCAGCCTCCCGAGTAGCTGGGATTACAGACACGCACCACCATGCCCAGCTAAAGTTTTTTTGTATTTTTAGTAGAGATGGGGTTTCACCGTGTTGATCAGGCTGGTCTTGAACTCCTGACCTCATGATCCACCCGCCTTGGCCTCCTAAAGTGCTGGGATTACAGGCATGAGCCACCGTGCCCGGCCTTTCTCTGGATATGTTTTTAGGGCAAAATACAAATTGCAGAATAATATCTACAGTATGCAACTTTGTTGTTGTTGTTTTTTTTTTTTTTTTGTAAGAAAGAAGGGAATATAAGGGTTCATTTCACCAAAAAGAAATACAGGAAAGAAAAACCTGACGGTAACGAGATTGGTTACCTAAAGAGCGAGAGAGAGAGAGAGAGAGTTTGTGCGTGCGTGCGTGTGTGTGTGTCGGAAAGTTTAGAGGGAATTGAGGTGAGGGAATGATACTGAATTTGAATATAGTTTTATAGTTTTTGAATAGTCCTGACTTTTGGAGCTATCTTAATATTTCAAATCCCCAAGAAAACAAAATCAACAAAGATGGAGGGAGAATATCCTAAAAATGAATACAAACAGAACAAATAACCTTTACACCATAATAACAACCACACTGAAAGGTGTAAAATTACTAACCAACGTAACTTGGGAACTCAGTAAGTGGGCTGTGAAACTAGTGGGGTCGGGGAGAAGTTTGATGAAGAGCACAATATTTACCCAGTCTCAAAATGTCTCCTTTCAAGATATCTACTATTTACAGGGTAAAATAGAAACTTTGCAATGTAGAAACTTGATAGATAGCACCTTAACAAATGATAAAAGCAAACATTGCAAGTTACGGAGCTAATTGCTATCATGTGCTTTCTGATATGCCCTTAGAAGAACTCAACATCACTTCTGTGATATTCTTGCCAGAAGTGCATAGTCTGAATCTACTCATGAAGAAACATAAGACAAGCTTGAATTGAGTTATATTCTTCAAAACAACTATCCTGTACTCTGCAAAAAAGTCAGTGTCATGAAATAGTCAGAAATGCTGGGCGTCGTGACTCACACCTGTAATCCCAGCACTTTGGGAGGCTGAGGCGGGCAGATCACCTGAGGTCAGGAGTTCAAGACCAGCCTGGCCAGTGTAGTGAAACCCCATCTCTACTAAGAATACAAAAATTAGCTGGGCATGGTGATAGGCGCCTGCAATCCCAGCTACTTGGGAGGCTGAGGCAGGAGAATCACTTGAACCCAGGAGACAGAGGTTGCAATGAGCCAAGATCACACCATTGCACTCCTGCCTGGGCAACAGGAGCAAAACTCTGTCTCAAAAAAAGAAAAAAAGAAATGACTCAAACTGTTCTAGCTTAAAGTAGAGTAAAGAAACATGACAGGTGGCTGCAGTGCATGATCTTAGAATTTCTTTGGGCAGATTTCCTGAGGTCAGGAGTTCAAGACCAGCCTGGTCAATGTGGTGAAACCCCGTCTCTACTAAAAATACAAAAATTAGCCGGGCGTGGTGGTGGGTGCCCGTAATCCCAGCTGCTTGGGAGGCTGAGGCAGGAGAATCGCGTGAGCCCAGGAGGCGGAGGTTGCAGTGAGCTGAGATTACACCATTGCACTCCAGGCTGGGCAACAGGAGCGAAACTCTGTCTAAAAAAAAAAAAGAAAAAGAAATGACTCAGAAACTGTTTAAAGTAGACTGAAGAAATGTGACAGGTGGCTGCAGTGCATGATCTTAGAATTTCTTTTGGCATAAAGGACGTTATTGAGACACGTGAAATCTTAATTAGTTCTGTGGATTAGAACATACATGTAGTATCAATTGTTATATCTTATGCTTTGGAACATTGTACTATACTGTGGTTGTATAATAGGTTTATTTGGGGGAAATACACACTGAAATATTAAAGAGTAAAGGAATATCATGTCTGTAGCTAAACACTTATTCAGAACAAATGCATCTGTATATGAAGAGTGAAAGAAGGATAAAACGGATGTAAATGTTTACATCTGAAGAATTTGGGTGGAAGGTATTCAGAAGTTCTTTGTACTTTGCTGTCTTTTCTGTAAATCTAAAATTATGTCAAAGTACAAAAATGAAAAAAAAAAAAAATGTTTTAACCCCAAAGCCAGCGTCATGCTCAAGGGAAATCAGTAGTCATTGTCACTGTCAAGACAAGGATACCCAGCCTCACAATTCTTATTTAACATTATATTGGATATGCAAGCCAACACATTTGGACAATAAAAAGTAATTATGATCACTGTTTTTAAAATGATGTTATTCAAAATAATATAGCATGTTTAGAAAACTCAGGAGAATCAGTTTGCAAAACTATTATAAGCAATAAAATAATTCCATAATATATTGAGATACAGAATTTATAGAGAAAAATTACTATCCTACAGCCAGTTAGAAGATTTAAAGACCTCCTTTTCAAGACAAAAGTGAGGGGGAAAATTCTTTCAGATTTACATTTCACTGTGATGGTGTAAACCAGGATAAATTTCCAGTGCATCAAGAGTTTAAGGGCAAAAACAAACAACAAATACAAAGAAAAATAGTAAAAGCACTCAATGAAAACTAAGAATTCCTTTATAACCACGGAGTGGGGAAGACCTTTTTATTAACTGACTCACAATTAACTGACTCAAAATCTATAAGTTAGCAAAGACTCATAAATGACATAAGAAAACAAAAAATTTGTAAGATGGAGACACATTATAGGGAAAGTCAAACGACAAGGGACAAGTGGGGGAAATTTTTTTGTATTACAAAGGCTGCTATCTCTAATATATGTTGAGATAAGATTTGCATTTTATAAGGACTCCTTGTCTTGCACATTAATATCCAAAATCTAGATTGGCATTTTACTGTGTGAGCCCATTTTCCCCTAAAGCTGCGTAAGAACCAAGGACCAAAAGAGTGTTTTAAAAATTGACCTGAAGTGGGAAGAGAGCAAGGAAAGGCAGGAAAAAAAAAAATCACAATTCGCCCCGTCCCCACCCAAGTTCCCGGCTAGAAGTGGTATCACCAACAATGACAGAACAAAGTGAAACATCTTCTCATGAGTGAATAGTATGAACAACTCCTCCTTCATTGGCTCCAGTATCCCTATTATCACTATTTTCTCATCTTGGCTCTTGAGCCAAGCCCTAAGGTGCAGTATTGGTTTTCTAATTTAGCTATCTCAAGTTGCATTAGCACCCATAGTTGTTTTTCTAACTCTGCTGAAACGTCTGTAGTCTCTTCATTTGAACCAGCTGGAGTGAATTCTGTTTACCATTGGAAACCTCAGAATTGGCTAACTCAATATGTAGTAGTAATAGATATATTCAGTATCAATGAAGTGGGAAAAATGCAAAGGTAAAGTTGATTTAAACACTGTTGACTTAGAGTTGCATTCTAAAGCTATGTAAATTCATAAGTGTTTATTGGAATAAGTTATGAGAGAACTAAGAACACAGAATTATAGCATGTATTCAGGGAATTATGCATAGCAAAATGAAGATATGTTCTCCATATATTCAAAGTATACCTTGTTGATACACGTACATATTTACTTTGGTATGTACTTAAACATAACTAATTTCAGAAATATATGGTTTTTGATAAGTAGTTTTCATTGACAGATGTGCCTATTTTTAATAAGGGTTGTTGATCAAACTTGAAAGTTGGTGGTTAAAAGCAACCTTCTTTCTTAGTTGAATATAACAAGGAATGTTTCTATTTTGCTCTGTTTGTGCCTAACAGAGAAGTTCCGGATGCCTCAGGGCTTTCTAGGAGTGCAGAATTGCCAGAGAATTAATCACCTAGGAGCACTTAATCTAAGAGTTCCTGAACTTAACCCAGTTCGCTGGCTAATTAGCATCTCAGTGATTTTTTCATGGCACCTGTAAGCCAAAAGAAATACCTAACATTCTTTTCAGGAAGTTGTTATGTCCAAACTATTTATTTAGGTCCTCACAACTTAGTAGCCATTTAGAAAATGACATACATAATTGAAAAAAATTGTATTCATGTCTCAAATAACTGCAGTTACTTACTAATGTGTGTACAGATGTGTTGGGCATTGTATAGCTTCTCACATTTTGAAATTATCTTCATTTCCTGTTTTATATTGGTTTTTTGATAGCCCTTGTTGAAACTCAGCCTCTCAAAGATAGGGCATTATCAACAGGAATAAAGGACCAGATGTTGAGATTGCAAGTTGCCTCATGCTAATAGTTCCTGTGGTACTTGACAAATATCAAATATTGTATTGTTTTCCTTTGAATATTTAAAATATCCACATTACCCATATCATTTTGTGTGAGTCCCTCAGGACATCTCAGTGCACAGTTTGGGCACCATGGCTTTAACAAGTGACTGACCGGGAGTTAGTGTATAAATACCCCAATTCCTTTGCCTATCAGTGGGATCATTTTGAAGGGCATGGCCTACTCTGACTGCAGTTTCTCAAGGAGCTTAATTAGGCTCCAGTTACCTACAATTGTAATTGGCTAGATAACATACTCTTTATTGTCTGCTTTTTTTTAATTGTTATTTTTCTTTTTCTTGTTTCATGTCTCTACTGCATTACTGGTATTTTGTGGGTTGTCCTTCTAAATAAATTACTTGCACTGGCATCCTTGTTTTAGTATCTGCATCTGGGGGATAGAAACTAACAAGTGCTTATATGGCTTTATTATATATTAATCAGTATTCTCTTTAGCAATCTATTTTAATGAATTCTTATCTCCTCACCTGTACAGTGTGTACGTATATAGATAGATAGATAGATAGATAGATAGATAGATAGATAGGTAGTTCAGTGTTATCTTTCTTAAATCCTTTTAAATTGTGACATCTTATATATACAAAAGACTGAATATAAAGTGCCTTTGGCCTCTACCTGTTAGATGCCAGTAGCACATTTCTTTCTCCCTCTCCTCCAGTTGTAACAAGCAAAAATGTCTGCAAAAGTTTCCCAGTGTTCAATTTTGGGAAGCAAAATTACCCCATTTTGAGAACTACTGTAAAGTATACCTTATATGAATATACCAGTTAATTTATATTTCCCATTCTTGAAGGAAATTTTTGGGTAATGTAGACAGTGGTTACTAAAAGCTATCTTTTGCACATATTAATTTGGTATTCATGCACAAAATGCTCTAGTTTGCGTACTGAGGGGTGGAATTGCTGGGTTATAAGATATGCAACTTTTCTGGATGATGTCAAATTTCTCTGAAGTAGTTGTAACTTTTCATGCTTTAGTCAGGTGATGTCACAGAATTCTGATGGCTTCACATATTTTGCTCATAGATAGTATTGCCAGTATTTTTAGTTTTATGTTGTTGAGTAGGATTACAAATATCAGATTGTGGTTTTAATTTATATTTCTTTGAGTACTATTGAGATGGACTACTTTTTCACATAACAGTTAACCATGAGAATTTTCTCTTGCATGAACTGTGTAAAGTCTTCTACAAATTACTGTATTGCGATGTTACCTTTTGTCCTTTATTGTTTTGTAAGATTTTTATTTTATTTTATTTGAGACATAAGTTTTACTCTGTTTCCCAGGCTGGAGTGCAGCGGTGCAATCTTGGCTCACTGCAACCTCCACCTCCCAGGTTGAAGTGATTCTCCTGTTTCAGCCCCCCTAGTAGCTGGGATTACAGGCATGTGCCACCACGCCTGGCTAATTTTTGTATTTTTAGTAGAGATGGGGTTTCTCCCTGTTGGCCAGGCCGGTCTCAAACTCCCGACCTCAGGTGACCTGCCCACCTTGGGCTCTCAAAGTGCTGGGATTACAGGCATGAGCCACCGCACCTGGCCAAGATTTTTAAAAAAGTGTTAATACTAATCTCCTTTGTTATGTATATTGCAGCTTTCTTCTTCCATCTTGCAGCCTGCTTTTTCTCTTTTATTTTGATACATTATCCTTTGAAGGAAGGGATTTTTGTCTGTCTTTGTTCTCTTTGTATCTCTAGCACCTATAATTATTTATTGAAAGAATGAATGAACATGAGTTTTAAATTTTTAAGTGTAACCAAATTTATTTGTCTTTTCTTTTATGGGCTTTTTGTGTCATATTTAAGAAATTATTGACCAGGCCCTGTGGCTTTTGCCTGCAGTAATAGCACTTTGGGAGGCTGAGGCAGGCGGATCACTTGAGGTCAGGTGTTCAAGACTGGCCTGGCCAACATGGTGAAACACTGTTTCTACTAAAAATAAAAAAATTGGGCATGGTGGTGGGCACTTGTAATCCCAGCTACTCAGGAGGCTGAGGCAGGAGAATTGCTTGAACCTGGGAGGCGGAGGTTACGGTGAGCCGAGCTCACACCACTGCACCCCAGCCTGGGCAACAGAGTGTGACTCCATCTCAAAAAAATAAATAAGTGAAAATAAAAATTAAAAAATTATTTACACCGTGGTCATGAAGATACTCTCCTGTTTTCTTATAAAAGCTTTCTAGTTTATGTGAAGTTTAGTTAGTTATGTATAGGTTAGTCCTTCAAATTTAGGTTTTTACGTCATCTAGACTTCAGTTTTTTAAGTGTGAAAAGTCCTTCAGTTTTTCTTGATTGTACAATGACCCCATTAGCATATATCAAGTAACCCTTTACAGGAGAGTCTTTTTCTGGGTTCTCTATTCTGCTAATTGGTCTCTTAGATGGAAAGCTAACTTTCTTTTCTTTTCTTTTTTTAAAATGGTGTCTCACCCTGTAACCCAGGCTGGAGTGCAGTGGTGCGATCTTGACTCACTGCAGCCTCAACCTCCCTGGGCTTAGGTGATCCTCCCACTTTAGCTTCCCAAGTGTCTGAGACTACAGGCACGCACCACCACTACACCTGGCTAATTGTTTGGGATTTTTGCAGAGTCAGGGTTTCAACATGCTGCCCAAGCTGGTCTTGAACCCCTGGATTCAAGAGTTCTGCCCACCTCAGCCTCCCAAAGTGCTGGGATTACAGGCGTCGGCCATTGCTCCTGGTCAAAAAATTTCTTGACTAGAAACTTACTGGCTTTTGTATTTTTGTATATATTTTAGAAACTGGTTTGTGGGCCAAGCACAGTGGCTCGTACCTGTAATCCCAACACTTTGGGAGGTTGAGGTGGGTGAATCTCTTGAGCCCAGGGATTGGTGTCCAGCCTGGGCAACATGGTAAAACCCTGCCTCTACAAAAAATGCAGGAATTAGTGGGGCGTGGTGGTGTGTGCCTGTAGTCTCAGTTACTTGGGAGGCTGAGGTGAGAGGATCGCTTGAGCCCAGGAGGTGAAGATTGCAGTGAACTGTGGTCACACCATTGTACTCCTGCCTGAGTGACAGAGTGAGAACCTGTCTCAAAAAAACAAACAAACAAACAAAAAAAAAACGAATGTCAAGTTCTATCAGCAAACTCGTCGGAGTTTTAAATGGAATTATATTGAATCTGTATGTATGTTAGCATTTCTCAATCTTGACACTATTGAGTTTTTGGACTGGAAAGTCTTTGTCGTGGGAAGCATTCTTTCATTGTAGGACATTTAGCAGCATCTCTGGCCTCTACCCACTAAATGTCAGTAGAACCCCATTCCTACTTGAACAACTGCTGCTGTATATCAGTGGGGATGAATTTACATTTTGATAAAATAGAATCTTTCAGTTTGTGATCATTGTGTTTATTTCTGCATATATTCATCCCCTCTGCCAAGTATTTTAGAGGATTTTTTGAAGGGGATGTATGTGTGAAAAGGTCTTATACGTCCGTTATTAAATTTATTTCTGAACTTTCAGCATTTAAAAATTTCATTATAAGTAATGGTTTTTTAAAAATAGAGTTTATTTTTTTAGAGCAGTTTTAGGTTTACAGAAAAGCATGTCTACCACTGATATTTTAATGTAAAATTTAATATGCATTCCTAGAACGAATTCAACTTGGTCATGATATATTTTTAAATTATTGCTAGGTTTGGTTTGCTAGTATCTTGCTTAGGGTTTTTATATCTGTATCAGTGAGATTGCCTGTCCTTTTCCCCTTTCATTCTTTCCATTTTGGGTTTTGTTATGAAAACTTTGCTAATTTCACAAAATGAATTGCAAACAATACCTTCTTTTTCTGTTTTTTTTTTGGAATTATTTCTTTCCAGAATGTTTGGTAGAATTCAAGGCATCTGGACCCTGAAGATTTTTGTTGGATGATTTCAAGCTACTGATTTTTTTTTTTAACTATTAAATTGTATACTTGATTGATTGATTGACTGATTGATTGATTGATTGATTGAGACAGAGTCTAGCTCTGTAGCCCAGGCTGGAGTACAGTGCCACAAACACGGCTCACTGCAACCCCCGCCTCCTGGGTTCAAGCGGATTCTACTACCTCAGCCTCCTATGTAGCTAGAATTACAGGTGTGAGCCACCATGCCCAGCTGTTTTTGTATTTTTAGTAGAGATAGGGTTTCACCATATTGGCCAGGCTGGTCTCAAACTCCTGACCTCCAGTGATCTGCTTGCCTTAGCCTCCCAAAGTGCTGGGATTACAGGCTTGAGCCACTGTGCCCAGTCGTGATTCACTTTTTAAAAACTCATTTAGCACTATTGAGGTATTTTATTATTATTATTATTTAGAGACTCGCTATGTTTCCCAGGCTGGTCTTGAACTCAGGACTTCAAGAGATTCTCCTGCCTCAGCCTCCCAGGTAGCTAGGACTACAGGCATGCAAGACCATGCCCAGCTTCTGGTGTTTTTATTATTTTGATAAACCAGATTTTTCTAGGAAACTCTCCATTTTATCTAAATTTTAAAATTTATAAAGTTGTTTATAATATTCCATATATGTTATTTATATATTTATAATATATATATTATAAATATATAAATAGTGTGTGTGTGTGCCTGAGTGCGTGTGTGCATATATGTATATATATAGTTGTGAATTACTGATGTCCCTTTTCATTAATTTTAAGTGTTTTCTAATTCCTAATTATAGCTTTTTCTTGACACATGGATTATTTAGAAGCATATTTGTTCTTCTTTGTTTTAATGGCTTTTGTTTTGTTTTATTTTTTCGGTTATTTTTTGAGACGGGTTCTCACCCAGGCTGGAGTGGAGTCATGTGATCACAGCATACTGCAGCCTGAACTCCTGGGCAGAAATGATCCTCCCACCTCAGCTTCCCAAGTAGCTGGGACCACAAGTGTGTGCCACCACACCAGCTGATTTTTCTTTTTTCTTTTTTAGAGACAAGGTTGCTATGTTGCCCTGGCTACTTTTGAACTCCTGGACTCAAGCAGTCCTCCCCTCTCAACCTCACAATATGCTGGGATTACAGGCATGAGCCACTGTGCCTGTTCAGAAGCATATTTTTAAATTTTCAAGCATGAGAGTTTTCTGGTTAACTTTTTGTATTGTTTTCTTCTTTAGCTTCCTTGAATTTGAGGCAAAAGGAAATGGTCTGTAATTGTAGACTTGTCTCAAGGTTGTATGGTCAGCTTTTGCTAATGTTTCATGTGCCCTTAAAACTCATGCGTATTATGCATTTTTTAGGTGTAGTATGTCCATTGTTAGCTCAATAATTTTGTTAAAATATTTTATATCCTTCTAATTTATTGTGCTTGTTCTGATGATTACTGAGAGGGGTGTATGTTAAAATCCCACATCATGGTTGTAGATTTATGTATTTTTCCTTGATTTCTTCTTAACTGCCTTTCCCCTTCCTTACCCTCCCTCTTGTGTCTGTCTCTCTCTCCACTCCCTGATATGTTATTAGATGTATACAGACATCCAGCTTTTTTATAACTCAATATTTTATATTTAATGTTCCTCTTTATCTCCGGCAATACTTTTTTTTCTCTAAAAGTCTGTTTCATTTGAATATTAATGAAACCTACCACTTTTCATGTTTTTCTAGTGTTCTATTTTTTTTTCCTTTTATTGTTCCAGTATCTTTTAGATGCCGCTTGTTACAACTTACAGCTGGATCGTATTTTTTTAATTCAGTCTGTCTTTTAGTTGCACCATTTAGTCCCTTTTGCATTTAATACAATCACTGTAATTAGTTTTATATTGAACCAGTGGTTGTTCTTTGCCCCTCCTGTTCTATGTTTTCTTTTTCTCTTCTTTCTGGTCTTTAAATTACTTGAATACCAAAGAATTTGTCTTTCTTTTCTCTACTTCTTTGAACTTTTTGTTTTGAGATGGAGTCTCGCTCTCTTGCCAGGCTGGAGCGCAGTGGCGCGATCTTGGCTCACGGCAATCTCTGCCTCCTGGGTTCAAGCGATTCCCCTGCCTCAGCCTCCTGAGTAACTGGGACTACAGGCGCACACCACCACACCCGGCTAATTTTTTGTATTTTAGTAGAGACAAGGTTTCACCATGTTGGCCAGGATGGTCTTGATCTCTTGACCTTGTGACCCACCTGCCTTGGCCTCCCAAAGTGCTGGGATTACAGGCATGAGCCACCACACCCGGCCCAAAATTTAATTTTTGCTCTTTATTTCTGGTTTTCTGAGTTTCATTATGTTTTGCTGTAGGCGTAGAATATATTTTGACAGGGGCAGGGAGTATTGTTTTTCATTCATTCTAAAATTTCTTAATTGTTATCTCTTTAAATTTTCTTTCCATTTTATTTATCTTCTCCTTCAGGAACTTTGTGTAAATTTGTTATACTCTCTTCTGTGTATCTTTCCATATTTTTGAATTTCTGTGCAGCTTTCTGAATAATATCCCCCCCAAATTCGAGTTCTTTTACTCTTTTTATCTATGCCAATCCCTTAAGCCTTATTTCAGTTAGTG
Source organism: Homo sapiens (assembly GCF_000001405.40). Classification (NCBI taxonomy): domain Eukaryota; kingdom Metazoa; phylum Chordata; class Mammalia; order Primates; family Hominidae; genus Homo; species Homo sapiens. Next base: position 136,553,171 of record NC_000003.12, on the reverse strand, counting down.
TATTGTTCATTTCTGTAAATTATAACTACTTGGTCCATGGAATTGTTCCCCTGTGGATATTCAAACTTGTATTTTTATTTTTTAACATGGTAAGTTTATTTCTTTTCTAATCTCTATCTGATAATTCTAGTATTTTAAGTCTTTGTGAGCCTGTTTCTGTGGTCTTGTTTTTGCTTGTTTTTTGCATGTTGTCTTTCTTCTTGGTGTATTTTGTTGCTTTTTGTTCCAAGTTCCTTATTTACTCTCAAATTTATTTGAATCCTAGGATTAAGTTACATTTCTCTAAGAGAGGATTTAGCATTTGCTTTGCAGGTGTCCAGGGGCGCTACCAATCTAGGACCATTTGTAATTGAATAGAGAGTTTGAGATTTTCTTTCAGTTATTTGTTAGAACACCAGTTTTTGATTATAACTTCTTAGATACATTTATCTCCCTCTTTGCAGTACCAGAAAAACTTTATTTTCCCCAGAGTATGAGGTGATAAATTGACCCCTGGTTTAGCCTTAACCTGAAGATGTAATCCTTTGAGGCCCCACTTTATAGAGTTATTTCTTCTAGACCCTCTACCTCATATCGCCCAACTGAAGCAAATAGGCTTAGCAAGGGTCATCATAGAAAAAGTGATTTCAGCATTGCTTCTATATATTGAATTTCTGCTTTTATTTATTGTCCTCCTAATATCTTCCTGCTTCATATGGCTTCAGATGCTTTCAAAATGCTGTTTATATTTTATTTAGCATTTGAGGGAAAGGATTTGTATAAATAATATTGTTTACAATATCATTATAAACTGAACTTGTATATATAAATGTAAAGTGATTTCTCCCTCAGATGATATGTATATGTGTGTGTAAATGTAACTTCTAATGCTGAAATTTTTCAAAAAAATTTTTTGTGGAAATGAATAATTTTGAAACTTTGATGCTTTTGGCATAATTTGCATATTTACTTTGTATATTGTTGTAATGTAATTTCTGCTTTCATAGGTTTTGATTTTCTTGGGCCTACTTGAAGATTTCAATTGCTTATTATTGTCATGGTTTTGAAAAAGCTTTCAAATGTAGGCTGACGTGCAGGTACTGTTTTAGGTAGAGTGTACAAAGAAACCACAAGTAATCCTGATGGGTTTACACTTAAAGAAAACCTGTTGGGTATGCAGAGAACAGGATAAAAATTATAAAATAAGAGATTGGAATATGAAGTATTTTGCCTTAATATTTTTCAATTTCAGCCTCTCTCTCTCTCAGTGTCTCTCTCTCATGTCTTTCTCTCAAGTAGGCCAGGCACAGTGGCTCACGTCTGTAATCCCAACACTTTGGGAGGCCAAGGCAGGAGGATCAGTTGAGCCCAGGAGTTTAAGACCAGCCTGGACAACATAGTAAGACCCTGTCTCTACAAAAATAGAAAAATTAGCCAGGTGTGTGCCTGTAGTCCCAGGTGCTTGGGAGGCTGGGTGGGAGGTGGCCAAGAGGTTGAGGCTGCAGTGAGCCATGATTTTGCCACTGCACTTCAGCCTGGGCAACAGAGCAAGATCCTGTCTCAAAAAAAAAATACTGAGAATAGACACATGAACTATTCAGAAATTCAAAAGAGGCAGAGCAGGCTGGCTCATGCCTGTAATTTGAGCACTGTGGGAGCCCGAGGTGGGGGCATCGCTTCAGTTGAGGAGTTCTAGAGTAGCCTGGGCAACACAGAGAAACCCTATCTCTCTCCCCTCTTCCCCCTGCCAAAAAAAAAAAAAAATTAGCCAGATGTATTGATGCCTGCCTATAGTCCTAGCTTGCAGAGGTGGGAGGTGGGAGAGGTTGAGGTAGGAGGATTGCTTGATTCTGGGAGGTCAAGGCTGCAGTGAGCCAGGATTGTGCCACTGCACTCCAGCCTGGGCAACAGAGCACGCTCTCTCGCTCTCCCTCTCTCTCTCTCTCTCTCTCTCTCTCTCTCTCTCTCTCTCTCTCTCTCTCTCACTCTCTCTCAACCTCTCTCTCTCTCTCAAAAAAAAAAAAAAAGGAGTTAAAAAAATTTATGTAGATACCTAAATCATCTTAAAGGAAATGAAACATAACTTCTTACCCATTAAGTGTGGGCTGTGCATAGTGACTTCTAAGGAGTACAGTGTGGAAGGAGGTGGAGAAATGTAATTTACAAAGGAGAAAACTGACAAACACTTGCATCTAGATGTTCATGATTAATAATCAGTAGTGTTTAGTCATATCGATAGTGACTTGATTTTATATGATGAAGATGGCAATTTCTCTCTTTACTTTCCTTCCAAAAATCCATAAACCCTGTCTAACCGTGAGAAAAGCATCAGACAAATCGAAAGACATTGTATAAAATACCTGACCACTGCTTCTTAAAACCTTTGTGGTCATCAAAAACAAGTAAAGTGTGAAAATTAGAAATGGAAGTAGAGACTTTAAAGATGATGTCCCAGAAATAATAAACATCATAAGAGACTACAAGGAACGACTCTACACCAATAAATTGGATAATCTAGAATAAATGACTAAATTTCTAGAAACATACAACCTATCAAGACTGAGTTATGGAGAAAAAGAAAAGCTGGGCCAGGCACAGTGGCTCATGCCTGTAATTCCAGCAATTTGTGAGGCTGAGGCAGGTGGATCACAAGGTCAGGAGATCAAGACCATCCTGGCTAACACGGTGAAACCCTGTCACTACTAAAAATACAAAAAATTAGCCGGGCATGGTGGTGGGCGCCTGTAATCCCAGCTACTCGGGAGGCTGAGGCAGGAGAATGGCGTGAATCCGGGAGGCAGAGCTTGCGGTGAGCCAAGATCGCGCCACTGTACTCCAGCCTGGGCGACAGAGTGAGACTCTGTCTCAAAAAAAAAAAAAAGGCTGAACAGACCTGTAACCAGTGGGCGGATTAGGAGAACAAAGAAAAGTCCCAGTATCATTTGGCTTCACTGGTGACTTTCGCCAAACATTTAAAGAATTAATGCCAGTTCTCAGTCTTTTCCAAATAATCGATGAGGATGGAACACTTGTAAACCCATTTTATGTGGGCAGCATTACTCTTATACCAAAGCCAAGAAAAGACATCACAAAAAAAAGATACCACGAAAAGAAAAAGGCCAGTATAGATCCCTGATGAGTATATATGCAAAAAGTCCTAAACAAAAGACTAGCAACCAAATTTAACAGCATATTATTCACCAAATGAAAGTCAATTAATATGGTATGCCACATTAACAGAATGAAGGATAAAAATCACTTGGTCATCTCAGTAGATACCAGACAAAGAGTTTTATAAAATCCAGCACCCTTTTCATGTTAAAAGAAAAAACTCAGCAAACTAGGAATAGAGGAAAATAGAACACAATAATGGCCATATATACAAAGCTTATTGCTAACATATTCTATGGTGAAAATCTAAAAGCTTTTTCTGTAAGATCAGGAACAAGGTGAGGATGCCCACTCTCACCACTTCTATTCTGTGTATTACCAGAAGTTCTGCCCAGAGCTATTAGGCAAGCAAAAAAAAAAAAACGGAAGAAGTGAAATTGTTTCTGTTAACAGATGACATAATCTTATATATAGAAAACCAGGCTGGGCATGGTGGCTCATGCCTGTAATCTCAGCACTTTGGGAGGCTGAGGCAGGCAGATCACCTGAGGTCAGGAGTTCAAGACCAGCCTGGCCAACATGGTGAAACCCTGTCTCTACAAAAAATCAGCCAGGATGGTGCAGGTGCCTGTAATCCCAGCTACTCAGGAGGCTGAGGCAGGAGAATTGCTTGAACCTGGGAGACGGAGGTTGCAGTGAGCCGAGATCATACCATTGCACTCCAGCTTGGGTGACAAGTGTGAAACTCTGTCTCAAGGGAAAAAAAAAAGGAAAACTGATTATTCCACAAAAATGTTACAATTCATCAATCAATTCGGCAAAGTAACAGGATGCAACATCAACATATAAATTTAGTTGTATTTCTATACATTAAAAGTGAACTTTCTGAAAGAAAATTAGGAAAACATTCCAATTTGCAATAGCATAAGAAAGAATAAAATACTTGGGAATAAACTTAAGAGGTGTTATTAGTCCGTTTCCACTGCTGTAAAGAAATATCTGAGACCGAGTAATTTATAAAGTAAAGAGGTTTAATGTTTACGATTTTGCAGGCTGTAGAGGAAGCGTGGCTAGGAAGGCCTCAGGAAACGTACAATCATGGCAGAATTAGAAGGGAAAGCAGGCACATCTTCACATGGCCAGAGCAGGAGGAAGAGAGGGAGGAGAGGTACTATACACTTTGAAACAACCAGATCTTATGATAATTCACCTACTATCATGAAAACAACACCAAAAGGGAAATCCATCCCCATGATCCAACCACCTCCTACCAGGCCCCACCTCCAACATTGGGGATTACAATTTGACATGAGATTTGAGTGGGGACACAGACCCAAACCATATTAGGAGGTAAAAGACTCACTGAAAACAACAAAACATTGATGAAAGAAATTAAAGGAGACACAAACAAATGGAAAGACATCCATGAATTGGAAGACTTAATATTGTTAAAATGTCCATACTGCCTAAAGTGGTCTTACCGATTCAGTGAAATTTCTATCAAAATTCCAATGGGATTTTTTGCAGAAATAGAAAAATTCTGAACTTCATATGGAATCACAGAGAACCCTTAATACCCAAAACAGTCTGAGGAAGGAAGAACAAAGCTGGAAGCACCACACTTCCAAACTTCAAAATACGATACAAAAGTACAGTAGTTAAAACATCAGCTGGGTTCAGTGGCTCACACCCGTAATGCCAGCACTTGGGGAGGCTGAGGCAGGCAAATCACTTGAGCCCATGAGTTTGAGACCAGCCTGGGCAACATGGCAAAACCCTATCTCTACTAAAAATACAAAAATTAGCCCGGGCATGGTGGTGCTTGCTTGTAGTCCCAGCTACTTGGGAGGTGAGGTGGGAGGACCACCTGAGCTGGGGAGGTCAAGGCTGCAGTGAGCCATGATCATACCACTGCACTCCAGCCTGGATGACAGAGTGAGACCCTGTCTCAAAAAAAAAAAACAAAACAAAACAGTTTGGCACTAGTATGAAGATAGGCATAGCAACTAATGTAACAGAATAGAGAGCCCAGAAGTAATTCACGTATGTATGGACAACTTACCTTTGACAAGGGTGTCAAGAATATACAGTAGGGAAAGGATAGTCTTTTCAACAAATGGTGTTTGGGAAAACTGGATATCTACATGCAAAAGAATGAAATTGGTTTGGACCCTTACCTTACACTTTAACTCAAAAATCAACTCAAAATGGATTAAACAATTAAACGTAAGACCTGAAACTTACCGACTCTTAGAAGAAAACATAGGGAGAAAAGAGCTTCATGACATTGGTCTTGGCAATGAATTCATGGGAATAACACCAAAAAGTGTCTGTGGATGGATGGATGAATGGATAAATAAAATGCAGTATATACATACAATAGAATATTATTGAGCTTTAAAAAGGAAGAAAATTCTGCAATATGTGACAACCATGGATGAATCTGGAGGGCATTATGCTAAATGAAATAAGCCAGCCACAGAAAGACACAGAAATCAATCAAATAACTGCTTGATTACACTTACATGAGGTATGTTAACTCATGGAAGGAGAGAGCAGAAGGGTGATTGCCAGGGGGAGGGGGAAGCAGGAAGTGGGAAATTGCTAATAATGTGTATCAAGTTTCAGTAATGCAAAATGAATTCATTCTAGAGATAAACAGTCTGAGAAAGTGTCACAGTGTAGAGGAGTCTAAGAAGACATGACAGCTACCACCTTTGGTGGTATTCTGGAACAAAAATGATACTAGGTAAAAACTAAGGAAGTCTGCATAAAGTATGGGCTTTAGTTATTAATGTTATCAGTATTGGCTCATTAGTTGTGACAGTTGTACTATACTAATGTTAGGTGTTAACAATAAGGGATACTGAATCTGATGTGTATGGGATCTCTATACTATCTTTGTAACTTTTCTGTTAGTCTAAAACTATTCTAAAATAGAAAGCATATTTTTTAAAAATGCTATAGGAATTCAGTTAAGAAAAATTCCTTGAGACTGAAATACTAAACCCAACCAGTTCTTTTCCTCACATACATAAAAGTTTTGTAAAATGAAAAATAGGTATTCTAGGCAAAAGATGAGTTGAGAAAATCTTAGTGGCACCAGACAAAAGTTGTGAGAGACTTCAAAGTATACTTGAGATTATCTGGGACCCCTAGTGACATAGCTTTGAAGCACAGGTTGAAGAAACAGGACTTGATCATTTATGCAGTCTGATAAGAAACTGCTAAAGAATCTTAAGTAGTCTCAAATATTTAAATCTTAAATTATGTAACTGGAGCCAATTATACAATGTCATCTATAAACAAGGTACTTGCTAAAACTTTTTGCTCTATAATTTATGGATTTGTATACAATGTGGGCAGCTTCTCTTTGCTTTTTCACCCTGAATTTAGAAATGAAACCTGGCTCTCCCTATATCAGATTATTTCACTCATGGCCTCATTAATTAGAAAGGAGAAGAGTTCAGCCTTTTCTACTCTCTGTTTTCTACTCCTTGCTTTTCCATACCATGCGATGAAAGGTAACAATCTTCTCTAGAATTACTTTTTATTGTTATCATTTTATTTCTCCCTTTAGTTCCCTATGACTAAAATTTTTTGGTTGACATTTTGTCTCTAATGTGTAATTTTTGCCTGAGTTCTCGATTTTCTTTAATAATATCCTGAAAATTTTGGGACTTTCTCTACAAAAATACATAGACATGAATTTTCGTATGTTTTAAAATGGTTCATAGGTACTTTGGAGTCCATGTGCCACAGGTCAAGAAACCCTGCCTATCTTGAATCCTATTAATAGTCGTAATAGAACTGAGGTGGCAGACAGACATTATTTTTCTTACAGTCATTTCTTCTAAGTCTTACGTGAACAACATTAGCACTGATATGAACTTATTTTAATAGTTCTTGAAGATATGGTGAAAATACTTTGGACATCTTTGAACAGTTCTATAGCTCTAGCTAGGATAGTGCTTGCTTTTGGCCCTGGGCTATACTAGCATGGCTCAAACAAGCTCTACAATTTGATATTCTAGTATTTGGTAAAGTTTCTGTTCTTGGTGTAGATGGACTGCATCCTGTGCAGTCTTGAAAGATTAGTTAACCGGTACTCACATGTTATGTGCCAATACGTGATTTTTAAAAACATTTACTTTAATGTTTTACTTATCTTTTGTATTTAGAAAGGAAAAAATACATTAGTTTTTTTTCCTCCCCCACAAGGACTGTTATAAAGTGAAGGCTGCCATCTAGAGACAGACTCATCATTGGAGATGTAATCACAGCAATTTCTGTTTTCAAGGCATTCTAAAAAATTTATAAGTATCAAAAATGTATCTTTATTCATAATTTGTGAGGGTTTTTTTTTTCCTTTTTGCACATACTGTTTAGACAGATCCCATGCATCCCAAGATATTTACGATTAAGCTTGAAAGGTATCAAAGTGTCTCTTTCTTTACCTCTTCCCCAGACCCCCTCCTCAAATCTTGAAAAAGACTCTTAAATGTAGTCACTGCATTACTAGGTAACTGTTAAGTTCTACATTTCTGGTATACTGATATTTGTTTAGTGAATCCTTCTCAGTTTTAGTAGACTCAACATTTCTTCTCCTATCCTGACTCAGATTTTTTCTACCAATCCATCCATATTTATGTCTAGTCTTGATTTACAGTTTGCTGTTTATCAGGCTAGGTTATATAAAAATGAAACTAAAAATGGCCAGGCACGGTGGCTCACGCCTGTAATCCCAGCAGTTTGGGAGGCCGAGGTGGGTGGATCATGAGGTCAGGAGTTCGAGACCAGCCTGGCCAACATGATGAAACCCTGTCTCTACTAAAAATACAAAACTTATTGTGTTTTTAGTAGAGAATAATTACACGTGGTGACGTGTGCCTGTAATCCCAGCTACTCAGGAGACTGAGGCAGGAGAATCACTTGAACCCGGGAGGCGGAGGTTGCAGTGAGCTGAGATCGCGCCATTGCACTCCATCTTGGACAACAGAGCAAGACACAATCTCAAAAAAAAAGAAATAAAAAAATAAAAAGTTAGATGACAATAAAAATGATCCTGTCATATGCTTGGATTATCTCTAGTACATAACTAGATTACATTTTATTTATTAAGGCGCTATAATCCACTCTGTAAAAGAAGAGCTTTAAAATGATTTATACATGGAGCAATTACTTAGAAAGCATCTGCTATTTGGAAGGATCTTTTGCTAAGTGTGTTAGACAATGTTAGTGTATTTCAATCACACTTAGACTTCAGTAATTTGAGGTAAGCAAGAATGGTGTGTCATAAAAGCTATAAACTTTTTTTTTTTTTGAGTCTTGCTCTGTCATCCAGGCTGGAGTACAGTGGTGCAATCTCAACTTACTGCAACCTCAGTCTCCCAGGTTCCAGAGATTCTTGTGCCTCAGCCTCCTGAGTAGCTGAGATTACAGGCATGTGCCACCCACACCCGGCTGTTTTTTTGTATTTTTAGTAGAGATGATGTCTCGCCGTGTTGCCCAGGCTGGTCTCAAACTCTTGATCTTAAGCAGTCTGCCCACCTCAACCTCCCAAAGTGCTGGTATTATAGGTGTAAGCCACCACACATGGCCAAAAGCTATTATTAATATAAACTTAAAAGAGCCTTGTGTTATATTTGGATAAATTGTTTTGCTGCTGAGTAAAGTTCTGTCTACTTTCAGTCTTCTGTGTACTTGTGTACCTAGTTGGAGGGATGTATAGAAGGCTTGGAGTTTATGCCCTGGCTGACATCATAGAATAGAGGAGGAGAATTGAAAATGACTGAGGAGGGACAGGGTTGAGACATTTCTCTAAACTGTGTGGTTCATATATATGAGGATAAGAAAGTTTGCTGGGTCCTTCTTGACTTTTCTGACAATTTACCTCATCATTGTCTTAACTTACCCCTATGATAGGTACTAGGCATTTTGAACAGGGTGTTTAGTGCTGTTGGACCTGATATGTCTACTCTGGAGGTGGATGCTATAGGTCTAGGTGATGGGAAAACCTCTGGAATTACTTTCCCTGGTTTTGGGATAAAAGAGGTAGCTCGTCTCTTGAAACAGTATTTGAATCTGTGCATACGTAGGAATCTGACTTCCTGTAGAACTCAACTTAGGAACTGGAGCTTTTAGCTTGCTTCCAAAATGGGCACGATAATGTATCAGAAAAAAAAATGAATGCCCAAAGTAGGAGAGTCTAATACTGAGTATCTTTTATGTTACAGGTGCAATGCCAAATACTTTACATTTGTTATCTCATTTAATTCTCTTATCATCCTTATTTGTTTGAATGTTTCCCATGTGCTAAGTAATGTTCCAGGCAGTAGCAGTTAGAACATTGAAGAAAGGCTCTCTGCTCTGCAGTGATATTATCACCACTTAAAAGATTAGAAATCCTAGTTTCATAGAGACTAAGTGACTTTTCTAGTGTCCCATATCCGGTAACTGATGGAGCTGAGAAACCCTACTATGTCTTACTCTAAAGACATTGAGCCACTCTAGGATGACTTATTTCCTGAGGCTTCTAACGTATGTTGTAATCACTGCAACTACAATTACAGTCTGTTTTTATTGTTGTCTATATAGATATTTATACAAGAGCGTGTTTTCCAGCCTTATATTCCGTCTTTTGTGCCCTGTGATAGCAGATAACAAAAACACAGTATTTCTGGCAAACTTGTGTTAAGGATTCTTATTCTTGCCTTCTACTGAGTGCATATTGATAAGGACTATACAAATGCCTGATAGTGTTTAAGAGCAGTGTCTTTCAGTTTAGTTTTTTACATTTTATTTTTTATTTGAAATGTATTTATTCATAATTTTGTTTGGGTAATATATTCATGTAGTTCAAATTTTTAAAGTGCAAAAAGTATGAATATAGCCTCCCTTATTTTTCTAAACCTCAACTGCCCATTTCTCTTTCTTGGAGGCAACCAGTTTTACTAGAGTATCTTTCTAGAAATATTTTAATGTATGTTCAATCAAATATATTTCAGTATCCATTCTTTTTTGTGTTTGAATATATCCTATAGATCTTTCCATAGATAGCTTATTTTTTGATAGCTCCATCTATAGTTTTGATAGATTCCATTGACTTTGAGAGTCAATAAAGAGTAGTGGTTAATCATAGTAGCCAGTCTGCCTGCATGTAAACCATGGGTCTGATACCGGGAAACTTTTTTTGCAAGTTGCTAAACCTCTAGATGCCTCTTGTCTCAGAAATAATAGTACATTCTTCATAAGGCTGTTGTAAAGATTAAATGTATAAGCATCAAGTGCCTGGGAGATAGTAAGCACCCAAATGTTAGCTGCCACCACCATCGTCATTAATATCACCTTTTTATTTATTTCATCTGATCTTTATGAGCATATAGGCTTTCTTTCCTTTTTTTTTTTTTTTTATTACAAACAGTGCTTCAGGGATAACCTTTTACATTCATTACTTTGCACATGTGTTAGTCAGTGGATGTTTTGCTACAGGTACAATCTGTGGATCAAAGAGTATGTAAATTTGTAGTTTTGGCAGACATTTACCAAACTGCATACCATAGAGATTGTACCAAATTATATACTTTTATCAGCAATTTAACGTAATTTAAACTATCTAGAACTTTATGGTAGATTTCTGATGTTATGTCTAATTATGGAATTATTTATAGTTAAAAACGGCAATTTCAAAATTCTTCCTTTTCCTTCTTAGGAGTACTGTCCTGTCAGAAGGGCCTGATCAAACAACATTTTATGTTTTAATATAAAATATATGTTGGAAGGTTATTCTTTTGGGATTCTCACAGATAACTTGTTAATGCTTGAGAGAGTGGAAATTGATCTGAAAGATTAATTGAAAGATTAATGTAAAATCTGTTGTTCCACAGGTACTGTGAGAATAGAGATGTTTCGAAATATGCAGAATGCAGAAATCATCAGAAAAATGACTGAAGAATTTGATGAGGTATAGCATTCCAATATTCATACAAATTGCTTACTTATACTTTCACATGATGAATATGTTGATTATCTCAGGTTTTGTTTTGATTTGATGTTTAGTGTAACTGAAAATCTATTTTTTAATTATATATGATAATCTGTGGTACTAATTCCAAAATTAATGATCTTTGGAGATTTGATTATGTTGTGTGGAGTATTGAATAATTACTGGCAGGCTAAGAAAATTAGTGATATGAGGTAAAAGTAGATTCTTGATATTTATTTTGAAGACCATCTCAAATTCCCAAATTTATAAATGCATCTCCAACAGTTTTCTGTTTGTGGAATGCTAGTTGCATTAAATGCTTTAAGGGGAAAACAGTTTGGAGGTCAGTGAATTCTAAGCAGGACCACATATTATACCTGTCTCAGAGATTATAAAATCACATTATGTTATTTAAGATTCCAAGACATCCTAATTAAGAAAAGCCCTGCTTACCTTCATTTAACCCAGAATTTCCCAAAATTATTTTACGTGGAAATTCTCCCAAACCCCTGGTGTGTGTGTGTGTGTGTGTGTGTGTGTGTGTGTGTGTGTGTGTGTGAATGTTAAGCTTCTATTTGGGATACTCTACTTGAAAGTATTCTTATTTTCATTTAGAATACATGTTTTCTTTGCTTGGCTTCACAAATTAATCACCTTTCTCATTTTCACAGAAATATTCTCTTGAGCAGTTTTACAGTGATTGTAAATGCAGAAACATTTCCACAGTTTTATTTCTGTATTGTATTTATGGTGAAATGAATTTATATTATGTATTAGGCTACCATTAATTCCAGTTTTAACAATCTGCCTTTTGATTTAAATAACATTTCTATTTTTGGTATGTGTTTCTTTTTCTTGACTTTCAGCACTAAAATATTGGTTGTTTTCTAGGTCTGCTCTTTGACAGGGAGTGGGCACGGGGTTTTATTATTATTAATTTTAACTTGGAAAACGTCATACAAACACATATGTTAAGACAAACAGTGTGTGACCCGGGTATTGGGATTTTTGAAAGTTCATCAGGTGATTCTAATGTATACCAAAGCTTGGGAACTACTAGTTTAAAGAAAATTAACAGAAAGCCAAGAATTAACTTAGTAAAACTCTTCACGTATGAAAATGGAATGAGATAAAAACAGAAATAAAGACACTGTGAAAATGCACATATAACAAGAAAGCATTACTTTTGTTTTAGGATTATTAAATAACTAGAAGTTGAGAAATTCAGGAAAATAAATATATAGGTTTTTTTTTTTTTTTTTTTTTTTTTTTTTTGGAGACACAGTTTCACTCTGTCGCCCAGACTGGAGCGCAGTGGCATTGTCTCAGCTTACTTTAACCTCTACCTCCCCGGTTCAAGCAGTTCTCATGCCTCAGCCTCCCAAGTAGCTGGGATTACAGGGGTGTGCCACCACGCCCAGCTAATTTTTGTATTACTAGTAGAGACAGGATTTCTCCATGTTGTCCAGGCTGATCTGGAACTCCTGACCTCAGGTGATCCAACCACCTCAGCCTCCCAAAGTGCTCGAATTACAGACATGAGCCACCATGCCTGGCCAAATATATACTTAAAATACTCCTGTAAATATTGTTAACTATTATGGTATGTTGAAGGAATAGTAAACTATTAAGAAAAGTAAGAATGAGTTACGTTGCAAGTGAAATTACTGAAAAGGCATTTCATATACCTAAATATATTTTCTCGCAATATTTGAGATGATCAGCTTCATCAAAGAAGACTTTTTTAAAATCACCATTCTAGTTTTTTTTTTTTGTTTGATAGTAAAGTAACACAGTTTGATTATGATATGAAGGTATTTAAAGTGAAAATACTTACTAGATATTTGAGGCTATCCATTTTATCTTCTGTCACTTGAGGAAGATATTATTCCTTTTGTTACTGTGTATATACCCGAGAAACTTGGTTTAAATGCATGTATATTGTGAAATATAACTTATTTTAAGAAGTTTATTACATTTTTTTCTTCAAAAGACTATATATGTCATTTGGTTTTGTGGGAGTTGAGGAGGTTAGCTTTATTAAATTGTATTTTATAATATTCTAAAAGATCTGATGACAAGAACCATTGGGTCCCAAGAATCTAGAACAATGTCTAATTCTCAAGGAATAATCATTTAAATTTTATTAAAATTAATATATTGTATTACAGCAAAGTAAGGTAAAGGTGAGATGAGTTAGTTTGAAGCTGTTAAGATTTTCAGTAAAGTGATCTAAAAGTAAGTTGTTGCCTGAGAAGTACACTTTGGTTCCTATTCTTTGTTACAAACAGATTATTACAATGTTGGTTAATAATCTTTTTAAAATACCTATAAACCTGCACATAGCAGTGCTTTGTGATTGTAATGTCAACCTAATTTAAAAATAAATTATTTCCCAGAGCAATCTATGGGCTGTTCAGTCAATACATACACTTCGCTCTTGATAGAGCTAGCTGTAGAAAGCTAAAGCAAATTGATATTTCTTCCCCACATTTTTGGAATTGCACCTTCATATGTAAAGTCTTTGTTATGTTTCCAAGGTCAGATTGCATAGTTTTCATATGTTTTAAGTATGACTTTTATGTAGGGAAATTTTTATAACAAAACACATTTAATATATTCATTTAGTGCCTTTAATTCTTGCTTGTTCTTTTGCATTACATTGATAAATTGCGTGATTTTTGTGTATTGTGCTCTTCTCCCGTGATAACTTAACCTTGCAGATTTTTTCTCTTTTCCTGTCTAATCGTATGTACTTCTCTAAATTTATCCATTTCAGCATTTATTTAATCAAAGGATTAACATCATTAATAAGTATAAAAATGGTTAAATAGTATACAAACTGAGAAAAGGAAATATTACGGATATGATAGGGGAAAGCTCAAATTATCTCCAGTCCCAAGTTAAAGTCTCTAAATTGTTTCAATTGTATATCCCATCACTAAAACATTTTTTTTTTTTTTTGAGACGGAGTCTGGCTCTGTCGCCCAGGCTAGAGTGCAATGATGCAATCTCGGCTCACTGCAAGCTCGGCCTCCTGGGTTCACGCCATTCTCCTGCCTCAGCCTCCTGAGTAGCTGGGACTACAGGCGCCTGCCGCTACGCTGGGCTAATTTTTTGTATTTTTAGTAGAGACGGGGTTTCACCGTGTCAGCCAGGATGATCTTGATCTCCTGACCTCGTGATCCACCTGCCTCGGCCTCCCAAAGTGCTGGGATTACAGGCGTGAGCACCGCTCCCAGCCACTAAAACATTTTTTAAACTATAATCCTAATAGTGAAAACCTGTGATAAGCCTCCTCTCTCTTCACCATGCTCCTTTTCAGAGGGCCATAGTTTTTAACGTACGAGAGGAGTGCTTAAGAAGTAACTATGTGGTGGTCAGGCATGGTGGCTTACGCCTGTAATCCCAGCACTTTGGGAGACCAAGGTGGGTGGGTCACCCGAGGTCAGAAGTTCACAGAACAGCCAGGCCAATATGCTGAAACCCTGTCTCTACTAAAAATACAAAAATTTGCCAGGAGTGGTGGCACATGCCTGTAATTTCAATTACTGGAGTGGCTGACGCAGGAGAATCGCTTGAATCTGGGAGGTGGAGGTTGCAGTAAGCTGAGATCCCACCACTGCATTCCAGCCTGGGCAACAGAGTGAGATGCTCTCTCTCAAAAAAGAAAAAAAAAAAAAAGTAACTATATGGTGATTATTTGAGACCTTCTTAGTTCTGAACTACATCTATTTTCTAAATGTCTTATAAATAGTAAATACATGAAAAGATTTCTTCCTTCCACCCTTGGTAATCAAGACTGAGTGTATACCCTTGTTTGTTTATTGTATTAAAGTATACTTTGCAGCATATGCATATTTATTAATAGAATTAAATGTATATAGTATTGCGCTATCATTATTTGTGTAAAAGTAATTTTAATGGACAGATAAGACAATATTTCATACTATTCTGATCAAAATACTGTGATCACACAGTGGTTTTCAAATATCACAGGCTAATAACTCAAGACTCAGTATTTATTTAGACATGGTTCTAATGTTGGTAATGGGTGTATATCTTTATTTTTAATAGTCTTAATAATAATTTAAAGTTTTCAGGGTCATTTTCTTGTATCATTAGATTTTCATGGCTTTACTTTTATAGTGGACTAAGATGAATGCGTGCAAGGAGTGACAGTGCCACCACATTTCTTATTTCCTTATGATCACATGCTCAGGTTTTTGTTGTTTCAGTTTTCTTGAAAAATCTGTGCTTGGTGCCTTTCCATTTTGCCAGGAGTTAAAAATAGATACTATTGGCCAGGCGCAGTGACTCGTACCTATAATCCCAGCACTTTGAGAGTCTGAAGTGGGTGGATCATTTGAGGTCAGGAGTTTGAGACCAGCCTGGCCAACATGGTGAAACCCCATCTCTACTAAAAATAAAAAAATTAGCGTGGTGGTACATGCCTGTAATCCCAGCTAATGGGGAGGCTGAGGCAGGAGAATCACTTGAACCCAGGAGGCAGAGGTTGCAGTGAACCGAGATCACGCCACCACACTCCAGCCTGGGCAATGGAGTGAGACTTCACCTCAAAAAAAAAAAAACAAAAAAAAAATAAACAAAAAAAAGACACTATTAGGCTTAAAGTCATTGAAGTGGTCATATGTAACTTAAAATAACCTAAGAAACCAGTGAGGAATGCCATTTCTACTGTCAGCTCCTTTGAGTATTGAACTCTTTGCTACTCTGTTAAATTTGTTTTGTGACACAAAGCAGTCTGAAATATGGACCAAGTGAGGGCATACCAGGCTTATTCTGTATATTAAATATTAGCAGCAATTAATTTCTTTCTTTTTGTAGATAAAAATAAATAGAAATAGAAGTTCTAATATTTTCTTACAATACACCACTCCATTTGTGTTGCATACATCACTGTGGAAACTGCTCCAAGATGAGAAAGGTAAACAGAAAATGTTAAAGAAAATAGAATTAGAAATGACAAGTGCCAAAAGACAAATGAATAATTAAAAAATTGGGATGACTCCAGAAATTGTAATGAATTTGTAATATGCAAAAATGTAACAAAGAAAATATACAATGACTGAACCCTGCAGTTCGATCTATTGGGGACAAGAGCAAATGTTGAATAGTAATAATAATAGCTAATAATTATGCTTAATGGATGCAAGCACTGTTAAGTGCTTTACATATACTTAATTCTCACAATATTTTTGTGAGGTAGGTAGTTTATAATATTGTTATCCCTATATGACAGATGAGAAAATTGGGGCACAAAAGGGTTAAGAAACTTGCCTGAGGTCACACAACTGGTAAATGGCAAGCCAGGAGTTGAACCCAAACAATCTAGCTCCTACAGCCGTAGTTTTTTTTTTTTTTTTTTTTTTTGGAGACTGAGTCTTGCTCTGTCACCCCCAGGCTGGAGTGCAGTGGTGTGATCTTGGCTCACGGCAACTTCTGCCTCCCGAGTTGAAGCGATTCTCGTGCCTTAGCCTCCTGAGTAGCTGGGACTACAGGCGCACACCACCACGCCTGGCTTATTTTTGTATTTTTAGTAGAGACAAGGTTTCACCATATTGGACAGGCTGGTCTCGAACTCCTGGTCTCAGGTGAGCCACTGTGCCTGGCCCTAAGTCCATAGTCTTAACTACTGTCCTATTCTGTGTTTTATATAGTCAGAAGTTTATGATACTGAAATGTCTGGGAAAAGATTACTCAGTAACAGTTACACTTTTTCAGTTTGGACAACCCTGGTCATATAATTTGTTTCTGGCTATTTTTATTATCGATTTCTTACTGCTGATCCAGTAAGTTATAGAATTGTACTAGTAGTTTTTTAATGGGCCTGTTATATTCTCTTAATCTGGGATAATCTTTTTAGATTGAGTCAGACCTCTCCATTACATTATCTGAGACATCACTCATTATGAGAGATGCTTAAATGAGATACTCATGAAGCCAAAGTATATTCCAACAATAACATTTATGTCAGTGGTTACTAGATGAAATACTATCTGGATTAGTCATGATAAAGTATTTATTGAGGATATACTTACATGCTGGTAATTTGAAAATTTTTATCTTTCCGTTTTAAAACTCGTACAAAATTGGATTTTACAGTGATTCACATAAATCACATTTATATTTGTTAATTATTATTAAGATGTATTAGATTTTTCAGCTAAAGCCAGATAGTAGGAATTCGGTTTTTTATTTATTAGAGGTATCACTTTTTGCTTTTATGGATACATAGTAGTTCACATTTTTATGGGGTACATGTGAATATTTTTACATGCATAGAATGTGTAATGATCAAGTCAGGGTATTTGGGGTATCTCTTACCTTGAGTATTTATCATTTCTGTGTGTTGGTACCATTTCAAGTCCTCTCCTAGCTTTTGTTTTGTTTGTTTACTTGTTTGTTTGTTTTGAGACAGAGTCTCACTTTGTTGCCTAGGCTGGAGTGCAGTGGCACGATCTCAGCTCACTGCAACCTCCACCTCCCAAGTTCAAGTGATTCTCTTGCTTCAGCCACCCAAGTAGCTGGGATTACAGGCTTGTGCCACTGTGCCTAGCTAATTTTTGTATTTTTAGTAGAGACAAAGTTTCGCCATGTTGGCCAGGCTGGTCTTGAACTCCTGTCCTCAAGTGATCCACCTGCCTTGGCCTTCCTGTGTGCTGGGATCACAGGCATGAGCCACCGCACCCAGCTCTCTCCTAGCTATTTTGAAATATATAATATATTGATGTTAACTGTAGTCACCCAAGCCTGCTATCGAACATTAGAACTTATTTCTTCTATCTAACTGTAAGTTTATAACTATTTACCCAACCTCTCTGTTTCCTCCTCACACGCTTTTCTCCCTCTGGCATCTATCATTCTATTCCCTATCACCATGAGATCAGGTTTTTTAGCTCACAGATAAGAGTGAGAAAATGTATTTGTTTTTCTGTTCCTGAGTTATTACACTTAATATAAGGATGTCCAGTTCTATTCATGCTGTTGCAAATGACTTTAATTTTTTATAACCAAATAGTATCCTGTTATATGTATATGCTGCATTTTCTTTATCCATTCATCTATTGATGGACACTTAGATTGATTCCATATCTTTGCAATTGTGAATAGTGCTGTGATAAACATGCAAGTGTGGGTATCCCTTTGATATACTGATTTCTTTTCCTTTGGATAAATACGTAGTAGTGGGATTGCTGGATCATATGGTAGTTCTATTTTTAGTTTTTTGAAAAATCTCCACACTGTTTTCCATGGTGGTTGTACTAATTTACATTCCCACCAACAGTGTATAGAAGTTCTCTTTTCTCCAGATCCTCACCAGTATCTGTTGTTTTTCTTCTCTTTAATAATAGCCATTCCAACTGGGGTGAATGATATCTCATTGCCCATTTAATTTGTATTTTCTGGATGATTATGGATGTTGAGCACTTTTTCATATACCTGTTGGCCATTTAAGTTTTCTTTTGAGAATTGACTATTCATGTGCTTTGCTCACTTTTTAATGCGATTATGTTTTTTTTTCATTGTTGAGTTGTTTATTTTCAGTATTAGTCTTCTGTTGGATGAATAGTTTGCAAATATTTTCTCTCATTCAAGAGGTTGTCTCTTCACTCTGTTGTTTTCTTTGCTTGCTGTGCTTTTTTATTTTTAGTTTAATGTATCTTGTTTGCCTTTTTTATTTGTTTGTTTTTGTTGTCTGTGCTTTTGATGTCTTGGCTATAAATTATTTGCCTAGACCAGTGTCCTGAATTGTTTTTCCTGTGTTTTCTTCTACTAGTTTTATAGGTTCAGGTCTTACAGTTAAGTCTTTATCTTGAGTTGATTTTTATATAACGTGAGAGATAGGGGTTCAGATTCATTCTTCTGCATATGGATATCCAGTTTTTCCAGTATCATTTAGTGAAGGGAGGTGTCCATCCCGCAGTGTATATTCTTGACACCTTTGTCAAACATCAGTTGGCTGTAAATATGTGGATTTATTTCTGGGTTATCTATTCTGTTCAATTGGTATGTGTGGTTATTTTTATACCAATACTTTGTTCTGTTGGCGAATATAGCCTTGTAATATAATTTGAAGTCAGGCTGTAATGCCTTCAGCTTTGTTTTTGTTTTGTTTCGTTCATTTGTTTGTTTGTTTTGCTTAACTTTGCTTTGGCTATTCCAGTTCTCTTTTGGTTCCATGCACACTTTAGGATTGTTTTTTCTGTTGCTGTGAGAACTGACATTGATATTTTGATAGGGATTACATTGAATTTGTATATTGCTTTTGACAGTATGGTCATTGATATGGTTTGGATGTTTGTCCCCTTTAAATCTCATGTTGAAATGTAATCCCCAGTGTCGGAAGTGGGGCCTGGTGGGAAGTGTTTGGGTCATGGGGACAGATACCTCGTGAGTGGCTTGGTATCCTCCTTGCAGTAACAAGTGAATTCTCACTTTGAATTCACAAGATATCTGGTTATTTTTTAAAGTATGGCATCCCTGCCCCCTTGCTCCTTCTCTCACCATGTGATTCACTGGCTCACCTTCACGTTCTGCTGTGATTATAAGCATCCTTGAGGACCTCACCATAAGACGAGCAGACTCCAGTACTATGCTTCATATACAGCTTCCAGAACCTGAGCCAGTAAACCTCTTTTCTTTATAAATTACCCAGTCTTGGGTATTTCTTTATAGTAATGCAAAAAATAAAAATAAAAAAAAGGCGACACAGTCATTTTACCAACCTTTTTTTAAAGAAAAAATTCAGTGGTTACCAACATTTTACCAATATTCTTGGGATTCATGAGCATGAGTTGTCTTTCCATTCGTTTGTGTCCTCTTCAGTTTCTTTCATCAGTCTTTTGTAGTTTTCCTTATAGAGATCCTTCACTTTAGTTAGCTTTATTTCTAGATCTTTTATTTTTTCTAGCTGTTGTAAATGGGATTGCCATCTTGATTTTTTTACAGCTGTTTTATTAATGGTATATAGAAACCAATTTTTATATGTTGAAAAAATGTAAAGCGCTTTACTGAATTTGCTATCAGCTCTAAGAATTTTTTGGTAGAGGCTTTGGGTTCTTCTAAATAAAAGATCATGTCATCTGCTGAGAGGGACAGTTTGACTTCCTCTTTTCCAATTTGGATGTATTTTGTTTTTTCTCTTACCTGATTGGTCTGTCTAGGACTTCCAGTACCATGTTGAATAAGACTTGTAAAAGTGGG
The DNA here is from genome assembly GCF_000001405.40 of Homo sapiens. NCBI lineage: Eukaryota > Metazoa > Chordata > Mammalia > Primates > Hominidae > Homo > Homo sapiens. The sequence goes on along the minus strand of NC_000003.12, from coordinate 136,532,869 downwards.
CATGTTTGTTTTGTTTCAGTTCTTGAAGGAAAAGGTTTGAACTTTTCCCCATTCAGTATGATGTTACCTGTGAGTTTGTCATGTATGAACTTTGTTATTTTGAGGTATATTCCTTTTTTGCCTAGTTTATTGAGAATTTTTATCATGAAGCGTTGTTGGATTTTACCAAATGCTTTTTCTGCATCTATTGAGATGATCATAGGGTTTTTGTCCTTCAGTCTGTTGATGTTATGTATCACATTTGTTGATTTGCATACGTTAAACCATCCTTGAATGCCTTATGTAAATTTTGCTTGATCATGGTGTATTAGTGAGTTTGTAGTGAGATTAAATCAGTAATAAAAAGTCTCCCACCCAAGAAAAGCCCAGGCCCAGAAGGATTCACAGCTGAATTCTACCAAAGATAGAAGAAATAACACCAGTCCTCCTCAAACTATTCCAAAAAACTTAAAGGGAGAGAATTCTCAGTAACTCATTCTAGAAGGCCAGCATTACCCTGTTAGCAAAACCAGATAAGGCCACAGCAAAAACAACAACAACATAAAGGAACCTACAGGCCAACATCCCTGATGAAGTTAGATACAAAAATTCTAGCAAACCAAAGTCAACAGACATCAAAAAGGTAATATACCATGATCAAGCAATTTGTTAGTGTATAGTTGTTCATAATAGTCTCTGATGATCTTTTGTATTTCTGTGTTATCAGTTGTAATGTCTCATTTTTCATTTCTAATTTTTTTTATTTGGGTCTTTGTTAATCTAGCTAGTGGTTTATCAGTTTTATCTTTTCATTTTATTGATCCGTTGTATTTTTTTTAGTTTTAATTTATTTTTGGTCTGATCTGTATTATTTCTTTTCTGCTGTTAATTTTGCATTTGGTTTGTTCTTCCTACTCTAGTTCCTGAGGTGCATCATTAAATTGTTACTTTGAAACCTTACTACTCTTTTTTTTTTTTTTTTTATACTTTAAGTTTTAGGGTACATGTGCACAATGTGCAGGTTAGTTACATATGTATACATGTGCCATGCTGGTGCGCTGCACCCACTAACTCATCATCTAGCATTAGGTATATCTCCCGATGCTATCCCTCCCCCCTCCCCGCACCCCACAACAGTCCCCAGAGTGTGATATTCCCCTTCCTGTGTCCATGTGATCTCATTGTTCAATTCCCACCTATGAGTGAGAATATGCGGTGTTTGGTTTTTTGTTCTTGCGATAGTTTACTGAGAATGATGATTTCCAATTTCATCCATGTCCCTACAAAGGACATGAACTCATCATTTTTATGGCTGCAATAGTATTCCATGGTGTATATGTGCCACATTTTCTTAATCCAGTCTATCATCGTTGGACATTTGGGTTGGTTCCAAGTCTTTGCTATTGTGAATAATGCCGCAATAAACAGACGTGTGCATGTGTCTTTATAGCAGCATGATTTATAGTCCTTTGGTTATATACCCAGTAATGGGATGGCTGGGTCAAATGGTATTTCCAGTTCTAGATCCCTGAGGAATCGCCACACTGACTTCCACAATGGTTGAACTAGTTTACAGTCCCACCAACAGTGTAAAAGTGTTCCTATTTCTCCACATCCTCTCCAGCACCTGTTGTTTCCTGACTTTTTAATGATTGCCATTCTAACTGGTGTGAGATGGTATCTCATTGTGGTTTTGATTTGCATTTCTCTGATGGCCAGTGATGATGAGCATTTTTTCATGTGTTTTTTGGCTGCATAAATGTCTTCTTTTGAGAAGTGTCTGTTCAAGACAGAGTTTCGCTCTTGTTGCCCAGGCTAGAGTGCAGTGCGTGATCTCGGCTCACTGCAACCTCTGCCTCCTGGGTTCAGGTGATTCTCCTGCCTCTGCCAACCGAGTATCTGGGATTACAGGCGCCCATGACCACACCCAGCTAATTTTTGTATTTTTAGTAGAGACGGAGTTTACCATGTTGGCTAGGCTGATCTCGAACTCCTGACCTCAGGTGATCCACCAACTTCAGCCTCCCAAAGTGCTGAGATTACAGGTGTGCGCTGCTGTGCCTGGCCTGAAACCTTATTACTCTTTTGATGCAGGTGTTTATTTCTATAAACTTTCATCCTACTGCAGTTTTTGCTATATCCCACAGGTTTTGGTATGTTGTGTTTCCACTTTCATTTATTTCAAGGCATGTTTTGATTTACACCTTAATTTCTTCGTTGACTGGTTATTCAAGAGTGTGTTTTTTAATTTTCATGTATTTGTAAGGTTTTCAGAGTTTCTCTTTGTATTGATTTCTGGTTTTATTCCATTGTGGTCTGAGAAGATATTTCATATGATTTTGATTTTTAAAAATTTGACGAGACTTGTTTTGTGGCTTAACATATGGTCTATCCATGTGCTAATGAGAATAATGTATATTCTGTCTATGGCCATACCACCCTGAACGCACCCAATTTTGTCTGATCTCAGAGAATAATGTGTATTCTGCAGTTGTTGGATAAAATGTCCTATAAATGTCAAGTCTATTTGGTTTAAGATCTAGTTTAAATCCAGTGTTACTTTAATGAATTTCTGTCTAGATGATCGAATGCTGAGAGTGAGGTGTTGAAGTCTCTGTTATAGTCTGGGAGTCTATTTAGATTTAGTAATGTTTGCCTTATAAATCTGGATGCTCCACTGTTGGGTGCATATATACTAAAAATTATTAATTATTATTGTTGAATTAATCTCTTTATCATTATATAATGACCTTTGTCTTTATGACTGTTTTTGATGTACAGTTTGTTTCACTCATCATAAGTATAGCTGTTCTTGCTCACTTTTCATTTCTATTTGTGTGGAATATCTTTGTCCATCCCTTTAGTTTCAGTCTGTATGTGTCTTTACAGGTAAAGTGCATTACTTGTGGGCAGCATGTGGTTGGATCCTGTCTTTTATCTACTCATCTGGTCTTTGTCTTTTTAGTGGAATATTTAATCCGTTTACATTCAAAGTTAATATTACTATGTGACCCTTTGTTCCTGTCATAGTGTTAATTGTTTTCTGGTTGTTTTGTAATATTATTTGTTTCTTTCTTTTTCTCCTATTGTTTTTCTTTGTTGTTTGGTGATTTTCTGTAGCAGTGTCATTTGATTATTTTATCTTCCTCATATGTGTGTTTGCTTTACCAGTGAGACTTATACTTTTGTGTGTTTTCTTCATGGTAAACATTGTTCATTCACATCCAGTTTTAGGACTCTCTTGAGCATTTTTTTGTGTAGAACAGATCTGGTGGTGATGGATTTCCTTAGCTTTTGCTTGTTTGGGAAAAATGTTATTTCTCCATTTATTAAAGATAGTTTTGCTGAATATAGTGCTGTTGACTAGCAGGGTTTTTTGTTGTTGTTGTTGTTTTCTTTTAGCAGTGTGAATATGTCCTTCCATTCTCTCTGGTCCTATAAGGTTTCTGCTGAGAAATTTACTGGTAGTCTGATGAAGGTTTCTTTATATATGACTAGACACTTTTGCTGTTTTCAGAATTCTCTCTGTCTTTGACGTTAAAACAGTTTGACTATAACGTGCCATGAAGAAGACCTTTTTGGATCTTAGCCTCTTGTATCTAAATGTCTGTATCTCTTGCTAGACTTGGGAAGTTTCCATCTATTATTTTATTAAGTAGGTTTTAAAATGCTTTCATTCTGTCTTGGCCTTCTGGGACCCCAAATTGAACATTTGGGTGCTCTGTGGTATTTCATATATCACAAAGGCATAGTTCATTTTTCTTTATTTTTGTCTGGCTGAATTATTTCAGAAGACCTGTGTTCAGGCTCTGATACTCATTTTTCTGCTTGATCCAGTCTTTTGTTGAAGCTTGCAAATGTATTTTTTATTTTATTCAATGAATTATTCAGTTCCAAAATTTGTGGGGGTTTTTTGGTTTGTTTTCTGTTTTTTTTTGTTTTGTTTTGTTTTTTGCTTTTTCAGTCAGGGTCTTGCTTTGTCACACAGACTGGAGTGCAGTGGCATGATCTTGGCTCACTGCAACCTCTGCCTCCTGGGCTCAAGTGATTCTCCCACTTCAGCCTCCCAAATAGCTGGGAATACAGGCACATACCACCATGCCTGACTAATATTTTGTATTTTTGGTAGAGACGGGGTTTTGCCATGTCCTGAGCTCAAGGAATCCACTCACCTCAGCCTCCCGAGCTGGTGGGATGATACATGTGAGCCCCTGCGCCTGACTTGGTTCCTTTTAATGATATCTATTTCTTTGGTAAATTTTTGGTTTATATGCTGAATTGTTTTGCTGACTCCTCTGTATTGTTTTTCAGAATTCTGTTGTATCTCACTGAGCTTCTTTAGAATAAATAATTTGGATTCCTTTTCCAGGACTTAGTGATTTTTTGGGGGGGGGGGTGCGGGGACATCTGTTGCTGGGGAATTATTGTATTCCTTTGGAGATGTCAAGTTTCTTTGCTTTTTCATGTTTCCTGTTTCCTTAATTGATATCTGCACATCTCTTATAGCGCCTGGCTCAGAGGGTCCCATGCCCACGGAGCCTCACTCACTGCTAGCACAGCAGTAGATCAAACTGCAAGGCTGCAGTAAGGCTGGGGGAGGGTCGCCTGCCATTGCTGAGGCTTGAGTAGGTAAACATAGCAGCCAGGAAGTTCAAATTGGGTAGAGCCCACCACAGCTCAAGGAGGCCTGTCTGCCTCTGTAGACTCCACCCTGGGGCAGGGCATAGCTGAACAAAACGCAGCAGAAACTTCTGCGGACTTAAATGTCCCCGTCTGACAGCTTTGAGGAGATTAGTGGTTCTCCCAGCACGGAGTTTGAGATCTGAGAACAGACAGACTGCCTCCTCAGGTGGGTCCCTGACCCCCAAGTAGCCTAACTGGGAGGCATCCCCAAATAGGGGCAGACTGACACATCATACGGCCGGATAACCCTCTGAGATGAAGCTTCCCGAGGAACAATCAGGTGGCAACATTTGCTGTTCAGCAATATTCACTGTTCTGCAGCATCCGCTGCTGATACCCAGGAAAACAGGGTCTGGAGTGGCCCTCCAGCAAACTCCAACAGACCTGCAGCTGAGGGTCTTGACTGTAAGAAGGAAAACTAACAAACAGAAAGGACATCCACACCAAAACCCCATGTGTATGTCAACATCATCAAAGACCAAAGGTAGATGAAACCACAAAGATGGGGAAAAAACAGAGCAGAAAAGCTGAAAATTCTAAAAATCAGATTGCCTCTCCCCCTCCAAAGGAACACAGCTCCTCGTCAGTAACGGAACAAAGCGGGAGGGAGAATGACAAGTTGAGAGAAGGAGGCTTCAGAGGATCAAACTTTTCTGAGCTAAAGGAGGAAGTTGGAACCCATCACAAAGAAGCTGAAAACCAAAAAAAGACTGGACGAATGGCTAACTAGAATAACCAGTGTAGAGAAGTCCTTAAATGGTGTGATGGAGCTGAAAACCATGGCACTAGAACTACGTGACAAATGCACAAGCTTCAGTAGCTGATTCGATCAACTGGAAGAAAGGGTATCGGTGATTGAAGATCAAATGAATGAAATGAAGCGAGAAAGGAAGTTTGGAGAAAAAAGAGTAAAAAGAAACAAACAAAGCCTCCAAGAAATATGGGACTATGGTGAAAGACCAAATCTACATCTGATTGGTGTACCTGAAAGTGACAGGGAGAATGGAAACAAGTTGGAAAACACTCTGCAGGATATTATCCAGGAGAACTTCCCCAACCTAGCAAGGCAGGCCAACATTCAAATTCAGGAAATACAGAGAATGTCATGAAGATACTCCTTGAGAAGAGCAACTCCAAGACACATAATTGTCAGATTCACCGAAGTTGAAATGAAGGAAAAAATGTTAAGGGCAGCCAGAGTGAAAGGTCGGGTTACCCACAAAGGGAAGCCCATCAGACTAACAGTGGATTTCTCAGCAGAAACTGTACAAGCCAGAAGAGAGTGGGAGCCAACATTCAACATTCTTAAAGAAAAGAATTTTCAACCCAGAATTTCATATCCAGCCAAACTAAGCTTCATGAGTGAAGGAGAAATAAAATCCTTTAGAGACAAACAAATGCTAAGAGATTTTGTCACCACCAAGCCTGCCCTACAAGAGCTCCTGAAGGAAGCACTAAACATGGAAAGGAACAACCAGTACCAGCCACTGCAAAAACATGCCAAATTGTAAAGACCATGGATGCTAGGAAGAAACTGCATCAACTAATGAACAAAATAACCAGGTAACATAATGACAGGATCAAATTCACACATAACAATATTAACCTTAAATGTAAATGGACTAAATGCTCCAATTAAAAGACACAGACTGGCAAATTGGATAAAGAGTCAAGACCCATCAGTGTGCTGTATTCAGGAGACCCATCTCAAGTGCAGAGACACACGTAGGCTCAAAATAAAGGGATGGAGGAAGATCTACCAAGCAAATGGAAAACAAAAAAAGGCAGGGGTTGCAATCCTAGTCTCTGATAAAACAGACTTTAAACCAACAAAGATAGAAAGAGACAAAGAAGGCCATAACATAATGGTAAAGGGATCAAGTCAACAAGAAGAGCTAACTATCCTAAATATATATTCACCCAATACAGGAGCACCCAGATTCATAAGGAAAGTCCTTAGAGACCTACAAGAGATTTAGACTCCCACACAATAATTATGAGAGGCTTTAACACCCCACTGTCAACATTAGACAGATCGATGAGACAGAAAGTTAAAAAGGATATCCAGGAATTGAACTCAGCTCTGCACCAAGCAGAATTAATAGACATCTACAGAACTCTCCACCCCAAATTAACAGAATATACATTCTTCTCAGCACCACGTCATACTTATTCCAAAATTGACCACATAGTTGGAAGTAAAGCACTCCTCAGCAAATGTAAAAGAACAGAAATTATAACAAACTGTCTCTCAGACCACAGTGCAATCAAACTAGAACTCAGGATTAAGAAACTCACTCAAAACTGCTCAACTACATGGAAACTAAACAACCTGCTCCTGAATGACTAATGGATACATAACGAAATGAAGGCAGAAATAAAGATGTTGTTTGAAACCAGTGAGAACAAAGGCACAACATACCAGAATCTCTGGGACACATTTAAAGCAGTGTGTAGAGGGAAATTTATAGCACTAAATGCCCACAAGAGAAAGCAGGAAAGATCTAAAATTGACACCCTAACATCACAATTGAAAGAACCAGAGAAGCAAGAGCAAACACGTTCAAAAGCTAGCAGAAAGCAAGAAATAACTAAGATCAGAGCAGAACTGAAGGAGATAGAGACAGAAAAAACCCTTCAAAAAATTAATGAATCTAGGAGCTGGTTTTTTGAAAAGATCAACAACATTGATAGACCACTGGCAAGGCTAATAAAGAAGAAAAGAGAGAAGACTCAAATAGACGCAATAAAAAATGATAAAGGGGATATCACCACCGATCCCACAGAAATACAAACTACCGTCAGAGAAAACTATAAACACCTCTACGCAAATAAACTAGAAAATCTAGAAGAAATGGATAAATTCCTGGACACATACACCCTCCCAAGACTAAACCAGGAAGAAGTTGAATCCCTGAATAGACCAATAACAGGTTCTGAAATTGAGACACTAATTAATAGCCTACCAACCAAAAAAAGTCCAGGACGAGATGGATTCACAGCCAAATTCCACCAGAGGTACAAAGAGGAGCTGGTACCATTCCTTCTGAAACTATTCCAATCAACCGAAAAAGAGGGAATCCTCTCTAACTCATTTTATAAGGCCAGCATCATCTTGATACCAAAGCCTGGCAGAGACATAACAAAAAAAGAGAACTTTAGATCAATACCCCTGATGAACATCGATGCAAAAGTCCTCAATAAAATACCGGCAAACTGAATCTGGCAGCACATCAAAAAGTTCATCCACCATGATCAAGTGGGCTTCATCCCTGGGATGCAAGGCTGGTTCACCATACACAAATCAATAAACGTAATCCAGCACATGAACAGAACCAAAGACAAAAACCACATGATTATCTCAATAGATGCTGAAAAGGCCTTTGACAAAATTCAACAGCCTTCATGCTAAAAACTCTCAATAAATTAGGTATTGATGGGACGTATCTCAAAATAATAAGAGCTATCTATGACAAACCCACAGCCAGTATCATACTGAATGGGCAAAAACTGAAAGCATTCCCTTTGAAAACTGGCACAAGACAGGGATGCCCTCTCTCACCACTCCTATTCAACATAGTGTTGGAAGTTCTGGCCAGGGCAGTCAGGCAGGAGAAAGAAATAAAGGGTATTCAATTAGGAGAAGAGGAAGTCAAATTGTCCCTGTTTGCAGATGACAGGATTGTATATTTAGAAAACCCCATTGTCTCAGCCCAAAATCTCCTTAAGCTGATAAGCAACTTCAGCAAAGTCTCAGGATACAAAATCAATGTGGAAAAATCACAAGCATTCTTATACACCAGTAACAGACAAACAGAGAGCCAAATCATGAGTGAACTCCCATTCACAATTGCTTCAAAGAGAATAAAATACCTAGGAATCCAACCTACAAGGGATGTGAAGGACCTCTTCAAGGAGAACTACAAACCACTGCTCAATGAAATAAAAGACGACACAAACAAATGGAAGAACATTCCATGCTCATGGATAGGAATAATCAATATCGTGAAAATGGCCATACTGCCCAAGGTAATTTATAGATTGAATGCCATCCCCATCAAGCTACCAATGACTTTCTTCAGATAAGTGGAAAAAACTACTTTAAAGTTCATATGGGACCAAAAAAGAGCCCGCATTGCCAAGACAATCCTAAGCCAAAAGAACAAAGCTGGAGGCATCATGCTACCTGACTTCAAACTATACTACAAGGCTACAGTAACCAAAACAGCATGGCACTGGTACCAAAACAGAGATGTAGACCTATGGAACAGAGCAGAGCCCTCAGAAATAATATCACACGTCTACAACTATCTGATCTTTGACAAACCTGAGAAAAACAAGCAATGGGGAAAGGATTCCCTATTTAATGAATGGTGCTGGGAAAACTGGCTAGCCACATGTAGAAAGCTGAAATTGGATCCCTTCCTTATACTTTATACAAAAATTAATTCAAGATGAATTAAAGACTTACATGTTAGACCTAAAACCATAAAAACTCTAGAAGAAAACCTAGGCAATACCACTCAGGACATAGGCATGGGCAAGGACTTCACGTCTAAAACACCAAAAGAAATGGCAACAAAAGCCAAAACTGACAAATGGGATCTAATTAAACTAAAGAGCTTCTGCACAGCAAAAGAAACTACCATCAGAGTGAACAGGTAACCTACAGAATGGGAGAAGATTTTTGCAACCTACAGAATGGGAGAAGATTTTTGCAATCTACTCATCTGACAAAAGGCTAATATCCAGAATCTACAAAGAATTCAAACAAATTTACAAGAAAGAAAACAACCCCATCAACAAGTGGGCTAAGGATATGAACAGACACTTCTCAAAAGAAGACATTTATGCAGCCAACAGACACGTGAAAAAATGCTCATTATCTCTGGCCGTCAGAGAAATGCAAATCAAAACCACAGTGAGATACCATCTCACACCAGTTAGAATGGCAATCATTAAAAAGCCGGGAAATGACAGGTACTGAAGAGGATGGGGAGAAATAGGAACACTTTTACACTGTTGTTGGGACTGTAAACTAGTTCAACCATTGTGGAAGACAGTGTGGCGATTCCTCAAGGATCTAGAACTAGAAATATCATTTGAGCCAGCCATCCCCTTACTGGGTATCTATCCAAAGGATTATAAATCATGCTGCTATAAAGACCTATGCACACGTATGTTTATTGCGGCACTATTCACAATAGCAAAGACTTAGAACCAACCCACATGTCCATCAATGATAGACTGGATTAAGAAAATATGGCACATATACACTGTGGAATAATATGCAGCCATAAAAAATGATGAGTTCATGTCCTTTGTAGGGACATGGATGAAGCTGGAAACCATCATTCTCAGGAAACTATCACAAGGACAAAAAACCAAACACTGCATGTTCTCACTCATAGGTGGGAGTTGAACAGTGAGAACACTTGGACACAGGAAGGGAACGTCACACGCTGGGACCTGCCGTGGGGTGGGGGGAGGGGGGAGGAATAGCATTAGGAGATATACCTCATGTAAATGATGAGTTAATGGGTGCAGCACACCAACATGACACATGTATACATATGTAACAAACCTGCACGTTGTGCACATGTACCCTAGAACTAAAAGTAGAGTGAAAAATAATTATAATTAAAAACAAAAAAGAACAGCAAAAAAAGAAAAAAACAAGAGGAACTCTACTATAGTGGGGTTTTGTGATATAGAAGCAGCAGGTAGGCTGCTGAGATACCTTTAGGAAGCATCTTTTCTTTCTAGTCTATGTAACTTCTCCAATCTACACTCACACTCCCCGTCATGTAGTGCTCCCTACCACTCATCTAACACCAACATTAACTAACTTTTGGGATTTTGACTCTGAGTCCGTTCTCCTGTAGTGTCTGCTTTTTGTTACCTGTTCTTGGGATCTGGTGTTCTGTATATCACACTAGTTCTCTTTCCTATGACTCCAGTAGAGCTCAAGGCCTCATTTATAAAGAAATTTGCCTAGCAGCACTTTGTTCTAGAAAGGACAAAAAGCTACACATTGAGAATATTCAGGCAACCTTGTTCACAGAATTCCTCATTCCCTACCTTGTTAATTTCCATTTCTGTACTTAAGTGTCTTACACTAGACAGAGAAACCTCTAACCAATTGGGTTGTACTCTACGTTTTGTGTTTTAAAACAAGATGACACAACCTGGTGATATCAAGAACTCAGATTGTTTTCTTAGAAAACTTAATCAGTCCAGTGTATGAAGTGGTATTAAAATGAAGTTCATAGTAAAATTTGAGGAAATTTGGTTGGAATTTAGGATGTGTAAGATTATTTTTGCACTTCCCAATGAAATGCTTATACTTTTGAAATTCTCACTTCTTAAAAATTCAATTTAAAATATTGAAAGATGTGGTATGACACAGGTATCATGATAGCTTTCATCAAAATTCAACTGGCAATCATCCTTTCTAGTCTAAACTTTAAAAAATTTTTTTTACTGTTTCAGATTACCTCAACTATGATCCAAATACAACAAAGTGGAACTATTATTTTCAACCAAAGACTTAGAACAATAAAGTAGATGCTGGTTCTAAAATAGTAATTTTGAGTATTTTAAGAATTACTTAGTTGTGGCAGATCAAAATCAAAGAGAAATAAAGCAATCAAATGTGCTATGAAAGTCACCTATTTCTTTCTATAACTGCTTTGCAAAAAAGGGTTCCTATGTAGGTAGGAAGAAAAAAAAAGCTTTCATCAAACTCTGTAATGTGACATACTTAATATGTTCTTTTTCTGTTTTTTAGGACAGTGGTGATTATCCTCTTACCATGCCTGGACCTCAGTGGAAAAAATTTCGTTCAAACTTTTGTGAATTTATTGGAGTCCTGATTCGACAGTGTCAGTATAGCATAATTTATGATGAGTATATGATGGACACAGTAATCTCCCTTTTGACGGGTTTGTCAGACTCCCAGGTCAGAGCTTTTAGGCATACAAGTACCCTGGCTGGTAAGTAATTAACATTTTATTTCCTTTTCATTTAGTTTTGTTGACTATGTTTTATTCTGATTACAAACTTAATGAGAAGATTTAATTAAAAATTTAATTAGAATAAAACAGTCATTTGAATAGTTTTTGTTAAAATTTATGCCTGTTTTCATAACTGGCATTTGATAGCCTTAAGAATGAAAATTGAAATTTTCTGGCCAGTGTCATCAAATGTCTGTCTGAATGTTTAGTTACTAATGTACATCCTTATTTATAACTGAAGAAATTTTAAGAGACCACTAGGCCAAATTCTTTGGAAAACCCAAGTAATAATAGTTGAAATTCCAAATTTATTGTATTTTTTCATCGCATAATTACATTGTTTTATTGCTCATTATTATTATAGATAAGTGGGTAAATACTTGTTTATATACTTGAAACAATTCTGTCCATTAGGGTAACAAACATTCTTCCTATTCCTAGTGCTATAATAACTTAAACATACTCAAATATTAACATCTTTAAAGTCAGTTCTTAAGGTAGGCTGTAGATAATTTGAAGAACTAACAGATTAGTTTTCACTTTTGCTTTCTTTTAGAATTATCATGACAACTTGTCAACCAACTATATTCATTTTTTTTCTTGGTTTTCAGTAACGAGGTAATTTTCTTATTTTAGCAATTGTTCTATTTTTCCGTCACTGCTTTAACTGTGCCTACCTAAAATGACTATTTTTTTCATTCATAATGGAGTGTGTGTATACTTGTTGAGTGTTCATAAGTGTATGTTTAAATACTCCCAAATTACATCTTTTTTAGTAGCAGTAACTTTGCCTATATTCATCTTACTTATTATCATAATAAACCAGATTTAGACTCATTAGTTACATTTCATTTTGCATTTAAATTTTAATTTCTCATTTATCTAATTTATTTAAAGCACTGTTCCTCAGACTTTAGCACACACCAGAATCACCTACAGAGCTTGTTCAAACAGATGGCTGGGCAAGAAGTTCCTAGGCAATGTTGATGCTGGTGATTTGGGAACTACACATTGCAAATATCTGCTTTAAAATTTTGTTATTTTTTGGCTTAACCTGTTGCCCAAAGCCAATAAGATAATAACTGGAGTTGTGTATATGTTTTTACATTCTTTTTTTCCCAATTCTCATTTTTCCCTTACTCAGTTAATTCATATTAATTCATATTAGTGTCTGTTATTCTGTTAGTTACAGTCCTAACCAAGTAAACATGAAGCACAGTTTGTTTTTTCTGAGAGTGTTCTTTTCTCATTATTAGGAAGAGAGGGAGATATTTTACCCAATTTTATCTTTTTTCAAAAGATTAAAAATATAATTTGTTGAAAAATACCTATGTAGAACATACATCAGACACAGTTCATACTGTGTTTTGAGAGTATCTTCTTCCTCATTATCAGGAAGAAAAAGATTTTTTACCCTGTTTATCTTTTTTAAAAAGTTACTGTAAAAATACTGTTTATTATTCAAACAGTTATATAATGTTAGACTTTTTTTTTCTAATTCGCCAACCTTTCGTAGTATCCTCTGCATTTGGTCGTTGCTTTTTTTCTTTTCTTTATACTTTCTGTTCCTTTTCGTCTTACTTCTTTCTGTGTACAGTAATGCCCATTTACTTGATTGTCACATGCATAGGAAATTCAGCAATTTGGAAAAAAAAACCTTGAAAATAAAGTAGAAATTGCTTGTAAATAACCAACTTTGCTGTCATAAGAATTAACGAATTTACTTTTATGCAGAAGTTATTATCTGGGTTTCCCAAGGCCAAGAGAGAAGGAGAAGCAATAAGTTAATTGAGGGCTGATAGTATTGTGAAATGACCATTTAAAAGAAGAAGACACAAAAATTAGTTTACAGTTCTCAAGATAGAGCACAACCTTTGGCTTCTCTGTAGGGGCAAGCTACTTTTCTTTAATCTAGAAACTTGTGTGCATTCTGTTTAAAAGGTTAATTGTATGCCATTTACTCTAAGAACATAAGAGGAGTGCTATATTATAGAAATACGCAGAATATTTTGACTCTTAAAACATTGTTTTATTTTGTGAACAATGCACTTTAACTCATTTGCATTTGTCCTTCACTGCCATGTAAATGCAGTATTACTGTATTTTACTGCCTTTTTGATGCCATTTCAGCTCTCCTTTTCATTTGCTCATTTTTAGTAACTTTCATTGTATTGTTTTCTCTATACTTATCCCTTTGGTTATCTCCATCTGCTAATCTTGTGTATGTTTAAATATATTTTCATTATTCCTTTTGAATTGAGTGTCTCCTGCCTCCCCCCATTGCCTTTCTGTGTCTCTTTTCCACGGTCTACCTGCGTTCATCATAACCTTTAAAACTACTTGATGAATGTGATTTTGTTTTCACCTGTGTTCTTTTTATATTAGTATCATCATGTAGCCTATTTAAATTCGAAATTATTTTTCAAAATCAGATATCAAAAAAACAAATTAACAACATACGTTTATACGGAATTTTCAAAGGATAAAACTTTTCAGTTGTTCTCTCAATTTACTTTAACGTATTACTGTAATTCCCATGTGTCTACACTAATTAATGGTTATATCTTCCAAGGCTCACTTGTATAAAATGTGAGACATAGCAGTCACCTACCCTTCAACAAAGCACAGAGGGCTTGCTGAGAACTTAATTCCAGGCTGGACAACAATTATCCCTCTTTTCAAGGACATTTTGTTCTCATCTTTGCCCTCTTCTTATTTTTAATGGTATATGTACGAGGAATAGATTAAAAGATAATCATTTTTATTCACTTTGCAGGACAAGTCTTGGGGACTAGATAAAATGGGCAGGAACATTTAATCCTCTGCTTCAAAGACTATGTGCATGGACAGTTACAAGGCAGTTATGGCCAGATATGATTATCGGCTTTGGAATAAAATGCTCCTTGACATTGCTTAAATCTTAGCTGAGAAGAGAGACAATCAGGTTAGTTATTTTGTAGGGTACAGATGTGATGAGTTCCAGAGCTTCATAAGTCATCAGAGTGGTCTTATCAGTAGTATTTTTAATCTGTTTTCCAAATATCCCATTTTCCTGTTATGAATTCAATATGTGTCCCTGTTGTCAGTGTTTATGCATTGCATTTAATTGTATACTTTTACATTTTTATTAAAAGTTTTTTTTATCATTATATAGTTCTTTATGTCTGTTTATTCCACACTCATAAGTATATTCTTATTTTTCCATTGGAGGTAAACTCTCTTTTTAGAATATATTTTACCATTAAATTGAAAGAGACTGTTAACAATTAAATTTTATATTTTCTTTAATCCCTTCGTTGGAATTTTCAAACATACTGTCCTAGTTATTTGGCCCATTTTAATAAGCTTTACATTGTAGTTTTCATTAACTATTGATCTTCAGAGCTAAGTGCCCTTATTTTTATTTGAAATAGCTATCTCAGTGGGACATAGTAGTACAGTTTGTGGATTTAATTTATGTAAGAAACATTGTGTCATAATTATTTTGGTGGATTTACAATCTGAGACTGGGAACTTTTTTATTTTCAAATTTGATGACATTTTTATTTTTTGAGGGAATATTTTCCTTTTAAGTTCAAAAATAGGTAAGATTTTCTTTGTTTTACCACTTTCTTGTTTGGTATTATGAAGTTAAAATTTTACTCTCAAAGAATTGCTTTTCAGGATTATGTTTATTTTTAGACATTTGCTTTTAAAATGTATACCAATACTTTACAACTTGTTGACTTCAAATTTTTGTTAGAGGGCAACATTCAGGCTGAGTAATGTTGGTTAACGTTTTAATATTTTGTTATTTTCTCACCTACATAATTTTCTGTGATGTTATAAATATATTAATGCTGGCTGCCTCTGACTTCTAAAGTTCTAATTTGAACAAAAGGGAGTTAAAATACAAAATTTGTACTAATAATGACATGAAGATTGTTTCTATTCTCTTTTTTCCCTCCTAAAATGAATTTGGGAAAAAATTAGAAAATGTGGTCAAGATCATCACAAGGCCAGTCTTCATCAGTGCTTATCAATAAGTCACTCTCAGACTCCTGAGGGATAAACATTTCTTTATACCTTATGGTTGATTTTATATTCACATATGATTCATTATTGATTAACTTTTCTTATAGAATCAGCATCTCCAGACTTTTCCTCTGAGGAAGGAAATGACATATGAAATTGCTTTAATTTATGATCAGAGGCTGAAAATAATTTTGCCTCAGAAAATTGAAGTCTTTTTATTTGGCCTTCAGTTGCTGAAATCATGTAATACTGTGGTTGATAGAATGGGTTCTGGCGTGCCTGTCTGAATTCATATTCGTCTCTGTCTTTTACTAGTTGGATAACCTTGGACAAGTCCTTAACATAACTGGTCTTACTCTCTTTATTTGCAAAGTGGGAAAGAAAAGAGATTAGGAGTGCTTGGGACAATGCTTGGCATTTAGTAAGCTGCAGCTATTATTCTATTATTCTTTAATGAGAAAAACGGATAATAGTATTTGCCAATATTTCCCTTCCTTTATGGTTTTACTCAGAATTTATTGATTTGCTTGTTCTATTTTAATAAAAAGTAATAAGACATGACAGATGGGGAAATCATAAATAAACAAGTAGATAAACTTTCAAGAACCGCTGTTAAGAAAACGAACAGCATGCATTTTCTTTTCTTTTGCTTTTTTTTAATGTATGTTTATTTTCTGATTCTCACTCTGTTGCCCAGGCTGCAGTGCAGTGGCATGGTTTTGTTTCCTTGCAACCCCCGCTTCCCAGGCTCAAGCGATCCTTCCACCTCAGCATCCCGAGTAGCTGGGACCACAGGTGCATGCCACCACATCCGGCTAATTTTTTTGTAGTTTTTGTAGAGTTGGGATTTCGCCATGTTGCCCATGGCCTTGAACTCCTGAATTCAAGCAGTTTGCATACCATGGCCTCTAAAAGTGCTGGGATTACAACCACACCCAGCCTGCATTTTCATTTTACTTATCTTTTGGCTCTCAGGACCCATATTCTGTTTATTAAATTCAATAATTATTTTATAATTTTTAACCACACAGATTGTTTCTGGTTTCTATGGTTAAGATGTGAAAATTTTAGAGCAATCTGGTATTATCAAAGAATAGACCATGTAGTATAAATAATTGCTCTTCCTTTTTGTATTTACATTTTATTTTTTTATATTCATTTTTCAAAATTCTTCTAGAGTTTGACCTTTTCATTGCTTTGTACTTTTACTTTGTCTTACTTTACTTTTTCACCGTTGTGTTTTTCATCCCTCCTCCAGATATAAAATCTTTATTCAATTTTCTAGGGTTTGTATATAACAGACTTCTGATGTTCTCGTGGGATTAATGCCCAATAGTTGGTGAAATCTGCAAATACCACTATATCATGTAGTTTTACCCATAAAATAAAGTATAACTTTAAAATGTAATTACTTTTTTGAATCTGTATATTTAGGTCTATAATAACTTGAAATTTTCTAACTTTTTTCTTAGTATTATTGTCTTTTACGTTCTATCATCGGTTCTGAAAATTAGCTTTCTTTTGGCAGCCAGTTTTTGTAAAGAAACAAGGATTTTAAAAATTACTTTATAAGCATTACATATCTTGAATTTATTAACTTGGTGACTTTGGACAAATTATGTAACTCCTGTGCCTTTCTTCGTCTTTATAGCATAGATACTAATAATCCTTTCTCGTGGTAGTATTGGGAAGCTTAAATGAAATAATTTATCTTTTGTTTCCTGAGTCATATAGATGAAATAATTTTTGTTAAATATGTAACATACATAAGTCACTTAGTAATTGTCTAATGTTGTTTGTTGTTGTTGTTTTTGAGATGGAGTCTCACTGTGTTACCCAGGCTGGAGTGCTGTGGCACAATCTTGGCTCCCTGCAACCTCCCCCTCCTGAGTTCAAGTGATTCTCTTGCCTCAGCCTCCCGAGTAGCTGGGACTGCAGGCGTGCACTACCACACCCAGCTAATTTTTGTATTTTTGGGAGAGACGGGGTTTTATCATGTTAGCCAGGCTAGTCTCGAACTCCTCACCTCGGGCAGTCCGCCCACCTTGGCCTCCCAAAGCGCTGAGATTACAGGCCTGAGCAACCATGCCCAGCCCAACGTTGTGATTTTTTTTTTAATTATACTTTAAGTTCTAGGGTACATGTGCACAATGTGCAGGTTTGTTACATAGGTATACATGTGCCATGTTGGTTTGCTGCTTCCATTAGCTCATCATTTACATTAGGTATTTCTCCTAATGCTATCCCTCCCCCTGCCCCCACCCCACGACAGGCCCTGGTGTGTGACGTTCCCCACCCTGTGTCCAAGTGTTCTCAGTGTTCAATTCCCACCTATGAGTGAGAACATGCGGTGTTTGGTTTTCTGTCCTTGTGATAGTTTGCTGAGAATGATGGTTTCCAGCTGCATCCATGCCCCTGCAAAGGACGTGAACTCATCCTTTTTTATGGCTGCATAGTATTCCATGGTGTATATGTGCCACATTTTCTTAATCCAGCCTATTATTGATGGACATTTGGGTTGGTTCCAAGTCTTTACTATTGTGAATATTGTCGCAGTAAATATACGTATGCATGTGTCTTTATAGTAGCATGATTTATAATCCTTTGAGTATATAGCCAGTAATGGGATCGCTGGGTCAAATGATATTTCTAGTTCTAGATAACTGGGGAATCACCACACTGTCTTCCACAATGGTTGAACTAGTTTACACTCCCACTTACAGTGTAAAAGCATTCCTATGTCTCTACATCCTCTCTAGCATCTGTTGTTTCCTGACTTTTTAATGATTGCCATTCTAACTGGTGTGAGATGGTATCTTACTGTGGTTTTGATTTGCATTTCTCCGATGACCAGTGATGATGAGCATTTTTTCATGTGTCTGTTGGCTGCATAAATGTCTTCTTTTGAGAAGTGTCTGTTCATATCCTTGTGATTTTAATATAGAGAACAGCTAAGCTTACTTGGTTTGGTTGTAAAGAGGGCACAGAACTTGAAAAATGTTTTAACATACTTTTCGTTTTCATATTGTACACTAGAATATTTTCAGTGTATATAAAATTACATATACTACTTACAGAGAATTCAGAAAAAGAGAAAAGTACAAAAATAAAAATTCTCTATAATGGTACCATCTTATGACTATGCCATAACTTGTTATTTTAAGTTTCTTTGTCATGTGTACTTGTGAAGCTTTTTGGTTTTATTTTTAAACAAGTGTTCTGATCAAATTTTTGACTTTTTTTCTTTTAATTTTTTAAAATTATGCCTCATTTTCTAAAATTTAGATGCTACTTAATTGTTTCTGCTGTTTGAATTTTTTGTCTTTCTTTTTTAGATCCCCTATTATCTTTTGTTTTCTTTCTTTCTTAATTTGTTCTCTCCTTTTTGTGTAGCATATTTTTTGATAGTTTCTTGAGAAAAAGACAATTTGGGAAATATGTATTTGAGACTTTACGTGCCTGAAAAACATGTTGTAGCTTCTTGCTTAATAGTTTGACCCAATTTAAATTTCATAATTGAAAATTTTTTTTTAAGATTTTGTTTCTCGTTTCCAAAGTTGCTGTTGAGAAGTCCAGTGCTAATTTTAGACTTCTGGTTGTGATCCTGTTTCTTGTCTTTGGAAGCTTTGCAGATTTTTTTGTTTGTTACTGAAATTTCATGATGATATCCTGAAATTTTGTGATGATACAGTGTTATGTATGTTTATTTTCCATTTCTTTGTCCTTTCTGTCCACTGTGTTACCTCATGTTTATTAATTTTGAGTATCCTTTTACATTTCTAAGAGTTCTTTCTTATTTTCCAAGTCTTCCTTTTTTTTTTGAGACGGGGTCTTGCTCTGTCACCCAGACTGGAGTACGGTGGCACGATCTTGGCTCGCTATGACCTATGCCTCCTGGGTTCAAGGGATACTCTCCGACCTCAGCCTCCTGAGTAGCTGAGATTACAGGCATGTGCCACCATGCCTGGCTAATTTTTGCATTTTTAGTAGAGATGTGGTTTCACCATGTCGGCCAGTTGGTCTCGAACTCCTGACCTCAGGTGATCTGCCTGCCTCGGCCTCCCAAAGGGCTGGGAGGCCCTACACCCCGCCACTTGGGCCACTACACCCGGCCCAAGTCTCCCTTTTTTGAAATATTCTGTGTTTCGTAGATACCTTTTCGTTGATGGTATTAATTATTTCTCTGAGGTTTTCTTCTGCTGTCAGTCCTAACCTTTTTTCTTCTTATTCTCTGCTTTTTAAACTGTAATTCATATTGGACATTTTCCTCAAATATTTGTTTCTTGGCTCTGTAGTTATTGTTGATAGTGAGATACTAAAAAGCTCAATAGCAGAGGGGTGTGTGTGTTCACCTCTGGCATGATGGGACATTGACTCTGGCTTCCAGATTGGTGAGCATCACTATCGAGCAGTCTGGTGGTCAGTTAGTTTTTTTTTTTTTATAGATCCTCAATTGTTGTTAGTGATCACTGTCTTCCCTGGAGAAGTTCAGCCTCTTTGCAGAAGGATCTTCCAGTCCACTTAAGCTTGGCTGCTGTCTGCTCTTTTGGAGTTAGATAGAATGAAGAAACACTCAGGGCACTCACACAAACCAAACATAATCACACACATATGTCTGATGACTCTGGATTTTTGGTTTATTTTCTTGAGAAGATAAATGTCTGGACTTCCAAAATGAATGTGTCATAAAGGAATTGCTTGACTGCCTGGCTTGGAGTAGAGACTTGGGGATTTAATTGCTTATTATACAGACTTTGAGATAATATTCCTATTTTCAGACCATAACACACTTCATCTTCTATGGAACCTACTACTTCTAATAGCTGATGGTGTCTGGATTCTACTAAGCTAAAATAGCTTATTTTTATTTTCGAGACAGGGTCTTGCTCTGTCATCCAGGCTGGAGTGCAGTGGCATGATTACAACTTACTGCAGCCTCAACCTCCTGGGCTAAATTGACCCTCCTGCCTTAGCCTCCTGAAGCTGGGACTACAGGCATGTGCCATCACACCTGGCTAATTTTCCTTTTCTTTCTTTTTCCTTTTCCTTTCCTTTCCTTTTTTTTTTTTTTTTTTTTTTTTATTTTGTAGAGAAGAGGTCTTACTGTGTTTCCTAGTCTGGTCTCAAATTCCTGGGCTCAAGCTTTCCTCCCACCTTGGCCTCCCAAAGTGCTAGGATTATAGGTGTGCCCACCACCACACGCCCAGTGCTTGTTTTTCTTAGAGATATGGTTATCATGCTTTTTCTACCCTTTCTGTGATTTTAAATGCTCTCTGCTCATCCTCCTGCTGTCCATATTAATATATTCTTATATTGTGGTTAGGGGTTACATGTATTTTCTGAGTTTGTTGAAGATGAAAATTGATTTTTTAACTTTTATTTGACGTTCAGGGGTACATGTGCAGGTTTGTTATATAGGAAAGCTTATGTCACAGGGACTTGTTGTACAGATTATTTTGTCACCCAGGTATTAAGCCTAGTACCCATTAGTTACATTTCCTGACTCTCTCCCTCCTCTAGACTTCCATCCTCCATTAGACCTCACTGTCTGTTGTTTCTGTCTGTGTGTTCATGCTTTCTCATCGTTTAGCTCCCACTTATAAGTGAGAACATGAGGTATTTGGTTTTCCTTTCCTGCATTAGTTTGCTAAGGATAATGGCCTCCAGCTCCATCCATGTCCCTGCAAAAGACAGGATCTCGTTCTTTTTTATGGCTGCAAAGCCTTCCATGGTGTATATGTACCACATTTTCTTTAACCAGTCTACCATTGCTGGGCATTAAGGTTGATTCCATGTCTTTACCAGTATGAGTAGTGCTGCAGTGAACATGTGCATCCATGTGTCTTTATGATAGAATGATTTATATTCCTTTGGGTGTTGTATTAGTCTGTTTTCATACTGCTATAAAGAATTCTCCTAGACTGGGTAATTCATAAAGGCAAGAGATTTAATTGACACACAGTTCTGCATTGCTAGGGAAGCCTCAGGAAACTTACAATCATGGCAGAATGCAAAGGAGAAGCAGGCACATTCTTCACAGGGCAGCTGGATGGAAGTGAGTGCAAGCAGGGGAAATGCCAGAGACGTATAAAACCGTCAGATCTCAGGCCAGGTGCAGTGGCTCATGCCTGTAATCCCAGCACTTTGGGAGGCCGAGACAGGTGGATTACTTGAGGTCAGGAGTTCGAGACTAGCCTGGCCAACATGGTGAAACCTATCTCTACTAAAAATACAAAATTAGCCGGGCATGGTGGTGCGTGCCTGTAATCCCAGCTACAAGGCTGAGGCAGAAGAATCGCTTGAACCTGGGAGGTGGAGGTTGCAGTGAGTCAAGATTGCACTACTGCACTCCAGACTGGGCGACAGAGCAAGACTCCATCTCAAAAAGAAAAAAATAACCTAGCTGGGCATGGTGGCGTGCACCTGTAATCCCAGCTACTCTGGAGGCTGAGGCAGGAGAATCACTTGAACCCAGAGGGCGGAGGTTGCAGTGAGCTGAGATCGCACCACTGCATTCACAGCCTTGGTGACACAGCAAGACTCCACTTCAAAAAAAAAAAAAAACAAAGACATCCCATCAGATCTCGTGAGAACTCACTATTGGCTGGGTGCAGTGGCTCACGCCTGTAATGCTAACACTTTTAGAGGCCGAAGAGGGCAGATCATTCGAGACCAGCCTGGCCAACATGGTGAAAGCCTCATCTCTACTAAAAATACAAAAATTAGCTGGGCTGGTGGTGGGCGCCTGCAATTTCAGCCACTAGGGAGGCTGAGGCACGAGAATCACTTGAACCAGGGAGGCGGGGGTTGCAGTGAGCTGAGATCGCACCACTGCACTCCCGTCTGGGCGACAGAATGAGACTCCATCTCAAAAAATAAGAAAAATAATCCAAAGAACTCACTATCATGAGAAGAGCATGTGGGAAACTGCCCCCATGATCCCAGTTACCTCCACCTGGTCCCGCTTTGGCATGTGGGGATTATGGGGATTACAATTTGAGGTAAGATTTGGGTGGAGACACAGAGCCAAGCCATATCAGGTATATACCCAGTAATGGGATTGATGGGTTGAATGGTAGTTCTGTTTTTAGGTCTTTGTGGAACTGCAACACTGCTTTCCAGAAAAATTGTTTTTTAAGAGATAAATGGATTTGTTAAATCTATGTCATTTGGAAACTGGTAGTTTGTCATAAGATCCCTTTTAAAAAAAATAAGCATTGTAAAAATAAAGTACTATAATCACCTCTCTCTTTAAAAATCTAGTTTGTTCCACTATATCAGACATATTTCCAAGGTGTATAACAATAGTTTTCAAAGGTATAATAGGTATCACTAAATATAAATGCAGTTTTTTACTTTTCAGTTTTATGTTTAGCAAGACAGAAATGCAAATTGTTGGTTATTGATTAAAAGGGTCAGTGTCCTTCGACTTCGTTTTAGGCATCCCATTTCCTGATGAACTCTCCTTTTGTTCCAGTGTTTTCTTCTGTGTTTCCACTCAACTGTTTTTTTAATTGTGATTTTAAATACTTTGACACTATGTTTTTAATGTTCTTCACACTCTTCTTGTCCTCACTGCCTTTATTTTTCCCACTTAGATTTTATCATTCTTTATTATAATTACATCTTCCTTCATACCGTCAACTTCCTTGCTTCTGTCTTCCTCTTTCATATTCCGTAGGAAAACCCCATACAACCATCTCTCCCATACCTGCAGCAGAGCTGAAAGTGGCTGGAGAAAAATACATACCATAAGGGCTGGGCTTTACTTTTTTTTTTTTTTTTTTCCAAGTGGTCCTTTAATGCTGCCTAGCAATCCCCTTAGTGTATTATACTCCAGGGTTATTTCCACATCCTAACAAAATTGTTTTATACTTTCTCCTCAAAGCTACATTTCCTATCCAGTCTTCACATTTAGCTGATTATCTTGCCTGTTTAATCGGGATAGTCGAAAGAGAATCCTTCAGGGATTAAGCCTACCTACCTATCTAGCTGCAGTTATACTCTTATCCTCTATCTGTTTTCTTAACTACAGTGGCCTCTAAGGCCAATGCTTGTACTTGTACTGTGAATCTGATCCCTTTTCACCTTCTCAAGAACTTTGTCTCTCAAGTTGTTCTCACTCTCATTACTTCAAAATTTCTTTCTTTTATTAGATAACTCATTATTTTGCTAATAGCTCCCATCTTTTAGGAACCCTTTGTGTCAGTCTGGGTTCCCCCAGAGAAACAGAACTAAGAGATATTCTTGCATCTTTCTCTGTCTCTGTCTCTCTCTCTCTCTCTCTCTCGCGCACGCGCGCACACAGACACACACACACGTACACACGTTTCACTGATGTGGCTCAGCACAATTGTGGGAACTTGCAAATCGGAAATTTGTAGGGTACCCCAGCAAGCTGGAAATCAGACAGGAGTCGTGCAGTCTTGAGTCTGAGATCTGTGGAGCAGGCTAGAAACTCAGGATTTTATTTACTTATTTATTTATTTTAGAGACAGGGTCTCACTCTGTCACCCAGGCTGAAGTGCAGTGGCACAGTTGTGGATTACTGCAACCTTGAATTCTGGGTTTATGTAATCCTCCCACCTCGGCCTCCCCAGTAGCTGAGACTACAGGTGCACATCTCAATGCCCAGGTAATTTTTAAATTTTTTGTAGAGATGGAGTCTTGCTATGTTACCCAGGCTGGTCTTGAACTCCTGACCTCAAGTCATCCTTTCACCTCTGCCTCACAAAGCACTGGGATTACAGATGTGAGCCATCATGCTCAGCCTAGGACTTTATGTTGCAGCCTTGAGGCAAACATTTCCTCTCTAGAAAACCTATTTTTTCTCTTAAGCTTTCAACTGATTGCATGAGACCCACTCACATTATTGAGGGTAATCTCCTTTATTTAAAGGAGATTATAGGTGTTAACCATACAAAATATCTACAAAATTCCTTCAAGGAATATCTACAAAATTCCTGCATTAGTGTTTGATTAAGTAATTGACTGTGATAGTCTAGCCATGCCTGGACACATAAGACTAACCATTACACTGTACCTTGTTCCCTCACGTTCCTCTAGCCCCAGTTTCATTTTTCTCCTTTTCTTTATAGCAAATCTCAGAATTATTTATATTCACTCTCTCCACTCAGTCCTCTCCTATTAGGTTTCTGTCTCTACTACTTCACTACCTCTCCTGTTGAGGTCAGCAGTTACCTTCTTATTGCCCAAATCAGTGAGCAGCTCCAGTTGTCATCTTTTTTTCTTTGGAAAGACACAGCTACCATTTTTTCTCCTTGGAACACTGTCTTCACTTGTTTTCTGGAATACCACATTGTCCTGGTGATTTTAGAAAGCTAAACTGCAAATATCGAGTTATCTTGACACTCAATCTTCAGACAGGTTTTTTTAATGTATTCACTCCTTATTGAATAAAGTGAAAACCAATTTCATAGACATTATTTTTATTAAAAAATAGTGATGAGTAGGAAAATAATATAGTCACATGATTTAAAATTCAAAGTAGACCAGGCACTACGGTTCATCCCTGTAATTCCAACACTTTGGGAGGCTGACGTGGGAGAATCACTTGAGGCCAGGAGTTCAAGACCAACCTGGGCAATATAGTGGGACCCCCATCTCTACAAAAAAATTTTTTTTTTAATTAGCTGGGCATGGTGGTAGCTGTAGTCCCAGCTACTCAGGAGGCTGAGATGAGAGGATCACTTGAGCCTGGTGGGGGTCGAGGCTGCAGGGAGCTGTGATTGCACCACTGTGCTCTATTCTGAGTGACAGAGCAAGACCTTGTCTCAAAAGAAAAACAAAAAGTAAAAAAATTTTATATGGTGAAATGTTATTCTTTCACCCCTGTCTCTGACCTTCAAATTAACTTCCTTGAAGACAACCAAAGTTGCCAGTTTCTTACGTTTTTCTAAACATGTTATATGCAAATAATAGCAAATACACATTCAGTGAGAGACAATATGGTGTGTTTAAGAGCTGGGACTATGGAGCAAGGCTGCCTATACTCAAATTCTATGTCCACCAATTGCTATGTAACCATCAAGTCTTTTAGCTGATCTGTGCCTCAGTTTTCTCTTAATGTGAAAAGGAACTAATAATAGTACTTCCTTCGTAGATTTGTGAGTTGTAAATGAATAAGTATGTTTATACGGCTTGGAAGAGTGACTGGCAAGTAAAAATAAATAATACATTCTTTTGCACAAATGATAGCATATACACACTGTAAGGCTATCTTGTCTGTATTTTTCCATTAACAAATATCTTGGTGATCTTTTGTTTACAACACACAAATAATACCACCTTTTTCTAATTTCCATCTAGTTTTATGGTTCTGAATACCAGTGTCTTTGATAATGACTTCCAAATGTGTGTCTACTAGGCATTTCCACTTACATAACTAATAAACAAAAATATTTCTAATTATCTTTGCCCTTTCCATTTATCTCATTTCCTTCATTGTAATCTAACAAATTCTTTCAGCAGTATATTCTTTTTCTTTTTCTTTTCTTTTTTTTTTTTTTTTTGAGGTGGAGTCTTGCTGTGTCTCACAGGCTGGAGTGCAGTGGTGCAGCCTCAGCTCACTGCAATCTCTACCTCCTGGGTTCAAGCCATTCTCCTGCCTCAGCCTACCGAGTAGCTGGGATTACTGGCGTGCGTCACCACATCTGGGAAATTTTTTTTTTTTTTTTTTTTGTATTTTTAGTAGACACGGGGTTTCACCATGTTGGCCAGGCTGGTCTTGAACTCCTGACCTCCAGTGATCCACCTGCCTCAGACTCCCAAAGTGCTGGGATTACAGGCGTGAGCCCCCTCGCCTGGCCTGGTATTTTCAAAATACACTTCATATCTAACAATTTCTCTCTACCTATTGCTGCCACGTTAATCTAAGCCAGCATCATTTCACTGAGTTGCCAAAGGCAAAAACCTAAGACTCATTATTGCAAACTTTGAGCAAAATATTTTCAGCTCTGCCTCACTGCTCCTATTTAGTCTCCCTTCTTCCAGTTTTACTGTCCTATACTCTGGTCACACATCAGTTTAAAATCTAATTCAGACTGTTTCACATCACTCCACATTCTCTAGGACATCTTACCCTGCTTAGATTTAATTCATGAGCCTTAAGGAGAGGATAGGTTAACTGGATCCTAGTAACTCTCTTATAATCTGGCCTCTTCCTTCCTTTTAAGTATCTTCTTCTGCCTCTGACTACCTCTGTGCTCCAACCAGACTAAATACTATACTCTGTAGTGAGTACCCTCCTCCCAACAGTTTACCTTATAACTGTCCCTGGAAAGCTGTTCTGCTGTGGAATCATGTGACCATTCCTTCACTTCATGCTCAAATGTCAAGGTCTCAGAGAGGCCTTCCCAAATGACCATCTAAAATAGCACCCCCTTAATCATTAACTGACGTGGTTTTTTCATTTGCATATTACCTATTCATTTATTGTCTTCTTTTCCTCACTAGAATGTAAAAATCACAAAAGGAAGTTGTTTGTTTTGTTCACTTGTGTATCTCTAATAACTAGAACAATGCTCAGTATATGCTGGATTGTTAGATGAATGGACAGGACTTTAAATAAGTGCTTCTTTAGCTATGATGAATGACTAGTTTTTAATTACGAATCTGTCACAACCTAGTACTTTTGTAAAATGCGGTGGAAATAGTATATATGTATTTATTAGTGTCATGTTATTAAAATCAACAGGCATTAAATTGTCAGATTGCTATAAAAACTTCTAAATGTTTTCAATTTTTTGCTCATAATGACCTTCTAATAAACTTGTTGTGGTCAGCACCCATTTGCAGACGACACTATCAGTACCACTGTACTAGAACATATTTACCATTTTATAGTCAGCAGTTAAAATGTGAAAGCTAAATGAAGGACGTATTCTTCTCCTTGCTAGACAAGAAGAAGCCACTTAAGAGCTGATGTCACATTATGATGGCTGAATTCCTGCAGGATTATTAACTTACAAAAAGGTTTTTTTAGTAATACCAGGAAAATTTGATAAGTACCAATTCTATGCAGAGATAAGTCTTTTTCAGTGGACTCAATTAAAACATCATAATCCTCATTTTATGTCTGTCATTTAATTTGAGGTTTGTTTTTAATAGCTGTTTATGTGTTATTCAATGAAGTCTCAGTTTTACAGGTTTAAAAATATTTTATCTCAGTAAACACTGCTGTATTATACCTAATATGTTTCCGAAGATATATTGATCATTTTTAACATGTCTTGTCTGTTTTAGTATGTTGATTACTTTACTGTTTATGTATCTGGGATGGAAGGAGAGTCATTAAATAATGACATTTGGAGTTTGGGATCTGGGTTCACAAGAAGATATACAGCTGAAAGTAAAAGCTATGAAGTTTTTAAAAAGCCGTGCCTCAGTTTCCACTGGTGAATTGCAACCAGGGTTGGTGTTAATTTTAATGCTTTTCAGCTCCTGGATATTCAAGTCATTTTGCGTTAGGTATGTAGAGGTAGATACTGAATTAAGCTCCTTTGGGTGTCACTTCATATGCTCATAACAAACACTGATAAACTAGTATTATCAGCTTGAGTAGTTGGAATGCTCCAGATTCCTCTTGTCTTTGAGCTGTTCTCTTTCCTTATACAGTTTAATTTTACAAATTATTTTAAACTTTCATAGTGTAGTCCAATATACTACTACTGGCAACACACAAAACTCAAAATCACTGTCTTATATTTTGAAACACAAGAATATTTCTCAGTTTACTGTTTGAGACACTACCACAGGGAAAGAAACATTTTCATTTAATTCATTTCTAATGCAAAAATCCTGAAAAATCCATTTCTGGTCACTAATTTAAATAAATTTGTTTTTCAGGATTTTTGCATTATAATTTTGCATTGTAATGGTCACTAACTTAAACACGTTTGTTTTTTCAGGATGTTTACATTTGTTTTTCAGGTTTTTTACCTTATATTTTGGTTTAAGGACAGCAGCAATTATTTAATAACATAGAACTGATCAAAATGTAGATAGAGTTTCCGAATAACAAATTGAGTATACGTGTAGATAGAAATACAGATACAGCATACATACATACTATATGTATTTAGAAAACACATATGTTTACATATGTAATTAAGAAAAAATAGGCCGGGTGCGGTGGCTCATGCCTGTAATCCCAGCACTTTGGGAGGCCAAGGTGGGCGGATCACCTGAGATCGGGAGTTCAAAACCCGCCTGGCCAACATGGTGAAACCCTGTCTCTACTAAAAAATACAGTAATTAGCTGGGCGTGGTGGTGCATGTCTGTAATCCCAGCTACTCCGGAGGCTGAGGCAGGAGAATCACTTGAACCTGGGAGGTGGAGGTTGCAGTAAGCCAAGATTGCGCCATTGCACTCCAGCCTGGGCAACAAGAGCGAAACTCCAACTCAAAAAAAAAATAAAAATAATGAAATTTTAGAAACAGTGCATGCTTGTTTTTAATTATATGGATATGTTTGCAGATAAATGAATCAGTTCTTCTAAAGCACTGAACAGTTCAGTTTTTTTAATAACCAAATGTTCATACTTGCACATGAATAACCTAAAAGGAGCAAAAAGGGGAAATTATTTACCAGCTCAAACTGTCTTGTTCCTTTACCTGTATTTCCCATATTCTCACTATCTCAATGATGAAAACAAATATGAACAGACAGAAGTTTGAGGTTTGTGTCATACCTGTTTGTCAGAGGATGTGAAACAAATTTGAAAGTGTTTAATAAGATTTACAAATACAAGTGAACGTTTAAAAGTACATTATCACTGTGGCTGGGGAGGATAGGTCAATTGGAAATTCACAAAGTACATTTTTAATGGACTTCAATGAGTTTGGTAGGATTAGTATGTTTTTCAGGGTTTGGAGGTTGTGCAACTCTCTGAGGTGAGGAACAAAGGGAGAGGACCATATATGGGGGTAAAGATCACAAATTGATTGTAAACATCTAAAACATCTAAGGTACCTTTGACACATTTAAGTAAAGGTACTAAGGATGCATTTATATATACTCATATTTGATGATCAGTAGAGAGGTTTAGGCTTGATTAGTGTGCCCTTACGTGTGTATTTTTAGGAGTAGGAGAAAGGAGTTGTTGAAGATAGAACTGAAATCCTTTCTTCTGTTAGTTAGGATGAGGCTGTGTTTAAATGGAAAGTGTTAACAAGCCAAGCTGAGGTAGAGAAAATTATGTTGCAGATGAGTTTATTTCTATAAATTAGTTATCTTTTATTTAAACTTAAATTATGCCTGGGTTGTAAAACAGAAATTCACTAGTTTCATTTCTTCATCCATTGGCTTTATAAATTTGTAATCTTATATGGATAAAGTTTTGATTCATAGGTATTATAATATTTCTTCATTTCATAGCCATGAAGCTCATGACTGCTCTGGTGAATGTTGCCTTAAACCTCAGTATTCATCAGGATAATACCCAGAGACAATATGAAGCCGAGAGAAATAAAATGATTGGGAAGAGAGCCAATGAAAGGTTGGAGTTACTACTTCAGAAACGCAAAGAGGTAAGTTTCATGGGAACTGATGATTTTATGTTCTGTAAATGTGTGGAATATATATGACATTAGTACTTTTTAAGTTCCCTGTAAAAAGGTTTATGTGTATATTTAGTTAGATTATTTGATGTCAGGGTTTCCAAATGAAGCTGGAGTGTTCATTGGTGATCATGTAAGTGCCGTCTGATGGCAGAAAGGAATCATAGAACACCTCTGTTTTTGAAAGAAGTTGGTCTGGGAGTTAGGCAACTCAAAAAGGTTATAAGGCTATAGGCTCAAAAAGTATGATAAATACTGAAGTCAGAACCGTGAGCCAGCAAAGCTACATTTCCAGGAAAAAGCTAAAGGCTACATACTAGCTGGTATATAAGGCACTCCTATGAATAAGATTGGTCTCAGTTTTACAATGACATTTTCATATATGTGTTAAAAATGATTTTATACTGTTTTTTTTTTGGGGGATGGAGTTTCGCTCTTGTTGCCCAGGCTCGAGTGCAATGGTGCGATCTCAACTCACCGCAACCTCCACCTCCCCAAAAGCAATTCTCCTGCCTCAGCCTCCCAAGTAGCTGGGAGTACAGGCATGTGCCACCACTCCTGGCTAATTTTGTATTTTTAGTAGAGATGGGGTTTCTCCATGTTGGTCAGGCTGGTCTCGAACTCCCAACCTCAGGTGATCCGCCCACCTCGGCCTCCCAAAGTGCTGAGATTACAGGCATGAGCCACTGTGCCCGGCCTATACTGGGTTTTTAATAGGAAACATTTTTATTTATCCAATACTACATAAAATCTTAGATCTGCACTATTAGTCTATCTTATAACTTGAAAAAAGAATATCACATTACAGCAAAGGAATTACGTATGAATAATAACTTAATGGGTTTATAATAGGCAAGAAAAAGCAACGATGTTTTGATTATTAGCCATACTGTATTAGTTTGATAGGGCTGCTGTGACAAAGTACCACAAACTGAACGAATTAAACAAAATAACATTATTATAATCTCACAGGCTTGCAGGCTAGAATTCCAAGATCAAGGTGTTGGCAGGGCCATCCTCGCTCGGAAGGTTGTGTTCCAGACTTCTCTCCTAGTGTCTGGTAGTTGCTTGGCTGGTGGCAGCATAATTCCAATCTTTGCATGACATTCTTCCTGTGTGTATGTTTGTCCCCAAATTTATTCCCTTCTTAAGGACATCAGTCATATTGGATTAGGGTCCTCCCCTACTCCAGTATGGCTGCATCTTAATGAATTAAATCTGCCACAGTCCTCTCCTAATTTCACATTCTGAGGTACTAGGGGTTAGAACTTCAATGTACAAATTTTTAAGGAACATAGTTTAACCCTTCACACATACCATACTTGAAATATTATAGAAGTAAATACTAGAGCTGGGCTTTCGTAAGTACTGCTGACTCAGAAATGTATGCCTCTTATAAATTAATTAGTTTTTATATGATAAATGCAATAAAAATAATTTTTAACACTTGGAGGAAGTTGCAGAAATTTGAATGATTTTGCAATAAAAGTATTCCCAAACTTATTTTAGTAAAGCCTGAAACAAAGCATACAGCAAAAGAATAAATCTGAGGGAATTTTATTGTCAACATTCATGTATGTAGTAAAAGCAAATATTTCACTGAATATTACTATACAGTAAATTACAGAATAAATTAGAATAGTAGATACCACCTTGAATGTAATTCAGTGCTGTTGTTGTTTTTGAGTAATAATAAACACAAACTTTAACTCTGATCAGTTTTGTTGCCTGAAATTTGTATCTTTGCCATAGATACTATTTATTTTGTTACTGTACTTCACCATAAGTAGCCAGGATCCTTTTTATCTTCTGTTATACCTCTTATTGGGAACTTGGCCTGCTGTCTGTTACAGGCTAGTGAGATGCAGAGTAATGTTTGGATACATTAGATGGAGTAGGAAGTTACTTTTAGAACAGCAAATATGTTAATTAGGGATGTTCCTTTAACCAAGAAAGGCAAAACCAAACCCAGGGACCTGATTTAGACAGAAGAGTTCTGTTCCTAAGGCAGATGATATTTTGGAGATAGGAATCTGACCACACTTAGCTATACCACCACTCCTTGTTTGTGATTGTGAAGTTTGTGTCTAGAGAGAGACAGTGAAAAGTTCTAAAACCAATATGATATAAATGTAAAGGAATAATGGAAATATACTGGTATTTTCACACATCTGTACTACAAGTGAGAAAAGGATTGAAAACTACCCAGAATGAAAATAACCAGGAATTAAAAACAATTGGAGCTGTTCCTTCCAAATAAAATGATCAGGATTTCAACTTATATATATTTTTTCATTTCAGCTGCAAGAAAATCAGGATGAAATCGAAAATATGATGAACTCTATTTTTAAGGGTATATTTGTTCATAGATACCGGTAAGAGATTTTAAAAATAATTTTGAAGGCTTTTCACTTAAACAATTATTGATTTTTTTTGTGGCCCAGGCTAACTGTAAAACTCACTAATTATGATTTATGTTTTGTTTTCTGGAAAACAACTTTGGCTGTCAGTGTCACACTACAACTATAGAAGAAATTGTATGACTGCTGCCACTACCACTGTTATACTCTTCCAAATTCAGAACATATGCTGTTGGAAGTAGCTTATGTACTTGGATTTATACTGATGGAATATTAATTAATAGGATCATAAACTAATGTAGCTTTAATAAGATATTCTTGTTTTCACATTTAAAAAATTAAGTGCCCTACTTCTTGCTCTGTGGTACTCATTTTGTTCCATGGGCAAATTAATAATTTAAAAAAAAAAAAAACCTGTGTGAAGCTGGGCGAAAAGAGGACAGAGAAGGGCAACCCCGCAGTTAATGCAACAACTGTATCTTCATTCTTGTTTCCTTTCAGATAAACACATTGAAATAAAAGCCATTAGCAAAATATTTTTGTTATCCTCCATTGCTAATGATTTTAGTTTGTCTTTCTGTGAAGCCCAGGAACCTTAAAAACACTAACTACATTGTAAAAGAGCATATTTTACATT
The DNA here is from genome assembly GCF_000001405.40 of Homo sapiens. Classification (NCBI taxonomy): domain Eukaryota; kingdom Metazoa; phylum Chordata; class Mammalia; order Primates; family Hominidae; genus Homo; species Homo sapiens. Next base: position 136,499,600 of record NC_000003.12, on the reverse strand, counting down.
GAGTGAATGAATCATATACATATACTTGTTACCTTCTGTTGATTAGATGTGATGTGTGTAAGTAGATAGACAAAGATAATAAATAGAAGCACTGTTTTCAGACCCATTTGAGAGTATATTTGGCTAATTAATATAGAGCGGTGGGATGTGGTCGCTCATCCCTGTAATCCTAACACTTTGGGAGGCTAAGGTGGGAGGATCACTTGAGGCCAGGAGTTAAAGACTGCATCTCTACAGAAAATTTAAAAATCAGCCCGGTGTGGTAGTGTGCACTTGTAGTCCCAGCTACTCGGGAGGCTGAGGTGGGAGGATTGCCTGAACCAGAGGGTCAAGGCTGCAGTGAGCCTTGATTGCGCCACTGCACTCCAGTCTGGGTGACAGAACAAGACCCTGTCTAAAACAAAACAAAGAAATACACACATACACAGCTGACCTTTGAACAACATGGGTTTGAACTGCAAGAATTGCCTGTAAACCATTTGTTTCTAACTAAACACGGATTGAAAATACAGTATTTGTGGGATACGAAACCTGTTTACATGGAGGTCTAACTTGTTGAATATGCAGATTACTCAGAGACAGCTGTAGTACTTGAGTATGCATGGATTTTGCTATATGTGAGCAGTCCGAGAAGCAATCCCCTGTGTATACCAAGTGGCAAGTTGTGTGTGTATGTGTATCTGTTTGATAATTTATTTTAATGGAACTTAAACATTTTAACCAAAAGAATAAAATGTTCTTTTGAAATAGGTCCAGGGCTTTTATGTTCAGTGTGGATTGTCTGATTGGAGTTTTATGTCTGCTTTCTTGCATATACTGCATGTATAACATGTTATTGATATATTTGTTTTAAAAAGAACAAGGATTTGCATATACCTGCCATGCAGTCTTTGTTTTTTTTTTTTTACTGCAACTTTATGGAGGTCTAATTCACATAAATAAACTGCACATTTAAGTGCATAATTTGATGAGTTTTGACATATATACACCTATAAAACCACCACCACAAGCGAGATAATGAATCTCTCCATCATCCTTAAGAAATTCAAGTGCCAAGTTTTCTCATGGCACTTTGTAACTCCTTTCTACCTCCCTTCCTGTTGTTCTACCTTTCCATCATCCTCAAGCAAGCATTGATGTGCTGATTATTTACATTTTCTAGAATTTTATAGAAATGGAATTATGCAACATATCTGGGTTTTTTTTTTGTGGGCGGATCTGGCTTCTTTCTCTGAACAAAGTCAGAGTTTTTTTTATCATTGAATGCGTTGCTAGCCGTAATGTGTATATATATGTGTGTGTGTGTGTGTGTGTGTATGTGTGTGTGGTGTGTGTGTGTGTGTGTGTGTGTATGTATATGTATGTGTATATATATATATATATATATATAATTTTTTTTTTTTTTTTTAAGATGGAGTTTTGCTCTTGTTGCCCAGGCTGGAGTGCACTGGCACAATGTCGGCTCACTGCAACCTCCGCCTCCCGGGTTCAAGTGATTGTCCTGCCTCAGCCTTCCAAGTAGCTGGGATTACAGGCATGCTCTGCCACGCCCAGCTAATTTTGTATTTTTAGTAGAGACGGAGTTTCTCCCTGTTGGTCAGGCTGGTCTCGAACTCCTGACCTCAGGTGATCTGCCTGCCTTGGCCTCCCAAAGTGCTGGGATTATAGTCGTGAGCCACCAGGCCCGGCCTAGCTGTAATATTTTCATAGATGCCCCTTATCAGATTGAGGAATTTTTTTTTTTTTTGAGATGAGTCTCGCTCTGTTGCCCAGGCTAGAGTGCAGTGGCGCGATCTCGGCTCACTGCAAGCTCCACCTCCCGGGTTCACGCCATTCTCCTGCCTCAGCCTCCCAAGTAGCTGGGAGTACAGGCGCCTGCCACCACGCCCAGCTAATTTTTTGTATTTATTTTATTTTTTTTTTAACTAGAGACAGGGTTTCACCGTGTTAGCCAGGGTGGTCTCGATCTCCTGACCTGGTGATCCGCCCGCCTCGGCCTCCCAAAGTGCTGGGGTTACAGGCATGAGCCATCGCGCCCAGCCGGAAGTTTCTTTTTATTCCTAGTTTTCTGAGAGTTTTTATTAGGAATATATCTTGGATTTTGTCAAATCTTTTTCTGCATCTATTGAGATCAGTGTGTTGTTTTATTTTTTAAAGACTTAATGTGGTGAATTTATGTTCAGATGTTAACATGAACGCATAAAGCCCACATTATCATGATATGTTTTTATCTATATATGGTTGTATGTGATTTGCTGAGTTTTTCCAAGAATTTCTGCATCTATGTTCAAGAGGGATAAATAGCTCTAACTTTATTTTAATGAATATCACTGTCTACCTTTGTTAGCAAGGTAATGCTGGCCTTGTAGATTGAGTTACAGTGTATTCTCTCTTCTTTAATTTTCTCGGTGAGTTTGATAGAACTGGTATTATTTCTTCTTCAGATAAGAGTTCTACCATTGGAGCCTAGAATTTTCTTTGCAGGAAGGTTTTTAAGTATGAATTTTCTCCAGTAGATATAGGGCTGTTGAGGTTATCTGTTGTTCCTGAGTAAACTTTGGTAGTTTATGTCTTATAAGAAATTGGTACATTCATCTTGGTGGTTGAGTTGTATTAAAAAACTATCAGCATAAAGTTGGTCATAATATTGGTAATTTAACATCTCTCTCTCTCTCCCTCTCTCTCTCCCACTCCTTTTCCCCCTGCTTCCTTCCCGCTTTTCTCTTTTCATTGTTCAGTGTATGTGGAGCTATTTTATCTTATTTTATATTGAATTTTTCTATTATTTTTGTTTTCTATTTCATTGATTTCTGTCCTTTATTTCCTTTCATCTGCTCACTTTGGGTTTCACTTCTTCAGCTCTTCTTAGTTTCTCAAGGTAGAATTTGAGGTCATTGATTTGACACTTTTTTTCTAATAAGGGAATTTACTCCTATAAATTTTTTAAAGCACTGCTTTAGCTATGTGTCCTAAATTTGGATATATTGCATTTTTTATTTAGTTCAAAATACTGTCTAGTTTCCTTTTTGATTTTTTTGTTTCACCCATGGATTATTTTGAAGCATGGCATTTAGTGTGCAGATATTTGAGGATTTTCTAGATACCTTTCTGTTATTGATTTCTAATTTAATTTCAATGTAGTCAAAGAACATAGTTTGTATGATTTGAATGCTTCTAAATTTATTGAGATTTGTATGAGACCCACAGTAAACTCTATCTTGGTGAATAGATACCTATAGATACCTATAGATCTCTATACCTCAAGAAAATAAGGTATATTCTGCTTTTGTTGGCTAGCGTCTTATACCAGTTAGGTCAAATTGGTTAATAGTGTTGTTCAAGTCTTCTCTCTCTTTACTGATTTTCGGTCTGTTTATTCTAACAATTATTAAGAAGGGTTTATAGGAGTACTTTCTGTGTTTTTTGGGGGTTTTTTTGTTTGTTTGTTTGTTTTTTGAGACGGAGTCTCCCTCTTGTTGCCCAGGCTGGAGTGCAGTGGTACAATCTCAGCTCACTGCAACCTCTGCCTCCCAGATCCAAGTGGTTCTCCTGCCTCAGCCTCCCAAGTAGCTGGGATTACAGGCATGCACCACCACGCCCAGCTAATTTTTTTTTTTTTTTTTTTTTTTTGAGACGGAGTCTTGCTCTGTCACCCAGGCTGGAGTGCAGTGGTGCACGGTCTCTGCTCTCTGCAAGCTCCGCCTCCCAGGTTCACGCCATTCTCCTGCCTCAGCCTCCCGAGTAGCTGGGACTACAGGCGCCTGCCACCATGCCTGGCTAATTTTTTTGTATTTTTAGTAGAGATGGGGTTTCACCGTGTTATCCAGGATGGTCTTGATCTCTTGACCTCACGAGCCACCTGCCTCAGCCTCCCAACATGCTGGAATTATAGGTATGAGCCACCGTGCCCGGCCCTAATTTTGTATTTTTAATAGAGGCGGAGTTTCACCATGTTGGTCAGGCTGGTCTCGAACTCTTGACCTCAAGTGATCCACCCACCTTGGCCTCCCAAAGTGCTGGGATTACAGACATGAGCCACCGTGCCATCCATGCCACCACACCTGGCTGATATTCTTGATATAAGTTCGTGAACAGATGTATAGCTTTTTTTCATTTTCTTGATGGTGACCTTTACAGAGCAAATGTTTTCAATTTGTATGGCCCAGTTTATGAGTTTTTCTTCTGTGGTCATGCTTTTGGTATCTGTGAACATTGCCTAACCCCTAAGATTTCTTCTGTGTTTTATTTTCGAAGTTTAATCATTTTGTCTCTTCTATTAAGGCATATGAACCTTTAAAATTGAATTTTTAATTCAATTTTTGTAGATGACGTGATATAAGGGCAGAAGTCTACTTTTTGCATACAAATTTTCAGTTTTCCCAGCACCATTTAATGACAAAGTATCTTTCCCCAATTGAATTACCATGCCATCTCTCTTGAAGATGAATTGACCATAAACACAAGGTTTTATTTTTGGATTTTCTGTCTATCCTTACACTGATACCACCTGCATTGAGTATGCTTTAGATGAGCTTTTAAAATTAGGTAGTGTAAGTTGTCTTACTTTATTCTTCGTTTTCAAAAATTTTTTGACTGGTACAGATTCTTTGCATTTCTGTATAAATCTTAGGGTCAGCTTGTCAATTTTTGAACAAAAGCTTCTGAAATTATCATAGGGATTGTAATTACCTTGTGAACCAATTTGGAGAGAATTAACCTCTTAACAATATAGAATTTATTCCTTATCTTAATGGGGAAACAATTAGACTTTGAAATTAGGCACGATGTTATTAACTAAGTTTTGTGTAGATACCCTTTAGTAGGATGAGGAATTTACTTCTAGCCTGATTTGTTGGGTGTTTTTATCATGATGGATTGATGTATTTCTTTATTTTTTCTGTTTTGAATGAGGTGGTCATGCAGGTTTTTTCTTTTATTATATTAATATAGTGTATTGTGTTCATTGATTTTCAGATATTATACCAACCTTGCATTCTGGGAGAAATTCCACATGGTTATGGTATACAATCCTTTTTATATGCTACTGGATTCAGTTTGCTAGTATTTTGTTAAGGATTTGTGCATTTACTTTCATAAGGAATAACAGTGTCAATACTAGCCTTATAGAATACACTGGGAACTATTCTTCCTGCTCTGTTTTCTGAAAGAATTTATGAAGGATTGGTAATATTTCTATGTTTGGTAGATTTCAGCAGAGAAGCCCTTTAATACCAGGCTTTTCTTTGTGTAAAGGTTTTTAATTACTGATTCAATTTATATATCCTGAATTTTTTTAAGTTTTGTTTTGTTTTTTATTAATTTATTTTCTTGAGACAGGGTCTCTGTCTGTCACCCTGCCTGGAGTGCAGTGGCACAATCACAACTCCGTAGAACCTCAATGTCCTGGGCTCAAGCAGTCCTCCTGCCTCAGCTCCCAAGTAGCTAGGACTGCAGGCAAGCTTCACGACACCTGGCCAATTTTTTATTTTTTCTAGAAACTAGGGCTTCTCCCTGTTTTGCCCAGAATGGTTAGAACTCTTGACCTCAAGCAGTCCTTCTGCTTCGGCCTCCCAAAGTACTAGGATTATAGGTGTGAGCCACTGCGCCCTGCACACCGCCAGATTTTTTGTTGTTTTTGAGTCAGATTTGGTAATTTGTATTTCTCAGGCAATATGTCTATTTCATGCAAATTGTAAATTTAATGGCATAATGTTATTCATAATATTTTGTAGTTGTTTTAATTTTTGGGGGGTTGTCAGCCCCCTTATTTATTCTTGTGTGATTTGTGTCTTCTCTTTTGTCTTTCTCAGTTTCACTGTAAGTTTGTTTTGTTGATCTTTTCAAATAATAATGGACTTGTAATTTTGTTGGCTTTCTCTGTTTTTTATTTCCTTGATTTATGTTTCCATATTTATTATTTGTGTTGTTTTTTTTTTTTTTTTTTCGGAGACAGGATCTCGCTCTGTTGTCCAAGCTGGAGTGCAGTGTCATGATCATTGCTCACTGCAGCCTTGACTTCACGGGCTCAAGCAGTACTCCCGCCTCAGCCCCCTGAGTAGTTGGGACTACAAGCACACATCACTATGCCTGGCTAATTTTTGTTATTTTTGTAGAGTCAGGGTTTGGCCATGTTGTCCAGGCTCGTGTTGAACTCCTGGACTCAAGTGATCCACCTGCCTTAGCCTCCCAAAGTGATGGGATTACAGGTGTGAGCCATCCTTTGCTGATCTTTTTGTTTTGGTTTGGTTTGGTTTTTTTGAGACAGGGTTTTACTCTGTCACCCAGGTGGGAGTGCAGTTGCACAATCACAGCTCACTTCAGCCTCAACATCCTGGGCTCAGGTGATCTTCCCACCTCAGCCTCCTGAGTAGCTGGGACTACAGGCACACACTACCATACCTGGTTAATTTTTTGTATTTTCAGTAGAGACGAAGTTTCGCCATGTTGCCCAGGCTGGTCTCAAATTCCTGGGCTCAAGCCATTTACCACCCTCAGCCTCCCAAAGTGCTGTGATTAGGTGTGAACTATCATGCCTGGCCTAATTGTTTCTTAAGTTGAAAACTAAAATTATTCATTTTATATCCTTCCTCCTTTCTCAACTCCCCTTATAAGCTCTAAATTTTCCACAAAGCACTGCTCTAGCCCAGCTTCATTTTCTTGTCCTTCCTTTGTGCTATTATTGTCATATATATTTTGTCTACATTAGTTACTAACCCACCTGTACAGCATTATTTTCAGAGTGTTCAGTCATCTCTTAACAAAATTAAGAGGAGAAAATACAAATACACTTACTGTCTTCTAATTTACTTTCTTGTTAACATTTTTGACATTCTTCATTTTTTCCCGTGGAATTTAGTTATTGTATCGTGTTATTCCCTTGCAGTTTGAAGGACTTCATTTTGTGTCCCTTGTAAGGTAAATTTTACCCTGCTTAAACTGTTAAATGGCATGTAAATATCTGGGGGCAGTCTTAGGGCTCATCTTGTGTTATCCCCTCTCAGAGATTACCATTCTGCTCTGACTGATAATCCAACATCTAAAAATCATTTTGTGCAATTTGGTTTTTGTTTTCATTTACTTTTTTCAAGTGAGAGCATAAATTCTGTCCATCTTGGCTCCGTCATGCAGTCTTGAATTCAGAATCCATATTTTTATGATTTTCTGTCAGTCTGTAACACCAGTATTTATTTTAATGACTCACCTTTCTTGAGTCTTGACAAAGCTTTCAACCTATTATCCTTGTAGAAACAACAGTTATTTAATTTCTTACTGTTACAATGTTGATTTACATTTTATTTAATCAGACCTTGCATAAACTAGTATTGGATCTGTCATAGCCTGACTGAACTATTCAAAACTAGAATACAAGTGTAGTTGAGAATGTGACCTACTTGGCAAAAGTGATCAGCATGCCATGGATACTAATCATTAATTTCCATAAGTATCACTCAGTCTACATTATTGATTAATAGGAGATATTACTGCACGTACTGGAAGTAGTAGGTACTATGCAGAGATATCACTTTTTAAGTTACCACTTTGTGTCCCACTTACCACCATCCACTTCAAACAAATTTGATTTTTTTGTTTTTTTGTTTTGTTTTGTTTTTGAGACAATCTTGCTCTGTCTCCCAGGCTGGAGTGCAGCAGCGTGATCTTGGGCTGATTCCAGCCCCCGCCTCCTGGGTTCAGGTGATTCTCCTGCCTCAGCCTCCTGAGTAGCTGGGAATACAGGTGTGCACCACCATCCTCAGCTAATTTTGTATTTTTAATAGAGACAGGGTTTCACCATGTTGGCCTGGCTGGTCTTGAACTCCTGACCTCAGGTGATCTTCCTGCCTCGGGCTCCCAACGTGCTGGGATTACAAGTGTGAGCCACTGCACCCGGCCAACAAATTGGATTTTAATCTGTATGCTGCTAGATCTAAGTAATCATTTACAGTAAGTATGGAGACCAGAAGAATGTGTTTTCTAACTGAATCCTTGTGGTATTGCTTAAGTCTAGAATTTGGGAAACTGTACTTCAGACCAAATGATCAGTTTCTTCCACAAATAAATGGCAAATAATAAGAACCAGGGGATGTAAAAACACAAAATACTGAATGTGAAAAACACTCACAAATTCATATTTAATGAACAGGATATACTTTAGAATGTTGAGGAGACAATTAGTGAATTGGAATGTAATACTGAGGAGTTTACCCAGATCACAGTAATAAAGGGATAAAAAGATATGGACGGACCTTTCTGATATGGGAAGGGTAGTGTCAGATACTTCACCAGTCCTTTAAAAAGAAGTTTCAGGAAAAGAGAGAAGCCCTTGGTCATGGTAGTGTGCACCTGTAGTCCCAGCTACACAGGAGGATGAGATGGTAAGACTGCTTGAGCCCAGGAGTTCCAGGGTGCAGTGAACTATGATCAAGCCACTGCACTCCAGCCTGAACGACAGAGCAAGACCCCGTGTCTAAAAAAATAGATACATAGAAAGAAATGTATTAGAGAGAAGTAGTAGTAGTGAGTACAATTTTATAAAATTAGTTAAACAGAAACTTCAGATTAAAAAAACTTAATGAGTGCTGAGTAGGTTAGGGAATATATTCTACATCTAGACATACCGTAGTGAAAATGAAAAACATCAAAGATGAAGACAGTTATAAAAGCAACCAGAAAGATTGTTATTTCAGTAATGGTAAAAGAATAACAACAACAACAAAAAAGAATAACAAAGTTGTTAGGCCATAAGGACAAACTTACTCAGAGGACAGATTTAAGTACTTTTGAGAAGATGAAAAACAGATGTCTTTAAGACTAGTTGAGTCTTTTCATCCTTTTATGTTACAATGAAACATTTCAGAATCATATTTTCAGAGCTATTCTTATACAATACCATAATAGATTTATTCTGAACAAACTATTATTCCATTATTTTAATCTTCTTCTTAATATTTCATCTTTGATCTAATGTGGGGGTCAGGTTGCTAGTTAAAATGTAAATATTAATTAGAGGATATTTTTCTTTGAAAGCTAATGTATCTTTGACATTTGATTTTTAATCTTATTAAAGCCTAAAATTCTGTTAATAGTAAAATATTAAGGCGTAATGCAGGGTAACAGATAGCCATACACCTTCTCTGTATGAGACTCTTAGTGATGCAGTGCCTTTCTGTGTATTTTGCCACTGTTTTTACTTATTAATAATTAGCAACAAAAATGAGATGAAAAATAGTTTTATAAACTTGCCACATTTTCAATACATCTAAAATAACTCTTAGCAGTCGGGTGCGGTAGCTCACACCTGTAATCCCAGCACTTTGGGAGGATCACTTGAGGTCAGGAGTTCGAGACCAGCCTAGCCAACATGGCGAAACCCTGTCTCTACTAATAATACAAAAAAAAAAGGGGTGTGATGGTCTGTGCCTGTAATCCCAGCTACTCAGGAGGCTGAAGCAGGAGAATCGCTTGAACCCGGGAGGTGGAGGTTGCAGTGAGCCAAGATTGTGCCACTGCACTCCAGCCTGGGCGATGGAGTAAGATTATGTCCCAAAAAAATTAAATTAAATTAAATTAAAACTAAAATTAAATAACTCTAGTAAGCCTGAAATAATAAATGAAATATTTGTATTTAATTTGTAAACAACACAGTTTCAGCTCTTCGGGTTTACTCTTACACATTACTACCTTTCAAAAGCCTTCCTTGACCACCTTCTCTCCTCTCCATTTTACGTGCTTCTGTGTTCTCTGTAACACTCTTTACTAACTTTCAGCACTCGCTAAGGTAGTATTTATTTTAATCATCTTATTGTAAGTTAGGGTCTCTATTCTCAAGTTCTTAGTCTAATAAAGGATACAGTATGACTTTTCTGTAATTCTTTCAGCTATTTCTTTCTCCCTATGCTATTTCATACCAAAAAATTCTCTATAATTATTCTATTTTGGAAAATGTGATTTTTTTTTTCCTCGCAGCCTAATCTTAGTGATAAAATTGGTTGAGACCTGAATTCACTGGGTGCTGCAATTTAGAGAGTGTGCCTTTTTTGGCCATTCATAATTATTTCTCCCTGTGGAGCTCTCATGAGATTCCTTGTACATGAGCAATAATTGTGAGTGTCAAAACATCCATATTAGCTAAGCATGGTTTTTGAAATTTGTATTATAATCATTTTAATTTAGTCTGCATCCTTACTGGAAAAGCATCCATAAGGGTAATACAAGAAACATTTAATTAAAATTCACTGGAGTTCAACCTCATTTTGTTATAAGCAGAAAATAATTAAACTTCCATCTGCTGAGAAAGTAATCCAATGAAAACTTAGGTCCAGATACCATATTAAAGGGTTATGTTCTCCCCAAAAGGATGCATTGTAATGATCAATAATTAGATAAGTTTTTCCTAGAAGCAAACATGATCATTCTTTTATGCTGTAAAATAGAGTTACCACAAAGGATTAATAGAATTGCACCTGAATTATTCTTTTCTAGTTCCTTTTCTTTGAGTTTCCAAGTAAAGCCTTCATGTTTAGTTTTTAATTTCAAGGCCTGAATGCTAGGATGTTGTAAAAATTAGTCTGTCTTATGATTGTCTTTATTCCTTTCCTCTTGTCTTACTATTTTTTGCACCCCCTGCATTACTCTTTGCTTTGGATGCTCCCAAATGCCTCAGCTAGACATCTTTCTTAAATGGGGTGAGGCTATTGGAAATAGAGATTAGTTGTTTAAAAATAAATTTAATATGAAAACATAAAATTTGGAGGACTCTTATGAGGAAATATGTTTATATCAAAAGATATGTTGTAATCAAATCAGGGATATTTAGACTTACACTGCATTTTTATTTTATACTGTATCTCCTTGAATATACTATTAGTTCCTGGAGAGCAAGAAAGCAAATATATAATAATAATAGGAATCACAGAAGAACTGAGACTTCACTAGAGCTTGAAAGAATAATCAGTGTAGGTAATCAGAGTAGAATTCAGGGTATTATAGGCATAGGGATAACCACAAACGTGTAGGTGCTGATGCACTTGAGCTATTTGGACTAAAGAACTAATTGTGTAAGATGATTGGTTATTATTATATTTCTAAGGGTCTTTTATAATAAGGAAACTAATAATTTTAATTATCTTTTGCCATGTAACAAATTACTCCCAAACTTGGTGGTGTCAAATATTTATCTCAGGCTGGGGGCAGTGGCTCACGCCTGTAACCCCAGCCCTTTGGGAGGCCAAGGCGGGTGCATCACCTGAGGTCAGGAGTTCAAGACCAGCCTGGCTAACATGGCGAAACCCTGTTTCTACTAAAAATACAAAAATTAGCCGGATGCAGTGGCACGTGCCTATAGTCCCAGCTACTCGGGAGGCTGAGGCAGGAGAATCACTTGAACCCAGGAGGTGGAGGTTGCAGTGAGCCGAGATCATGCCACTGCACTCCAACCTGAGTGACAGAATGAGACTCCGTCTCAAAAAGCAAACAAAAAAACATTTGTCTCATAATTTCTATGGGTCAGGAATTTGGGAGTAGCCCAGCTAGCTGGTTCTAGCTTAGATCTCTCATAAGATTACAATCAAAGCATCCTCCAAGTCATCTGAAGACTTGGCTGGGGTTGTAGGTTCTGCTTCCACAATGGCTTACTTACATGGCTGATGGCAGAAAGCTCTAGTTACTCATCACATGGAGCTTTCCATAGAGCACCTTGAATGTCATCAAGACATAGCCGGTGGCTTTCCCCAGAGAGTGATCACAGAGAGAACAAAACAGTCACTTAGCCTCAGGAGTCAGAATTCCTCATTTCTACTACATTATATTCATCAGAGATACTTTACGTAGTATACCCACATTCAAGAAAAGGGGAATGAAAGGAGCAAAGAATTTGTGGACATCCTTCAAAACTACCACATCAGTTGTAATTTTGCTGTCTAGTCTGTGATTATTCACATGTATATGTTATGTATTATGATCTATCAGGGTGATGTCAGCAGTCAAAGTGGATTGGAGCACTAGAACCCAAAGAGGAGACAAGTTACCCAGGGAGTTTTTATAGCTACAGAATAGGCTCTCTGGCCCCACATGGTCAAATTGCAAGTCTGGAAAAGGATATTTACATTTTTAAAGTTAAGATGGGAAGGATTGAACTGGCATCTGAAGTAGACAAGGACTGGGATTCCTAGAAAACATGTGGTATGAAAATACTGGCAATGTGAAACCAACCCAAATGCCCATCAGTGATAGACTAGATAAAGCAAATGTGGTACATACACTCCATGGAATACCATGCAGCCGTAAAAAGGAGTGAGATGATGTCTTTTCCAAGGACATGGATGAAGCTGGAAGCCATTATCCTCAGCAAACTAACACAGGAACAGAAAACCAAACACCGTATATTTTCACTCATAAGTGGAAGCTGAACATTAAGAACACATGGACACACAGAGGGGAACAGCACACACCAGTGCCTGTTGGGAGTTGGGGGTGAGGGGAGGGAACTTAGAGGACGGGTCAATAGGTGCAGCAGACCACCATGGCACATGCATACCTGTATAACAAACCTGCACGTTCTGTGCTTGTATCTGCTTTTTTTTTTTTTTTTTTTTTTTTTTTTTTTGAAGAAATAAAAAAAAATCGGCATTGCATACAGAGAACCTGTGTTCTGAGAACATAAGCTGTTCAGTAGTCTAGTTGGTGAAACAACAAAGACGTTAGAAATTAGGCATAGATGTAGATATGGGTGTAAAAAATGTTTTGAACAGGATTTCCCTGCTGAAGACGTAAAGGTAAGACTGGTTGTTCTCTAGCCTGTTGCAAACAGCCATTCATAATCTCAGTATTAGTAGTAATTCCAAGAATTAACCTAACTCTAAGAGTTAGTTGGAAGAGTTAGATGGAAGAATGATTTCACTGTGTATATGTGCAGTTACCATACTGAGTAGTCACTAAGTTTTAATCAGCATGCTGTACCTATTGACTTTGTCCTCAGCCTGCTTCCATGAAATTGTGTAATAAAACTTAGCCTGGTTTTTATAGAATTGACTTTTACAAGGGTAGTATAGCAGAGGAAAAATGTAATGGATCCTCGGCAGAGATACTACTTGGTAGGACTGAAAGAGCTAAAATGATATGATTTGGATGTTTTATAGATATATTTTGTAGTTGTGTTTTGGTTTTTGAGGGGAGTTTTATTTTTGCTACTGTTAGCTTGTTTTTATTTGGACATCCCAGTAGAAAACAAAGTATACAAAGCTGTAGCTCAGAGATGGAAATTTTAAATAGTAGGATAATACCAAATGTCAGGCAAGGATGTGAAACACTGATGTAGACATTTTTAAATATCTAATAATGTTGAAGATGTGCATTGCTTCTAACCCAATAATTTCACTTGTAGGTATCAAAACAGTGTCTCACAGATGTTGTTGACTATGTCCTACATTAGGTACACAGTAGCTTCAAGAAAGAATACTTACTTGCCTACTACATGTGGAGCATTTTGGTATTTTCTGTCCTATATACTTTTATGTATTTGTTGCCACTCACTGAATCAATTTTATAATGTGCTAATGGGTCCCGATGCAGTATTTTAAAAACACTGCTCTAAGGAAACTCCCACATATCTGCACAGGGAGAAACATACAAGAATATTCATGGACTCATTGTTAGTAAAAGCAAAACCTTGGAAACAACTTAAATTTCCATTTATGAGAGAATATGTAATTTATAATTGTTTATAGAAAGGAACAGTGGACACTGGCTAAAATTAAAACATCAGAGCTTTATAAACCAGTATGCATAAATTGCAAAATATGATTTGTGAAAAAAGCAAGTTGTAGAAGGAGGCCTACAGGATAATATTTATGTAAAACAATACATATGACGTTAAACAGAGATGGAATTGATATTCACTGAATCAAGGACAGTCATTTACTCTTGGGAAGGGAGATGTATCAGACGTATATAGGAATTTTTAACTGTATTATATTTCTTAGCTGAGCAGTGGATATATGCAGTTATTCATTATATTGTCCCCTATACCTTGTTTTATGTCTGAAATTTTTTGTCTGAAAAAAGAAATATTCTTGTCCCACGCATGTTCAGTATTATGTAGGTCTAGGAACACCTCACAGTTTATAGTAGAGCTACTTTTTTTTTCTTTTTAGACAGAATCTCACTCTGTCACCCAGGCTGGAGTGCAGTGGCGTGATCTCGGCTTACTGCAACCTCCGCCTCCTGGGTTCAAACGATTCTCCTGCCTCAGCCTCTCGAGTAGCTGGGACTACAGGTGCCCACCACCACGCCCAGCTAATTTTTTGTATTTTTAGTAGAGATGGTGTTTCACCATGTTTGCCAGGATGTTCTCGATCTCCTGACTTCGTGATCTGCCCACCTCAGCCTCCCAAAGTGCTGGGATTACAGGCGTGAGCCACTGTGCCTGGCCAGTAGAGCTACTTTTTATACTGTATTCATTATAAATGTCTAGATTGATGAAACAAATGAAAGATTATAATAGGAGGGAGGAGCCAAGATGGCCGAATAGGAACAGCTCCGGTCTACAGCTCCCAGCGTGAGCGACGCAGAAGACGGGTGATTTCTGCATTTCCATCTGAGGTACCGGGTTCATCTCACTAGGGAGTGCCAGACAGTGGGCACAGGCCAGTGTGTGCGCGCACCGTGCGCGAGCCGAAGCAGGGCGAGGCATTGCCTCACCTGGGAAGCGCAAGGGTCAGGGAGTTCCCTTTCCGAGTCAAAGAAAGGGGTGACAGACGCACCTGGAAAATCGGGTCACTCCCACCCGAATATTGCGCTTTTCAGACCGGCTTAAAAAACGGCGCACCAGGAGACTATATCCCACACCTGGCTCAGAGGGTCCTACGCCCACGGAATCTCGCTGATTGCTGGCACAGCAGTCTGAGATCAAACTGCAAGGCGGCAACGAGGCTGGGGGAGGGGCGCCCGCCATTGCCCAGGCTTGCTTAGGTAAACAAAGCAGCCAGGAAGCTCGAACTGGGTGGAGCCCACCACAGCTCAAGGAGGCCTGCCTGCCTCTGTAGGCTCCACCTCTGGGGGCAGGGCACAGACAAACAAAAAGACAGCAGTAACCTCTGCAGACTTAAGTGTCCCTGTCTGACAGCTTTGAAGAGAGCAGTGGTTCTCCCAGCACGCAGCTGGAGATCTGAGAACGGGCAGACTGCCTCCTCAATTGGGTCCTTGACCCCTGACCCCCGAGCAGCCTAACTGGGAGACACCCCACAGCAGGGGCACACTGACACCTCACACGGCAGGGTATTCCAACAGACCTGCAGCTGAGGGTCCTGTCTGTTAGAAGGAAAACTAACAACCAGAAAGGACATCTAACAGAAAACCCATCTGTACATCACCATCATCAAAGACCAAAAGTAGATAAAACCACAAAGATGGGGAAAAAACAGAACAGAAAAACTGGAAACTCTAAAACGCAGAGCGCCTCTCCTCCTCCAAAAGAACGCAGTTCCTCACCAGCAACGGAACAAAGCTGGATGGAGAATGATTTTGACGAGCTGAGAGAAGAAGGCTTCAGACGATCAAATTACTCTGAGCTACGGGAGGACATTCAAACCAAAGGCAAAGAAGTTGAAAACTTTGAAAAAAATTTAGAAGAATGTATAACTAGAATAACCAATACAGAGAAGTGCTTAAAGGAGCTGATGGAGCTGAAAACCAAGGCTCGAGAACTACGTGAAGAATGCAGAAGCCTCAGGAGCCGATGCGATCAACTGGAAGAAAGGGTATCAGCAATGGAAGATGAAATGAATGAAATGAAGCGAGAAGGGAAGTTTAGAGAAAAAAGAATAAAAAGAAATGAGCAAAGCCTCCAAGAAATATGGGACTATGTGAAAAGACCAAATCTACGTCTGATTGGTGTACCTGAAAGTGATGTGGAGAATGGAACCAAGTTGGAAAACACTCTGCAGGATATTATCCAGGAGAACTTCCCCAATCTAGCAAGGCAGGCCAACGTTCAGATTCAGGAAATACAGAGAACGCCACAAAGATACTCCTCGAGAAGAGCAATTCCAAGACACATAATTGTCAGATTCACCAAAGTTGAAATGAAGGAAAAAATGTTAAGGGCAGCCAGAGAGAAAGGTCAGGTTACCCTCAAAGGAAAGCCCATCAGACTAACAGCGGATCTCTCGGCAGAAACCCTACAAGCCAGAAGAGAGTGGGGGCCAATATTCAACATTCTTAAAGAAAAGAATTTTCAACCCAGAATTTCATATCCAGCCAAACTAAGCTTCATAAGTGAAGGAGAAATAAAATACTTTATAGACAAGCAAATGCTGAGAGATTTTGTCAACACCAGGCCTGCCCTAAAAGAGCTCCTGAAGGAAGCGCTAAACATGGAAAGGAACAACCGGTACCAGCCGCTGCAAAATCATGCCAAAATGTAAAGACCATCGAGACTAGGAAGAAACTGCATCAACTAACGAGCAAAATCACCAGCTAACATCATAATGACAGGATCAAATTCACACATAACAATATTAACTTTAAATATAAATGGACTAAATTCTGCAATTAAAAGACACAGACTGGCAAGTTGGATAAAGAGTCAAGACCCATCAGTGTGCTGTATTCAGGAAACCCATCTCACGTGCAGAGACACACATAGGCTCAAAATAAAAGGATGGAGAAAGATCTACCAAGCCAATGGAAAACAAAAAAAGGCAGGGGTTGCAATCCTAGTCTCTGATAAAACAGACTTTAAACCAACAAAGATCAAAAGAGACAAAGAAGGCCATTACATAATGGTAAAGGGATCAATTCAACAAGAGGAGCTAACTATCCTAAATATTTATGCACCCAATACAGGAGCACCCAGATTCATAAAGCAAGTCCTGAGTGACCTACAAAGAGACTTAGACTCCCACACATTAATAATGGGAGACTTTAACACCCCACTGTCAACATTAGACAGATCAACGAGACAGAAAGTCAACAAGGATACCCAGGAATTGAACTCAGCTCTGCACCAAGCAGACCTAATAGACATCTACAGAACTCTCCACCCCAAATCAACAGAATATACAGTTTTTTCAGCACCACACCACACCTATTCCAAAATTGACCACATAGTTGGAAGTAAAGCTCTCCTCAGCAAATGTAAAAGAACAGAAATTATAACAAACTATCTCTCAGACCACAGTGCAATCAAACTAGAACTCAGGATTAAGAATCTCACTCAAAGCCGCTCAACTACATGGAAACTGAACAACCTGCTCCTGAATGACTACTGGGTACATAACGAAATGAAGGCAGAAATAAAGATGTTCTTTGAAACCAACGAGAACAAAGACACCACATACCAGAATCTCTGGGACGCATTCAAAGCAGTGTGTAGAGGGAAATTTATAGCACTAAATGCCTACAAGAGAAAGCAGGAAAGATCCAAAATTGACACCCTAACATCACAATTAAAAGAACTAGAAAAGCAAGAGCAAACACATTCAAAAGCTAGCAGAAGGCAAGAAATAACTAAAATCAGAGCAGAACTGAAGGAAATAGAGACACAAAAAACCCTTCAAAAAATCAATGAATCCAGGAGCTGGTTTTTTGAAAGGATCAACAAAATTGATAGACCGCTAGCAAGAGTAATAAAGAAAAAAGAGAAGAATCAAATAGACGCAATAAAAAATGATAAAGGGGATATCACCACCGATCCCACAGAAATACAAACTACCATCAGAGAATACTACAAACACCTCTACGCAAATAAACTAGAAAATCTAGAAGAAATGGATACATTCCTCGACACATACACTCTCCCAAGACTAAACCAGGAAGAAGTTGAATCTCTGAATAGACCAATAACAGGCTCTGAAATTGAGGCAATAATCAATAGTTTACCAACCAAAAAGAGTCCAGGACCAGATGGATTCACAGCCGAATTCTACCAGAGGTACAAGGAGGAACTGGTACCATTCCTTCTGAAACTATTCCAATCAATAGAAAAAGAGGGAATCTTCCCTAACTCATTTTATGAGGCCAGCATCATTCTGATACCAAAGCCGGGCAGAGACACAACCAAAAAAGAGAATTTTAGACCAATATCCTTGATGAACATTGACGCAAAAATCCTCAATAAAATACTGGCAAACCGAATCCAGCAGCACATCAAAAAGCTTATCCACCATGATCAAGTGGGCTTCATCCCTGGGATGCAAGGCTGGTTCAATATACGCAAATCAATAAATGTAATCCAGCATATAAACAGAGCCAAAGACAAAAACCACATGATTATCTCAATAGATGCAGAAAAAGCCTTTGACAAAATTCAACAACCCTTCATGCTAAAAACTCTCAATAAATTAGGTATTGATGGGACGTATTTCAAAATAATAAGAGCTATCTATGACAAACCCACAGCCAATATCATACTGAATGGGCAAAAACTGGAAGCATTCCCTTTGAAAACTGGCACAAGACAGGGATGCCCTCTCTCACCGCTCCTATTCAACATAGTGTTGGAAGTTCTGGCCAGGGCAATCAGGCAGGAGAAGGAAATAAAGGGTATTCAATTAGGAAAAGAGGAAGTCAAATTGTCCCTGTTTGCAGACGACATGATTGTATATCTAGAAAACCCCATCGTCTCAGCCCAAAATCTCCTTAAGCTGATAAGCGACTTCAGCAAAGTCTCAGGATACAAAATCAATGTACAAAAATCACAAGCATTCTTATACACCAACAACAGACAAACAGAGAGCCAAACCATGAGTGAACTCCCATTCACAATTGCTTCAAAGAGAATAAAATACCTAGGAATCCAACTTACAAGGGATGTGAAGGACCTCTTCAAGGAGAACTACAAACCACTGCTCAAGGAAATAACAGACGACACAAACAAATGGAAGAACATTCCATGCTCATGGGTAGGAAGAATCAATATCGTGAAAATGGCCATACTGCCCAAGGTAATTTACAGATTCAATGCCATCCCCATCAAGCTACCAATGACTTTCTTCACAGAATTGGAAAAAACTACTTTAAAGTTCATATGGAACCAAAAAAGAGCCCGCATCGCCAAGTCAATCCTAAGCCAAAAGAACAAAGCTGGAGGCATCACACTACCTGACTTCAAACTATACTACAAGGCTACAGTAACCAAAACAGCATGGTACTGGTACCAAAACAGAGATATAGATCAATGGAACAGAACAGAGCCCTCAGAAATAATGCCGCATATCTACAACTATCTGATCTTTGACAAACCTGAGAAAAACAAGCAATGGGGAAAGGATTCCCTATTTAATAAATGGTGCTGGGAAAACTGGCTAGCCATATGTAGAAAGCTGAAACTGGATCCCTTCCTTACACCTTATACAAAAATCAATTCAAGATGGATTAAAGATTTAAACGTTAGACCTAAAACCATAAAAACCCTAGAAGAAAACCTAGGCATTACCATTCAGGACATAGGCGTGGGCAAGGACTTCATGTCCAAAACACCAAAAGCAATGGCAACAAAAGCCAAAATTGACAAATGGGATCTAATTAAACTAAAGAGCTTCTGCACAGCAAAAGAAACTACCATCAGAGTGAACAGGCAACCTACAACATGGGAGAAAATTTTCGCAACCTACTCATCTGACAAAGGGCTAATATCCAGAATCTACAATGAACTCAAACAAATTTACAAGAAAAAAACAAACAACCCCATCAAAAAGTGGGCGAAGGACATGAACAGACACTTCTCAAAAGAAGACATTTATGCAGCCAAAAAACACATGAAAAAATGCTCATCATCACTGGCCATCAGAGAAATGCAAATCAAAACCACTATGAGATATCATCTCACACCAGTTAGAATGGCAATCATTAAAAAGTCAGGAAACAACAGGTGCTGGAGAGGATGTGGAGAAATAGGAACACTTTTACACTGTTGGTGGGACTGTAAACTAGTTCAACCATTGTGGAAGTCAGTGTGGCGATTCCTCAGGGATCTAGAACTAGAAATACCATTTGACCCAGCCATCCCGTTACTGGATATATACCCAAAGGACTATAAATCATGCTGCTATAAAGACACATGCACACGTATGTTTATTGCGACACTATTCACAATAGCAAAGACTTGGAACCAACCCAAATGTCCAACAATGATAGACTGGATTAAGAAAATGTGGCACATATACACCATGGAATACTATGCAGCCATAAAAAGTGATGAGTTCATGTCCTTTGTAGGGACATGGATGAAATTGGAAACCATCATTCTCAGTAAACTATCGCAAGAACAAAAAACCAAACACCGCATATTCTCACTCATAGGTGGGAATTGAACAATGAGATCACAAGGACACAGGAAGGGGAATATCACACTCTGGGGACGGTGGTGGGGTCAGGGGAGGGGGGAGGGATAGCATTGGGAGATATACCTAATGCTAGATGACACGTTGGTGGGTGCAGCGCACCAGCATGGCACATGTATACATATGTAACTAACCTGCACAATGTGCACATGTACCCTAAAACTTAAAGTATAATAAAAAAAAAAATTAAAAAAAAAAAAAAAAGAAAGATTATAATAGCCAACATTTAATGGAAGGATTAATGGATGCCAGGTAGAATTCTAAGTCTTCTATTTGTATTAAGTGATTTTATTCTCATAGTAACTGTGAGCTAGGTGGTATTATTACCACTATTTTAGAGATGAGGAAACCTAAGAAAAAGGGAAATACCCAAGGTCACACAGCTAGTAAATAGCAGAACCAGGATTTGAACTCAGGATGTCTTCCTCCAGAGCCTGTACTTTTAGCCACTATGTTGTACAGCCTCTCCATGAGAAAAAGATACTATCAAAAAATGTAGGAAAACTAAAGGTTGTAATTGGCAGTATGGCTTGGAAAGAGAATGTTTTCCCTGTTTTTATCCTTAAGCAATGACAGGAGCCTAGAGAGAACTGAGACTTATTAGAGCAAGGAATTTTGTCACCAAAGAGAAACTAAGAAAAGTGCCTTAATTATCATTAAAATTTTAGCTAAAATGATAGATTATTGCCTTTTGTAAATTGGATAATTAAAAATTACTTAAAATTTTAACATTTGTGAATGGTAAATCAGAAACCTTGAAGATTGATCTACAGAAGAAAATTAGGATTTATGATATTATAGTTAATATTTTTTTCTTAAAGCTAAGGCTAATAACCTTGTGATGAAAGATTATAAAAGTGTTAACATTGTATTTGTTTACAATTCACAGAGATTGTATAGTAGGAAAGTCATCCCAGGAGGGTTATATTGGATGCTTACTTATGGTGAGGTGAAAAGCCATCTAGGCAATGAGCCAGAATTCTGACTTTTCGGGTTGTTCTGCCATGACTTCGCAGTATTGTCACCAAGATGGTTACCATTGTCACTAGAGGTGGATTCTTCCGTCTCAGCCTAAAAAATATATTATTACAGATGAAAGACCTGTGCCTTGAATAAAGTGGGCTTTTTCTTTTAATTCATTACATGTGTGCTAGCTTATAAAGATTCCCAGTTCTGGCCGGTCACAGTGGCTCACGCGTGTAATCCCAGCACTTTGGGAGGCCGAGGTGGGTGGATCACTTGAGGTCAGGAGTTCAAGACCACCCTGGCCAATATGATGAAACCCCATCTCTACTAAAAATACAAAAATTACTCAGGTGTGGTGGCTTGCACCTGTAGTCTCAGCTACTTGGGTGGCTGAGGCAGGAGAATCACTTGAACCTGGAGGCAGAGGTTGCAGTCAGCCGAAATCATGCCACTGCACTCCAGCATGAGCGACAGAGCAAGACTCCATTTAATAATAATTTTTTAAAAAAAGATTAACAGTTCTTTTGAGAAACATTATTCTGTACTTGGATGTTGTGACTCTGATTTTCTTAGAAAGTTTAACATGTTTCTTGGCTCTGTAATAGTTGTGAGGCTCTCAGAAAGCTCCAAATGTCATTGTCTAGCCCAGTGAAAATAGAGTAATTGGGTCAAAATAGTTTAATAGAAGCTTTTTTTTTCCAGTTTGGTATTATTAGTGTTTATTTTATAGAAAACATGAAAAACAGAAGATACTTAAGTTGGAGGCCATTCAGAATGCAAATATATACAAACAGCATTAGAAATATTTATTGCTTATGGAAAGCGAGTATGAATGCATTCTAGCTTTGTATATTAATTTGAGATTGTCTTTTTTTTCTCTCTCTAGTGATGCTATTGCTGAGATTAGAGCCATTTGTATTGAAGAAATTGGAGTATGGATGAAAATGTATAGTGATGCCTTCCTAAATGACAGTTACCTAAAATATGTTGGCTGGACTCTTCATGACAGGGTAAGTTACTCTGTTCTAAGCTTTGATGGAAGTTATGTTTGTCTCAGTACTAAAATGCTGGGAATCAAAATGACAGTAGTTGATTTTTCAGGAGTTGTAATCATGTGGAAATTTTAAGATGATGCAGCTGAATAACTATTTACTTGATGATTGTGATGAAACTGGAAGCATTTGCCCAGGGGTGAAGACCCTATCTTGTTTAGTTACAATATTGTCTTGAACCAAGTTTGACAACCTGGTATATATAAAGTTTTCAGAGAAAGAAAATCATTATATTCTTTTTCTAATTCAGAATCAAAGGAGATTTCTTTTTTCTTAATATATAAAAACTAAGCTTTTTTTTAAAAAAAATTTTCTAGGACCATATCATAGTAGAGTGCTTTATCAGACTTGAATAGATTTGTTGGATTTTAGAATATTTGATCTAAAAATCTAATTCTGCCTTCTGACTTTAAAAGGAATCCCTCATATAAGTAATCCTGAATAAGTAATCCTTAGAATAACCATGGGTAGGAGTGATAAGTTATTGGAATTTGGCCAGGTGTGGCATTTACGTACTGTAATAGAAATAATATTAGAGTATATTAGAGCCCCAAAGTAGAGCACTTATCATAAAAGCAACTGGAATTTTCATTCCCATTATAAGTTATTTTACAGTTTTCTGAAGTATTTTTCATGAATACTACCTTATTTAATTGTTAAGAAGTTCCTGTGGTGACTTTACAGAGAACAGCTGTCCTCAGCCTTTTGCTCATCCATTGTTGATCCTTTCATTATACATGTTACGTAATACTTTTGTTTGCTTTCCACCTGTCTTGCCCCCTGGAATACCATATTCATTGAGCAAGTTCCATAAATCCCTATGGGTTGCCCTTCAGTTACTGCCTATTGCAATTATTGTGTTCCCACCCCCCTTGACTATGATGGTCAGGAGAAGCTTTGTTCTCTCTGCTCTTCTGGGATCTTCACATCTCCATTGCTCCTGGGAGCCAAATTTTCCATTTGGTCTGTGCTGAGATTTGTCCTTAGTCTCATGACCAGGAGGAAGGTCTGTGTATTATATCAAGACAAGGGCTACTAGCATTGTCCTATAGGCACCTGCCTTATTTGAGGCTTCCAGGTAGTCTTTCAGCAAAGGATGGAGTAAGGAGGAAACATACTATCCTCTAACAAGTGGGCATGAGCCATATTTTCAGGCCTACAAATTCAGAGGAAATGGGGAGTTCAAGATTCTCACTGCATCTACCCAGATATCCTTTAGACTTCACTTTTTTCATATCATAACTCTTATTTTGACATAAGAGACTTGCCTGGGATTCAGAGTTCTTAAATTCTGTCACACTTACAATTTAGTGCTAGGCCTGGTCTTTAGTATCATCAGTTCTCTTTCTAAAGGAAATAAATGTTTCCAAAGAGGCAACACTTGGCTTTGAACTGGTGATGAAACACCCTGGCCCTGTCATTTTCTCTTTAGCCTTTCAGTGACACTTAGCAATAGCCACTTAACTTCACAGTTTTTACAGTTACTATTTGCTCTGCTCCCTCCAGTGTAGAAATGTTGTACAAGTTAATGCACATCCACTTTCAACTAAAAGTGAAAATCCTAACAAACTGCTGTCCTACGTCAGGAACTATCAAGACTTCATCTACCACCATTGAGTCTTACCTCATAGCAATCCAGCCTTCAGTAATCCAATCCCAGAATCCCATTATTGAAGTCTGATTCCCAGGACCACTCTTGGTTCCAGCTCTCATAGATCACATTCCCTGGATGCCAAGCCTGAGTTGGGGATTTTTGTGCTGGTGATGTTGCGAGGTTTGTACTCTCAAGAGTAACCTGTTGGCTGGGCATGATGACTCACACCTGTAATCTCAGCATTTTGGGAGGCAGAGACAGGCGGATCACCTGAGGTCAGGAGTTCGAGACCAGCCTGGCCAGCATGGCAAAACCCTGTCTCTACTAAAAATGGAAAACTTTGCTGGGCATGGTGGTGGGCACCTGTAATTTCAGCTACTCGGGAGGCTGAGACAAGAGAATCACTTGAACCTGGGAGGCGGAGGTTGCAGTGAGCTGAAATCACACCACTGTACTCCAGCCTGGGTGACAAGAGCAAGACTCTGCCTCAAAAAAAAAAAAAAAAAAAAAAAAAGGAACCTATAAAAAAGTGAGGAAAGTATGACAAAGCAGGAAACAGACTAATGAAAATGTGGTTTCAGGAGAAGTCTAATCTCAACCTGATCTCACAGGGAGATTGGGAGAGTAAATTGTACCTTAGAGGGTATCCTGTACAGAAGCAAGGAGGCTGGGCTGTTTCACCCCTGTATCTTTCTTTACTGGCTATGGGCCTCAACCTGGGCGAGAGAAGGGAAGTGGTTGGGAGAGGAAAGATGGAGCATAACCTCCTAGGGGTCTATGTGCTAGGTGGTTCTAGTAAACCGTGGTCCATTCTCCAGAGAAAGATAGAGATATTGAACCATTAGCAGTTAACACTGGCAGACACTGAAGAATTAGCCCAGTAAAGGGGACCTGGGTAGGGCATCAGCAGCACCTGCCACAGGCACTTCAGCTTTCGCTTGTGTGCTAGGGACTTACCAACAAATATTACGTTATCTCATAGCACATCTCATGGTATGTATGCTACTGTAGGCTTGAATCAGCTTACAAAAGAGTGATTATGCATCTCCATAAATGAGTTCATTGACATCTCATCAATAACTTAATATTGGCTATGAAGGCACTATTTACATTAAATAAATCTGCAAAGAGAACAAATCAGAACCCTATTCCTCAGAGCTCTTTGTTAAAACTTTTACCA
This sequence comes from Homo sapiens, assembly GCF_000001405.40. NCBI lineage: Eukaryota > Metazoa > Chordata > Mammalia > Primates > Hominidae > Homo > Homo sapiens. Next base: position 136,474,472 of record NC_000003.12, on the reverse strand, counting down.
GCATATCTCTGCACTTAATCCCTACGATAATTTTATAAACAAGAAACCTGAGTATCAGGGTGATTAATAATATACTTAACATCTTGCATGTAGCTAATAAATTATATAGAATTGGAACTAAAATTTAGTTGTATCTGATTCCAGAACTTGGTCTCCTGCTGTTACAGCACATAGCTTCTTTCAGAGGATAGAAACTAATCCCCTTTAAATCTTTTGAGAGACTTGTCTAGATTTCTAGGTGATCCTGAATGCATTTTGATCATCAACATCCTGTACGCCAAGTTGATGACTTTATTAAAGACATTCCACTAATAAATAGCACTCCCAGGACTCTTCATGTATCATTTTGCCTCTGTTTTAAACATTGTGCTATTTCTGTTTTGCTAACTGCTGTCCCTGGAATATAAATTGAATCCAGTAAATATTTGTTGCATGAATAAATGATGACCATTTTGTATAAAAATCAGGTTTTTCCACAGAATTATTCAATAATTACATAAAGGACAAATAAACATACTTTTCCCTAATTATAGGTTTAAAATTCTCTCTTTGTGCCTCTGGATGACGTGGGTTATACCACATGTTGAGTCAGCGTTGATAAATATTTAAAATAGGCATAACTTACTCTCAAGTAACTAAGGTCTTTTCAGTGAATTTTTTTTTTTTTTTACATATAAGGGCAACACACACTATACAATTGTTCAGTCTCATCCTATGTTGAATTACAATATGCAGTAAGTCAAATGTTTAAGCTAAATTTTAGTCTTCATATAGACTTGAAAATTGTAGTATGGAATTGACTCCTTCTGTTGTGCTTTTATTTGTATTTCTGAAGCAAGGGGAAGTCAGGCTGAAGTGTTTGAAAGCTCTGCAGAGTCTATATACCAATAGAGAATTATTCCCCAAATTGGAACTATTCACTAACCGATTCAAGGTAAGCATCAAGAATGATAAGCTTATTTAATTTTTCTCTTTACAAATGCTAGTTACAGCTAGTTTAGCAAATTACATTATCATACAAGTGTTTAGTTCATATTCTTTATTACAGCAGTCCCCAACCTTTTTGGCACCAGGGACCAGTTTCATGGAAGACAGTTTTTCTGTGGACCAAGGTGGGGGTTGAGGGGATGGTTTCGGGATGATTCAAGTGCATTACATTTATTGGGCACTTTATTTCTGTTGTTATTACATTGTAATATGTAATGAAACAATTATACAACTCACCATAAGGTAGAATCATTGCAGCCCTGAACTTGTTTTCCTGCAACTAGATGTTCCCATCTAGGGGTGATGGGAGACAGTAACAGATCATCAGGCATTAGATTCTCATAAGGAGCACACAACGTAGATCCCTTGCATGCGCAGTTCACAGTAGGGTTCATGTTCCTGTTGTTCCTATTGAGAATCTAATGCCACTGCTGATTTGACAAGACTTGGAGCTCAGGCAATAGTGGGAGTGATGGAGAACAGCTGTAAATACAGATGAAACTTCACTGGCTCACTTGCTCCCACACCACTAACCCCTTGCTGTGTGGCCCAGTTCCTAACAGGTTACAGACCAGGATTGGGGACCCCTGCTTTTACTACATGTTCTTTAAATAAACCCATATGAAATTGATAAGTGAATCTCTGCTTTACAAAAGATATTACCATGAGTTCTTATTTATTACCTTTGGAAGAAGGCTTACCTGCTTAAAATTTTCTTTACAGCTTGTTATAAAGATAGTAATTTTGTATGTTAAGGCTTCCTTGACACAAGGTTTAGGGAACAGCAATTGTTGAGAAAGATTTTAAATTACAAACATTTATACTAACATCCCCTTTGTGTGAGTAGGACTACAATACTGCAGTTTCAAGAGTAAAGCTTTTTATTTAACCTATCATTAGTATTGCATATATATCCCAGAATACATTATATTAGATCTGTCCCAGCTTATTTTCTGTTCATAGTTGGTTTGTTTTACAACTTTTTTTTCTCAGGATCGCATTGTATCAATGACACTTGATAAAGAATATGATGTTGCTGTGGAAGCTATTCGATTGGTTACTCTGATACTTCAGTAAGTAATATCCATTACTATTTTAACTTTATTGATATTTTAATACCTTTTCCCCAGGATTTTTAATGTCCTATCTATATATAGTCCTTATGTATATGTTTATCATTTTAGGTTCAACTTTTACATTTTAACGTTAGATTTAAAAAGTGTTTTCTGTTTTTTTCTATTTTTGTTTTTTATTTTCACTATTGTTTACTTCTTCCACATAAAAATTATTTTATGCAGCCTAGAGAAAATACCAATGATGTAACTTACCTTTCTGTTTAAAACAAAGCAGGCCCAGTATGTTGGCTCCTGCCTAAAATCCCAGCATTTTGGAAGGCCAAGGCGGGAGGATCACTTGAGCCCAGGGGTTCAAGACCAGCCTGGGCAAAAGGGGAGACCCTGTCTCTACAAATGATTAAAAAAATTAACTGGCATGGTGGCACATGCCTGTTGTCCTAGCTACTTAGGAGGCTAAGGTGGGAGGGTCGCTTGAGCCCAGAAGGTCAAAGCTGCAGTGAGTCGTAATGGAGCCACTGCATTCCAGCATAGGTGATATAGCAGGACCCTGTGTCAAAAATAAATAAATAACTCAGAGAGAAAGAAGACTGCAAAAGGAAGAACCCTCAAAGGGACAGTTTCCCAAATAGGCTTCTTTTTAATGATATAGAAGTAGAAGAAAAAAATAAAGCAATTAAATTGTCTCACTAATGATAGAGATTTCAAAATAATAATGTTATAGCTGTATTTCTACAGGTTTGACTAAAAACTAGCAAGAATCTATGTGAGAGAATATATCCTAGCAAAGTCATACATAACAAATCCTCCTCTCCCTACTTTGTGATGGTACATCTATCACGAACTAAATATGTATGCAGGGATCTACTGTTGTTTGAAATCCTTTTACATTTTGGCTCTAACACCATGCTCTTTATTATTGTGGCTTTATAATATATGTTCTAAATATAGGGTCATTTTCTCCTCTTTGTCTTTTTTTTCAAAATCTAGTTACCTTCTTGTGTCTGATTTTTGTTTGATATGAATTTTAAAAATATACTTGTCAAGTGCCTCAAAAACTTTGCCTGGAATTTTGAATATTAGAACTCCATTGACTTCTATGATGAATTTAGGAGAGTTTAAAGTACTTTGCTATGTTATATCACTTATGCATGAAAATGCTGGAATTCTCATCTTTTTTAAAGAGAAGTATTCTTACTATGTTTCTCATGCTGGAGTGTGTTAACAGATGTGATCATAGCACATTAAAACTGCTAACTCCTGAACTGAGGTGATCCTCTTTTTTTTTTTTTAATTTAACTTCTGGGGTACATGTGCACAATGTGCAGCTTTGTTACATATGTATACATGTGCCGTGTTGGTGTGCTGCACTCACTAACTCGTCATTTACATTAGGTATATCTCCTAATGCTATCCCTCCCCCCACCCCACAACAGTCCCCAGTGTGTGATGGTCCCCTTCCTGCGTCCAAGTGTTCTCATTGTTCAATTCCCACCTATGAGTGAGAACATGCAGTGTTTGGTTTTTTGTCCTTGTGATAGTTTCCTGAGAATGATGGTTTCCAGCTTCATCCATGTCCCTACAAAGGACATGAACTCATCCTTTTTATGGCTGCATACTATTCCATGGTGTATAGGTGCCACATTTTCTTAATCCAGTCTATCATTGATGGACATTTGGGTTGGTTCTAAGTCTTTGCTATTGTGAATAGTGCCGCAATAAACATATGTATGCATGTGTCTTAAAGCAGCATGATTATAATCCTTTGGGTATATACCCAGTAATGGGATGGCTGGGTCAAATGGTATTTCTAGTTCTAGATCCTTGAGGAATCGCCACACTGTCTTCCACAATGGTTGAACTAGTTTACAGTCCTACCAACAGTGTAAAAGTGTTCCTATTTCTCCCCATCCTCTCCAACATCTGTTGTTTCCTAACTTTTTAATGATCGCCATTGTAACTGGTGTGAGATGGTATCTCATTGTGGTTTTGATTTGCATTTCTCTGATGGCCAGTGATGATGAGCATTATTTCACGTGTCTGTTGGCTGCATAAATGTCTTCTTTTCAGAAGTGTCTGTTCATATCCTTTGCCCACTTTTTGATGGGGTTGTTTGTTTTTCTCTTGTAAATTTGTTTGAGTTCTTTGTAAATTCTGGATATTAGCCTTTTGTCAGATGAGTAGATTGTGAAAATTTTCTCCCATTCTGTAGGTTGCCTGTTCACTCTGATGGTAGTTTCTTTTGCTGTGCAGAAGCTCTTTAGGTTAATTGGATCCCATTTGTCAGTTTTGGCTTTTGTTGCCATTTCTTTTGGTGTTTTAGACATGAAGTCCTTGCCCATGCCTATGTCCTGAATGGTATTGCCTAAGTTTTCTTCTAGGGTTTTTATGGTTTTAGGTCTAACATTGAAGTCTTTAATCCATCTTGAATTAATTTTTCTATAAGGTGTAAGGAAGGGATCCAGTTTCAGCTTTCTACATGTGGCTAGCCAGTTTTCCCAGCACCATTCATTAAATAGGGAATCCTTTCCCCATTGCTTGTTTTTGTCAGGTTTGTCAAAGATCAGATAGTTGTAGATGTGTGATATTATTTGTGAGGGCTCTGTTCTGTTCCATTGGTCTATATCTCTGTTTTGGTACCAGTACCATGCTGTTTTGGTTACTGTAGCCTTGTAGTATAGTTTGAAGTCAGATAGCCTGATGCCTCCAGCTTTGTTCTTTTGGCTTAGGATTGTCTTGGCAATGCAAGCTCTTTTTTGGTTCCATATGAACTTTAATGTAGTTTTTTCCAATTCTGTGAAGAAAGTCATTGGTAGCTTGATGGGGATGGCATTGAATCTATAAATTACCTTGGGCAGTATGGCCATTTTCACGATATTGATTATTCCTATCCATGAGCATGGAATGTTCTTCCATTTGTTTGTGTCGTCTTTTATTTCATTGAGCAGTGGTTTGTAGTTCTCCTTGAAGAGGTCCTTCACATCCCTTGTAAGTTGGATTCCTAGGTATTTTATTCTCTTTGAAGCAATTGTGAATGGGAGTTCACTCGTGATTTGGCTCTCTGTTTGTCTGTTACTGGTGTATAAGAATGCTTGTGATTTTTGTACATTGATTTTGTATCCTGAGACTTTGCTGAAGTTGCTTATCAGCTTAAGGAGATTTTGGGCTGAGACGATGGGGTTTTCTAAATATACAATCCTGTCTGCAAACAGGGACAATTTGACTTCCTCTTTTCCTAATTGAATACCCTTTATTTCCTTCTCCTGCCTGATTGCCCTGGCCAGAACTTCCAACACTATGTTGAATAGGAGTGGTGAGAGAGGGCATCCCTGTCTTGTGCCAGTTTTCAAAGGGAATGCTTTCAGTTTTTGCCCATTCAGTATGATATTGGGTGTGGGTTTGTCATAAATAGCTCTTATTATTTTGAGATACGTCCCATCAATACCTAATGTATTGAGAGTTTTTAGCATGAAGCGTTGTTGAATTTTGTCAAAGGCCTTTTCTGCATGTATTGAGATAATCATGTCGTTTTTGTCTTTGGTTCTGTTCATATGCTGGATTACATTTATTGATTTGTGTATATTGAACCAGCCTTGCATCCCAGGGATGAAGCCAACTTGATCATGGTGGCTAAGCTTTTTGATGTGCTGCTGGATTCGGTTTGCCAGTATTTTATTGAGGATATTTGCGTGAATGTTCATCAGGGATATTGGTCTAAAATTCTCTTTTTTTGTTATGTGTCTGCCAGGGACATAACAGGGAGAGTTAGGGAGGATTCCCTCTTTTTCTGTTGATTGGAATAGTTTCAGAAGGAATGGTACCAGCTCCTCCTTGTACCTCTGGTAGAATTCGACTGTGAATCCATCTGGTCCTGGACTTTTTTTGGTTGGTAGGCTATTAAGTATTGTCTCAATTTCAGAGCCTGTTATTGGTCTATTCAGGGATTCAGCTTCTTCCTGGTTTAGTCTTGGGAGGGTGTATGTGTCCAGGAATGTATCCATTTCTTCCAGATTTTCTAGTTTATTTGCGTAGAGGTGTTTATAGTATTCTCTGATGGTAGTTTGTATTTCTGTGGGATCGGTGGTGATATCCCCTTTATCCTTTTTTATTGCGTCTATTTGATTCTTCTCTCTTTTCTTCTTTATTAGTCTTGCTAGTGGTCTATCAGTTTTGTTGATCTTTTCAAAAAACGAGCTCCTAGATTCATTGATTTTTTGAAGAGTTTTTTGTGTCTCTATCTCCTTCAGTTCTGCTCTGATCTTAGTTATTTCTTGCCTTCTGCTAGCTTTAGAATGTGTTTGCTCTTCCTTCTCTAGTTCTTTCGATTGTGATGTTAGGTTGTCAATTTTAGATCTTTCCTGCTTTCTCTTGTGGGCATTTAGTGCTATACATTTCCCTCTACACACTGCTTTCAGTGTGTCCCAAAGATTCAGGTTTGTGCCTTTGTTCTCATTGGTTTCAAAGAACATCTTTATTACTGCCTTCATTTCGTTATGTACCCATTAGTCATTCAGGAGCAGGTTGTTTAGTTTCCGTGTAGTTGAGCAGTTTTGAGTGAGTTTCTTAATCCTGAGTTCTAGTTTGATTGCACTGTGGTCTGAGAGACAGTTTGTTATAATTTCTGTTCTTTTACATTTGCTGAGGAGTGCTTTACTTCCAACTATGTGGTCAATTTTGGAATAAGTGTGATGTGGTGCTGAGAAGAATGTATATTCTGTTGATTTGGGGTGGAGAGTTCTGTAGATGTCTGTTCATTCCGCTTGGTGCAGAGCTGAGTTCAATTCCTGGATATCCTTTTTAACTTTCTGTCTCATCGATCTGTCTAATGTTGACAGTGGGGTGTCAGAGTCTCCCATTATTATTGTGTGGGAGTCTAACTCTCTTTATAGGTCTTTTAGGACTTTCTTTATGAATCTGGGTGCTCCTGTATTGGGTGCATATATATTTAGGATAGTTAGCTCTTCTTGTTGACTTGATCCCTTTGCCATTATGTAATGGCCTTCTTTGTCTCTTTCTGTCTTTGTTGGTTTAAAGTCTGTTTTATCAGAGACTAGGATTGCAACCCCTGCCTTTTTTTGTTTTCCATTTGCTTGGTAGATCTTCCTCCATCCCTTTATTTTGCGCCTATGTGTGTCTCTGCATGTGAGATGGGTCTCCTGAATACAGCACACTGATGGGTCTTGACTCTTTATCCAATTTGCCAGTCTGTGTCTTTTAATTGGAGCATTTAGCCCATTTACATTTAAGGTTAATATTGTTATGTTTGAATTTGATCCTGTCGTTACGTTATGATGTTAGCTGGTTATTTTGCTCATTAGTTGATGCGGTTTCTTTCTAGCATCCATGGTCTTTACAATTTGGCATGTTTTTGCAGTGGCTGGTACTGGTTGTTCCTTTCCATGTTTAGTGCTTCCTTCAGGAGCTCTTGTAGGGCAGGCTTGGTGGTGACAAAATCTCTTAGCATTTGTTTGTCTCTAAAGGATTTTATTTCTCCTTCACTCATGAAGCTTAGTTTGGCTGCATATGAAATTCTGGGTTGAAAATTCTTTTCTTGAAGAATGTTGGATGTTGGCTTCCACTCTCTTCTGGCTTGTTCAGTTTCTGCTGAGAAATCCACTGTTAGTCTGATGGGCTTCCCTTTGTGGGTAACCCGACCTTTCTCTCTGGCTGCCCTTAACATTTTTTCCTTCATTTCAACTTTGGTGAATCTGACAATTATGTGTCTTGGAGTTGCTCTTCTCGAGGAGTATCTTTGTGGCGTTCTCTGTATTTCCTGAATCTGAACGTTGGCCTGCCTTGCTAGATTGGGGAAGTTCTCCTGGATAATATCCTGCAGAGTGTTTTCCAACTTGTTTCCATTCTTCCTGTCACTTTCAGGTACACCAATCCGACGTAGATTTGGTCTTTTTACGTAGTCCCATATTTCTTGGAGGCTTTGTTCGTTTCTTTTTACTCTTTTTTCTCTTAACTTCTCTTCTCACTTCATTTCATTCATTTGATCTTCAGTCACTGATACCCTTTCTTCCAGTTGATCGAATTGGCTACTGAAGCTTGTGCATTCGTCACGTAGTTCTCCTGCCATGGTTTTCAGCTCCATCAGGTCATTTAAGGACTTCTCTACGCTGGTTATTCTAGTTAGCCATTCATCTAGTCTTTTTTCAAGGTTTTTAGCTTCTTTGCGATGGGCTCCAACTTCCTCCTTTAGCTGAGAGAAGTTTGATCGTCTGTAGCCTTCTTCTGTCAGCTCGTGAAAGTCATTCTCCGTCCAGCTTTGTTCTGTTGCTGGTGAGGAGCTCTGTTTCTTTGGAGGGGGAGAGGCGATCTGATTTTTAGAATTTTCAGCTTTTCTGCTCAGTTTTTCCCCATCTTTGTGGTTTTATCTACCTTTGGTCTTTGATGATGGTGACGTACAGATGGGGTTTTGGTGTGGATGTCCTTTCTGTTTGTTAGTTTTCCCTCTATTTTCTTAGCCTCACAAGTAGCTGGGATGGCAGGCATGCACTGCCATGCTCAGCTGGATTTCTTTTTAAAAATACCATTAGGTCTTATAGGGTTTAATTTTTTCGTAGAGGTTATGCATTAGTTAGTAGGTTAATTCTGAAATGCCTTATGCTGTTTTTGTTAGAATAGTATTTAGTATTTTCTGCTTGGTTATTGCTGAGGAAGAGAACCTTCAATTTTTGTGTTGGTCTAATATGTGGACCCTATTTGAGCTCTTATTCTGAGTCCTAGAATGCATTCTAATACTTTGTTGATTTTGTTGGTTTTAGTATGTATATTATTATATAACCTGCAAACAATTTCAGTTTTGTCTCTTCCTTTTCCCTTTTTTTTTTTTTTTTTTTTTTTTTTTTGAGGCAAGAGTCTTGCTCTGTCCCACAGACTAGAAGGCGGCCAGGCACAGTGACTCACACCTATAATCCCAGCATTTTGGGAGGATGTAGCAGCTGGATTATCTGAGATCAGGAGTTAGAGAACAGTCTGCCTAACATGACGAAACCCCGTTTCTACTAAAAATACAAAAAATTAGCTGAGCGTGGTGTTGGGCACCTGTAATCTCAGCTACTCAGGAGGCTGAGGCAGGAGAATCAGTTGAACCCGGGAGGCAGAGGTTGCAGTGAGCCAAGATCATGGTGTTGTACTCCAGCCTAGTTGACAGAGCAAGACTCTGTCTCAAAAAAAAAAAAAAAGCTGTAGAAGAATTGTGAGCATTTTATTTTCTTCTCGTTGAATCTGTATTTTCTGAATTTTACATTATTGTCTTTTATACTTAAAGGGGAAACATTACTTTCAAAGTAAGATAAAAGATGAGACAACAATTATTAAGTCTTGAGCTTTATAATGAACTTTAGCAAGTTTAAATAAAAGTAGAAAGGAAAATAAACATTTGCTTTAGATCAGATGTTACTTTCTGTATTTTTCAGTGGAAGTGAAGAAGCTCTTTCCAATGAAGACTGTGAAAATGTTTACCACTTGGTGTACTCGGCACATCGCCCTGTTGCTGTGGCAGCTGGAGAGTTCCTTCACAAAAAGTGAGCTAATTATCTTTGAAAACCGGTTCTACTTTTCTATGTTGTTTTCTTGTTGTTTTAGAGTTTGTAGAAGAGAGTAATAGTGACTGAACACAGTGCTGAAAATGTCCATCTGATACTCCAGGGGCTATAACAGCCTCACAGCCTATGTATACATGGTGAATCACAGCCTTGAGGATGCTGTACCTTGTGACATACTCCTTTTTTCTGAAATCTGAGAGGATGATTCTCAGCTAGATGTGAGTGGAGATTGGAGGAATGCATGAAATTTATAAAAGCTAACGTAATTGATAATTCATCACACTAGTTTTTTCTTTAAAATTCTGAGGTCTGATCTTACTTTCTTAACATTTGTAATCTAAATTTGAAGCAGTATCACCTTTAAAATGCCTTCCAAATTTTCATTTTTTTTCATTCTTTCCATTATGATGATTTTTTTGTTTTTTTGTTTTTTTTTGAGACGGAGTTTCGCTCTTGTTGCCCAGACTACAGTACAATGGTGCAGTCTCGACTCACCACAACTTCTGCCTCCCAGGTTCAAGCGATTATCCTACCTCAGCTTCCCAAGTAGCTGGGATTACAGGCATGCGCCACCCTGCCCGGCTAATTTTGTGTTTTTATTAGAGACAGGGTTTCTCCATGTTGGTCAGGCCGGTGTCGAACTCCCGACCTCAGGTAATCCGCCCGCCTCAGCCTCCCAAACTGCTGGGATTACAGGCATGAGCCACCACACCTGGCCATGATCAGGATTATTTTAATCAGTAATTCATAGTAATTCTGAAAGTTTTATATATATATAGTTGCAGTTTAATTTTTTTTAAACCTTATTTTTTTGTAAAGCATAACGTTAATGAGAGTGTATGCATGTAAACATTTAGGATGTACATGTTTTAGCGTGATTTACTGTATATGTTCTATAATTGATTAGTAGATTAACTCATTCTTTAAATCATTTTAAAATATATATTATATGTAAGTATATATGTATATATAAGTATATATGTATGTATGTATATATAAATATATATTTATATATGTATGTATATATGTATATATGAATATATGTGTATATATGTATGTATATGTATATGTGTGTGTGTGTGTGTGTGTATACACACACACACACACACACACACACACACACATATACACATTTTTTTTTTTTTAGAGAGATGGGGTCTTGCTGTCTTGCCCAGGCTGGTCTTGAACTCCTGGCCTGAAGTGATCCTCCCACCTCAGCCTCCCATAGTGTTGGGATTACAGGCATGAGCCACTGTACCCAGTTGATTAATTCATATTTAAAATATAAACATATTCTTGGTTATAGGTGTGTATCTTTTTGCTTTGTTTTGTGTTTTGGATTTTTGTTCATGGATTTAAATTACTAGCTTTGAATAATATTCACAAGTGATTTTAAAAGTTTATTATGTATTCTAACTTCTTCTTATGCTGAAGTACAACTATAAATCATGGACTAGGCAACTGTTGTGCATCATTGACTAACTTTGATAATGAGCAGGCCTGGTCCTCTCTCCAGTATCTGCATTCAGTGCTACAATAACAAATTGTTCTCTACTCACTTGTACCTCTCAAAGTGAGAAAAGTTATTTCTATGTAAGAAATCTCTGTTAAGAAAGAAACCAGCTACTTACTGGGCATGCTGGCAAAGGAAATGAAGAGGAAGAAAGTCAAGGTTTTCAGGCATGACTTAAAATAATATTGCATTTCCTAGTGACTCTGACAGCTCTGGCTAGTAGAATAATGCTGATTTTATATTTATCTTTGGATGTTGTCTGTCACTGATACCAAGAATGTACTGTAGTCTTTCTTTTTTCAGCATTATTTTATTCTAATTAGTCTCTATTCTCTACTTTTCAAAGAACTTCGTGTTTTTAGAAATAATTTGTTGCTTCTGTAGTTTCAGAGAGAAAAATAAACTTATGAGATTGGTTCTCTGTATAATAGAAGCCATAAACTGGTAACTCTTGAGTTAGAAAAAGTCTTAGAATATACTTATTTTATGTCTGTATTATATTTTTCTATGTTTGAAATATTGGCTAAATTTTTTATACTTTTAAAAATTGATAAATGCATATTTATAGGGTACATGTGATATTTTGATGCATGCACCTAATGTGTAATGGTGAAATTAGGTAAATGGGATATCCATCACCTCAAATATGTATTATTTCTTTGTGTTGGGAACTTTCCAAATCTTCTATTAATAAATATTTTGAAATATTCCATAAATTATTGTTAACTATAGTCACCCTACTGTGGTATCAAACACTAAAACTTATTTCTTCTAACTGTATTTTTGAACCCATTAACCAACCTCTCTTTATTCCACCCTCTGGTAGCGATCATTCTACTGCCCCTCCAGGAGATCAATCTTTTTTTTAGCTCCCACATTAAAGTGAGAACATGAGATATTTGTCCTTCTGTGCTTGGCTTAATTCACTTAACATAATGTCATCTAGTTCCATCTGTGTCACTGCAAATGACAGGATTTCCTTTTTATGGCTAAATAGTATTCCATTGTGTATATATACCACATTTGTTTATCCATTCAAACGCTGGTGAACACTTAGGTTGATTCCATGTATCACTACTATGAATAGTGCTGTAGTAAACATGGCAGTGCAGATATCTCTTTGATATGCTGATTTTTTTCTTGTAGATATATACTTAGCAGTGGAGTTGCTTGATCATATGGTAGATATTTTTAGTTTTTTGAGTAACTTCCATACTGTTTTCCACTGTTGCTGTACTAATTTACATTCCCACCAACAGTGTACTAGCATTCACCTTTCTCTGCATCCTGGCCAGCATGTTATTTTTTTGTCTTTATGATAATAGCTATTGAAAATGAGGTAAGATGATATCTCATTGTGATTTCTTATTTGCACTTTCTTTATAATAAATAATGAGAGCACTTTTTGTATACCAGTTGGCCACTGGTATGTCTTCCTTTGAGAAATGTCCGTTCAGATCATTTGCCCATTTGTAAATTGGATTGTTTTCGTTTTTGCTAAGGGGTTGTTTGAGTACCTTATATATTCTGGTTACTAATCCCTTGTCAGATGAATAGTTGGCCGATATTTTCACCCACTCTGCAGGTTGTCTCTTTATTGATCCCTTTGCTGTATAGAAACTTTTTTGCTTAATATAATCTCATTTGTCTGTTTTTCCTTTTATTGCCCATGCTATTGAGGTCTTGCCCCAAAACTCTACCCAGACTAATATTCTTAAGAATCCCCAGTGTTTTCTTTCTCTTTTTTTTTTTTTTTCAAGACGGAGTCTTGCTAGTTAATGGAAATGGGATTGACTTCTTGACTTCTTTTTCAGATTGTTCACTTTTGCTGTACAAGAATGCTACTGATTTTTATGTTGATTTTGTATTCTGCTACTTTTCAGAATTTATTAGTTCTCACAACAATTTTTTGGGCGGAGTCTGTTTTTCTAAATATAAGATTATGCCATCCACAAACAAAGATGATTTGACTTCTTTCCAATTTGGATGTCTTTTATTTCATTCTCTTGCCTAACTGCTCTGACTAGGACTTTTAGTACTATGTTGTATAAAAGTGGTGAAAGTTGGCATCCTGGTCTTGAGTTCTTATGGGAAAGGCTTTCACCTTTTCCCCATTTAATGTAATTGTAGCTGTGGGTTTGTCATATGTGGACTTTATTATTTTGAGATGTGTTTCATCTTTGCTAGTTTGTTGAGAGTTTTTATCATGAAGGGGTGTTGATTTCTTTCAAATGCTTTTTCTCTGTTGAGAGGGTCATATGAGTTTTGTCTTTCAGTCTGTTGATGTGATGTATCACATTTACTGATAATGCATATGGTTAAACTATCTTTGTGTCCCTGATATAAATCCTGCTTGATTATGGTACAGTACCTTGTGGATATGTTGTTAAATTTGGTTTGGTAGTTATTGTTGAGAATTTTTACATGCATGTTTACTAGGGATATTGTCTAATAGTTTTTGTTGTTGTTTTGTTGTTGTTATTTTGTCTTTGTCTGGTTTTGGCATCAGGGTGATGCTGACCTTGTAGAATGAGCTTGGAGGTATTCCCTTATCTTCAATTTTCTGGAATAGTTTGAGTAGAATTGGTGTTAGTTCTTCTTTAAATGCTTGGTAGAATTCTGCAGTGAAGCCATCAGGTACCGGGCTTTTTTTTTTGGGGGGGGAGACTTTATTAGTGCTTCAGTATCATTAATTTTTATTACTGCTTCAATATCATTATTGGTCTCTTCAGGTTTTCTTTTTTGAGACGGAGTTTTGCTGTTGTTGTCCTGGCTGGAGTACAATGGCACAGTCTCGGCTTACTGCAACCTCCACCTCCTGGGTTCAAGCGATTCTACTGCCTCAGCCTCTCGAGTAGCTGGGATTACAGGCTCTTGCCACCATGCCCAGCTAATTTTTGTATTTTTAGTAGAGATGGGGTTTCACCATCTTGGCCAGGCTGGTCTCAAACTCCTGACCTCAGGTGATTCACCCACCTTGGCCTCCAAGAGTGCTGGGACTAAAGGCGTGAGCCACCGTGCCCGGCAGTTTTCTATTTCTTTATGGTTCATTTATGTTAGGTTGTATGTGTCCAAGAATTTATTCATTTCTTTTAGGTTTTACATTTTGTTGGTATACAGATGTGTATAATAGTTTTTACTGATCCTTTGTATTTCTCTTGTAACCATTGTAATGTCTCTTTTTCTGTCTCTGATTTTATTTGGATATTCTTTTTTTTAGTTCAGCTAAAGGTTTGTCCATTTTGTTTATTTTTTAAAAAACCAATTGTGGTTTCATTGGTCTTTTGTATTTAGTCTTAATTACATTTATTCTCTGATCTTTATTATTCCTTTCCTTCGGCTAATTTTGGTTTGTTTTTTGATGTTGTTGTTGTTGTTGTTTTTGTGTGGGTCTTCTAGTTCCTTGATACCTTTCATTATTGTTGTCTGTTTGAAGTTTTGCTAGTTTTTTGATATAGATACTTATTGGTATAAACTTTCCTTTAGAACTGCTTTAGCTGTACTGTACTTCATAGGTTTTAGTATGTTGTGTTTCTATTTTCTTTTCTCTCACGAAATTCTAAAATTTCTTCTTTGAACCATTTGTTGTTCAGGAGCGTGTTGTCTAATTTACATGAACTTGAACAATTTCCATTCCTTCTGTAATTGATTTTTAGTTTTATTGCATTATGGTTAAAAAAGATACTCAATATGCATTCAATATTTTAAAATCTATTGACTTCTTTTGTGACCTTGTAGCCTGTCCTGGAGAATATTTCATTTGCTACTAGAAAAATGAGTATTCTGCAACTGTTAGATGGAATGTTCTGTAAATGTATGTTAGGTCCATTTGGTCTAGAATGCAGTTTAACTCCAGTGTTTCTTTGGAAACATTGATTCTTTTTCCGTCTGGATAATCTTCCCATTGCTGAAAATTGCACGTTGAAGTCCCCTACTACTCCTATTACATTGCAGTTACTCTCTTTCCTTATGTCTTAAGTTTTTAAATATATTTGTGAGGTTCAATATTGAGTGTAGAGATATTTATAATTGTTATATCCTCTTGTCATATTGACCCTTTTACCATTGTAAAATGGTATTCTTTGTCTTTTTTTCTTTTCTTTTCTTTTCTTTTTTTTTTTTTTTTCTTTAAGACAGAGTCTCGCTCTGTCGCCAGGCTGGAGTGCAGTGGCGCCATCTTGGCTCACTGCAACCTCCACCTCCTGGGTTCAAGCAGTTCTCCTGCCTCAGCCTCCCGAGTAGCTGGGACTGCAGGCACGTGTCACCACGCCTGGCTAATTTTTGTGTTTCTAGTAGAGACAGGGTTTCACCATGTTGGCCAGGATGGTCTCCATCTCTTGACCTTGTGACCTGCCCACCTCAGCCTCCCAAAGTGCTGCGATTACAGGCTTGCACCACCGTGCCTGGCCTTCTTTGTCTTTTTTTAATCATTCTTGACTTAAAGTCTATTTTATTTGATAACAAATATATCCACTTCTGTTACATTTTTGGTTTCTAAGTGCATGGATTATCTTTTTCCATACCTTCACTTTCAGTCTGTGTGTGTCTTTATAGATGAAGTGAGTTTCTTACGGCATAATATAATTGGGTCATGTTTTTTTTTAATCGTTTCAGCCACTTTATATGTCTTTCAATTTGATAATTTAATCCATTTACCTTCAGGATTATTGTTGATGGGCATGTGTTTACTATTGCCATTTTGTTGCTTGTTTTCTGGTTGTTTTGTAGATCCCATTGATTTTTTTCTCTCTCTCACTGTCTTCCTTTTAGTTATCTAATAATATATTTTGATTCTGTGCTGTTTATTTCTGGTGTATCTATTATAGACATTGCTTTGTGATTACACTGAGGCTTGTAAAAAATATCTTGTAGTTAAAACAGGTTATTTTATGTAGGGCATGGTGGCTTACACCTGTAATCACAGCACTTTGGGAGGCCAAGGCAGGCAGATCTCTTGAGGTCAGGAGTTCAAGACCAGCCTGGCCAACATGATGAAAGCCTGTCTCTGCTAAAAATATAAAAATCAGCCAGGCGTGATGGCAGGTGCCTGTAATTCCAGCTACTTGGGAGGTTGAGGCAGGAGAATTGCTTGAACCTAGGAAGCAGAGGTTGCAGTGAGCTCAGATTGTGCCACTGCACTCCAGCCTAGGTGACAGAGCAAGACTCACTCTCAAAACAAAACAAACAAACAAACAAAACAGAAAAAAAACACAGAAAAAAATACAGTTTATTTTAAACTTATAATAACTTTGATTGTAAAGTATCATAAATAAACTTTACACTTTAACACTGCTCCCCTCCCATGTTTTGGCTTTTCTGTGTTTCAATTTACATTTTAAAAATTTTGCTTATCTCAGCAATTGTTGCAGTTTGTTTTGGGGTTTTTTTGTTTGTTTGTTTGTTTTTTGTTTTTGTAGAGACAAGAGTTTTGCCATGTTGCCCAGGCTGGTCTCAAACTCCTAAGCTCAAGCGATCCTCCCATCTCGGCCTCCCAAAGTTTGGAGATTACAGGCATGAATCACCATGCCTGGCCCCAGTTGTTATTTTTAATAGTTTTTTCTTGTAGTCTTCATGCTTAAGATATAAGTCATTTACTTGCTGCATTTTAAAGTACTCTGAATTTTTTTCAGTTTTCTTACTTTTACCAGTGAGTTTTATACCTTGAAGTTTTCTTGTCACACATTAGTGTTGGGGTGATCAGACCCAACAGCAGGCCGTGGGGGCTACGAAGTCCAGCAGAGTCAAAGGAATGAGAAAAGACAAGTTAAGAATGAGTGCATAAAGTGGGTCCAGGGGGCCAACGCTGGTATGGAGGCTGCGAAGGCCCCGAGCTCTGGGAGCCCACACTATTTATTGGTGATGAAAGAAAGAAGCAGGTGGTGAGGACGTTTGGATGTGGGGGTAAACAGGTGAGGACATGAGGACGTAGGGGTAGAAAGGTAGCGGTGCATCAAGCGTTATCTGTGACAGTTTACTATTTTCTTTGATGCATATAAAATATGCTCTGCTGCTTGAGATAATGGAGAACATGTTTACGAGCCTGGGAGAGCAACCAACAAGTCTGCGCACATTCCAGAGGCCACGAGGGGTTTTATGCTCTGAGCCTTGGATTCCATCCAAGCTACGAGGGGTTTTATGCCTGGGCTTATATTTGTGGTGCGGCAGGGCAGCCTTCCACCCTTTGGCACAGACTTTGCTGTTCCAAAGGCCATGAGGGGTTTTAGACCCTGGACCCCGGACATTTTCCAAGACTCTTTTATATTATGACAGACAAGCCAATCCTGCCTGAGCTTTTCTGCCAACACATTAGCATTCATTTCTTTCAAATTGAAGAACTCCTTTTGGCATTTTTTATAAGGCAGCTCTGGTGTTGATGAATTCCCTCAGCTTCTATTTGTCTGGGAAAGTCTTTATCTGTCTTTCATGTTTGAAGGATATTGTTAGGTACAGTATTCTTGGATAGCAGTTTTCTTTCTTCAAAACTTTGAATATAGCATCCCAGTCTATCCTGACCTTCAAGATTTCTGCTGATAAATCTACTGAAAGCCATATAGGAGCTCCATTGAATATGATATGATTCTTTTCTTTTGATGCTTTGAATATTTCTTCTTTGTCCTTGATTTTTGTTAATTTGATTATGATATGCCTTGGGAAATTCCTCTTTGGGTTGAATTTGTTTGATGACATCTGAGCTTTCTGTTCCTGGATGCTGTTGTCTTTCTCCAGATTTGGGGAATTTTCAGCCTTACTCTTTTAATATGCTTTCCAGGCCCTTTTTCTCTCTCGTCTCCTTTGGGAATGCTAATTTTGCAGAAGTTAGTTTGCTTGAACGTGTCCCATAATTCTCATAGGCTTTTTAAATTCTTTTTTTCTTTTTGCTCTTCTGACTAGGTAATTTCATAAGTTCTGCCTTCAGGCTTACTAATTCTTTCCTCTGTTTGGTCAAGTTTGCTGTTGAAGCTTTCTAGTGAGTTTTTCACTTCAGTTATATTCTTTATTTCTAGGATGTATATTTGATTTTTAAAAATTGTTTCTATTCATCATATTTCTCATTTTGTTTTTCAAATTTGATTTAGTTTTCTATTTGGATTTTTTGTGTGTATGTAATTCCTTAAAATTCTTTTTAAGAGGATTACCCTGAATTGCCTGTCAGACATTTCATAGATCTTCAGTTTTTCTGGATCTGTTGCTGGACCTCTGCTGGTTTTGTTTGGTAGTGTAATATTTCCCTGACTTAAGTTGATGCTTGTGTATTTGAAGAGATAGCTACCGCTTCCACTTTTTTGCAAGTTTTCTTTGGTAGTGTTAGACCTTTACTTCTTAGTTTCAGAACTTGAACCCTGGCCTCTTGTTTTTTTCTTGGTCTGGCAAGAACTTATAGTGGAATTTAAACAGTATTCCAGAACCAAGTCACTGCACTTCTGTTCTTTCTCAGTCTGGTGAAGACTCTTAGTACTGGAGCTTAAACACTTCCCTGGAACTATATTGCTGGCCTTACATTATTTCCCAACCTGGGAAATCCTTAAGTGGGTACTGCAACTTAATCCTGACCTTTTAGTTGTTTCCAGGCCAAGGAAAGACTTTATACAGTCACCTGGGCTTTGTGGAAAATACATCTAGGGATTTGATCCTTCGCTTGGATTGTGCCCCTTGCAGTGCTTTTGCACTGGCCACTCCCTTCAACATGGCATTCCCACTGGCCAATGTGCCGAGTGGCTGCCAAGATCCGTGCACCAGTTGCTGTGATGTGCACCAGTTGCTGTGATCAGCACCCTATTCTTTCTCCCCAGTTCACCCCAGGTGTTTCTGGCCTCCAGGCACTCCCAGTGGTTCCGTGGGATGGAACTGGAGTGGGCTTCTTGCAAAGATGCCCAGACCAGCAAGGAGAGCAATTTTCCACTTCTAATTCCCTCTTACCAGAATCATGGGTCTAGGGAAATTCTCTTTGAGTTTTGCCAGCTTGTAGGGAGGGGGCAGTTGGCACCGTGTGAAATGACTGTTTCTCTTACTAATCATAGTTTCTTGATTCTGTGGGCCCAGAGGGTTTCTCCACTTCTCTTCAGAGTTCTAGCATATTCAGGGTGGTATCCTTGTGTTTGAATAGTTTCTGGTTGTATCTTGGTAGGGGGAGTGATGCTCGGCAATCTTCTGTTCCACCATCTTGCTGATATCACAACACCAAAAAAAGTTTTTATTAGAATATCTGCCACAGAAATCCAGAAGGATAAGCCTCCATTAGTTTTTGTTTCTTTGTGAAAATCAAGCCAATTCTTATGCAAATGAAAGCTTCACTCCATAAATGTTTTTTAGGCCCGTGTCTTGGAGAAACTTACAGTTTGATGACTTGATTAATGATCTCTTTTATCATTCTTCCATCATTTAATATGGTGACTTAGAAAATCTTAAATAAGCTATGGTGTATCCCCAGGAGTTCCATGATCAGCTTTCAAAGATACATAAATGTACACATCCACACACGTATAGTGTCTTGTAGTCTAGTCATAAGCTATTCACAATATTAACCAATCATCCAAAAAGTAGTAAGATCTGTCTGAAATGAATGTTTTACTACATGATCAAAAATTCCACATTTTAATACTCAAAATTTAAGCAAATTCCTCAATACCTTATTTATATGCAATAAATGGAATTATTTAAATTGGCACAAACTGGGCATGGTGGCTCATCCCCATAATCCCAGCACTTTGGGAGGCCGAGGCAGGTGGACGACTTGAGGTCAGGAGTTCGAGATCAGCCTGGCCAACATGGTGAAACCCCATCTCTACTAAAAATACAAAAAATTGGCCTGGCATGGTGGCACACGCCTGTAATCTTATCTACTCCAGAGGCCGAGACAGGAGAATCTCTTGAGCCCAGGAGGCGGAGGTTGCAGTAAGCAGAGATCATGCCATTGCCGTCCAGCCAGGCCGACAGAGTGAGACTTCATCTCAAAAAAAACATAAAATAAGCCGATCACGGTGGCTCAGGCCTGTAATCCCAGCACTTTGGGAGGCTGAGGTGGGCGGATTACTTGAGGTCAGGAGTTCGAGACCAGCCTGGCCAACATGGTGAAACCCTGTCTCTACTAGAAAATACAAAAATTAGCTGGGCATGGTGGCAGGCACCTGTAATCCCAGCAACTTGGGAGGCTGAGGCATGAGAATCGCTTGAATCTAGGAGGCGGAGATTGTGCCGCTGCACTCCAGCCTGGGTGACAGAGTGAGACTGTGTCTCAAAAAATAAATAAATAGATTGGTATATTTCAGTTATCAGGGATATTCATATTTTCCTTTTACCACCCCTCTGAAAGTCACCCATTAAACAGAACCTTCTCTTAAATGACAGCTATATAGATTATAGATATAGCTTCAAGATAAGTTCTCTAGTCCCCTAATATGCCTTCCTCCTCACCTGCCCCCCCAGAAAACCTCAGCTTCTCTGTGGTCGTTTTCTGGTAGAGATTGGTTTATTTTAATATCACATGAAATTATTCTCATTTTATTCAGTTATTTTGCCTCTCATTTGAGAGGCCTACTCTGACTTTTATGTATAAACTAGTACATGCTATATACATATACCGTTTTTTTTTTTTACTTTTCTTTATAACCAGCAACAGTATATACTTATCTACCGTTTATTCACTAAAGTGAGAGCTCCATGAGAACAGGGATTTTGTCGTTTGTTCCTAAGATTCCCTTTTACCTAGAGCAATGCCTAGAAATAAGATACCTTTAGCAATTTTTTTTTTTTTTTTTTGAGACATAGTCTCGCTCTGTCACCCAGGCTGGAGTGCAGTGGCGCGATCTCGGCTTACTGTAAGCTCCACCTCCTGAGTTCATGCCATTCTTCTGCCTCAGCCTCCCGAGTAGGTGGGACTACAGGCGCCCGCCACCACGCCCGGCTAATTTTTTGTATTTTTAGTAGAGATGGGGTTTCACTGTGTGAGCCAGGATGGTCTCAATCTCCTGACTTCATGATCTGCCTGCCTCGGCCTCCCAAAGAGCTGGGATTATAGGCGTGAGCCACCGTGCCCGGCCAACTTAGCAGTTTTTAAGTTTTGTTAGAATAAATCTAAACAAATTAAAAATTTCAAATCTTTTTTTTTGCCATATTTCAGATGTTTTGTTACTACATGATATTTTATTAATTTACCATTAATGTCATTTTACTAAAAACTATTGGGTTCATAGATAATGTTTCCAGATAATAAGGTGTGAATTTTTTAAATTATTGATGAAACATTTGGTTATATGTTATAATTACATGACTGTGAAATCAGTGTTTAGGAAAATAGAACTTAGGGCCAAGGCAGGGGTATCACTTGAGGTCAGGAGTTCGAGACCAGCCTGGCCAACATGGTGAAACCTCATCTCTACTAAAAATACAAAAATTAGCCCAGCATAGTGGCAGGCACCTGTAATTTCAGCTACTTGGAAGGCTGAGGCAGGAGAATTGCTTGAACCCGAGAGGCAGAGGTTGCAGTGAGCCGAGATCATGCCACTGCACTCCAGCCTGGGTGACAGAGCGAGACTCTGTCTCAAAAAAGAAAATAGAACTCAGTTAAAAATTACATATTCTAGTATCAATCATACAGGATAATAGCAGTCCTTATCATTTTCACACATATTTGAACATTGATTGTTCATTGTAAAAGTTTCCCTTTACATTTTATATCTAGTTTAACCTGTAGGACATTGTTCAGATGCCACCATTTTCCGACCTATAATGACATCAGTTACATATTTCTATTGAAATAGATGAATAATCTGATCTCTGATTTTTTTTTTTTTTCGGAGTCTCTGTCACCCAGGCTGGAGTGCAGTTGTGCAATCTCAGCTGTCTGCAAGCTCCGCCTCCTGGGTTCATGCCATTCTCCTGCCTCAGCCTCCCAAGTAGCTGGGACTACAGGTGCCCGCCACCATGCCCGGCTAATTTTTTGTATTTTTAGTAGAGACGGGATTTCACCGTGTTAGCCAGGATGGTCTCAGTCTCCTGACCTCATGATCCACCTGCCTCGGCCTCCCAGAGTGCTGGGATTACAGGCATGAGCCTCTGCACCTGGCCTGATCTCTGATGCTCGTTCTCCCTGCTCCCCCTTTTTGTTGTTGTTGTTGTTAAACACTGAAATGATTTGTGTGTTGAGGGAAGACTAAAGTTCATATTCATGTAACTTTGCAATGCCCTGTTTTTCATTTCCAGGCTATTTAGCAGACATGACCCACAAGCAGAAGAAGCATTAGCAAAGAGGAGGGGAAGAAACAGCCCGAATGGAAACCTCATTAGGATGCTGGTTCTTTTCTTTCTTGAAAGTGAGGTAAAAAATGTTTTAAGATAATTCCTTATTTCTTTTATTATATTACATTTTAAATGTCAATTCATTTTAATTTTTTTCAATCAAATAAAAACAAGTCTGTTTCTTATAAAGTTACCTTCATGAATTGCATGATATAGAATCAGTCCTTTACCTTTTGTGGAAAGGTGTTCTGAATATATATGTAGGTGTGGATCAACACTGAATACAGACTGGCAATTGTTAAACTTTTACAGTATTGCAATACTGCATATCTTTTTTTTTTTTTCTTTTGAGACAGGGTCTCACTCTGTCACCCAGGCTGGAGTACAGTGGTGCGATCTCGGCTCACTGCAGCCTCTGCCTCCCAGATTCAAGGGCTTGTCCTGCCTCAGCCTCCCGAGTAGCTGGGACTACAGGTGCCCACTACCACGCCCAGCTAATTTTTGTATCTTTAGTAGAGACGGGGTTTCACCATGTTGGCCAGGCTGGTCTTGAACTCCTGACTTAGGTCATCTGCCCACCTTGGCCTCCCAAAGTGCTGGGATTATGGTCATGAGCCACCATGCCCAGCCTGCATACCTTTTTTTTATTGTTGCCTTTTGTTTTTATGCCTGTAGCTTTTACATTACATTAAACAGTTTTTGAAAATTGTCAGACTGTTAATAACATTAGTTTTATCTTGTTTGAAAATTATTTAGTAAGGAGAAAGAAAAATACAAATTCATGTTTTAATTGATAGTTGTACGAGCCTCATAGCAATATTTCCATGTGCTATATTCAGTTATTGCTTAAACAATTTTGTAATTAACACTTATATGTCAGGATCTGTTTTCTCAAGTAAACTTCGGTTTTTCCACCAAAATGGTGTGGGTTTTTTTTTTTTTAATATATTGTAATCTGTATTTCCTACTACTGCCGTGTCATTGGAGAAACAGTAAATTAAACCTGAAGAACTCCTGAATAACTTAACTTCTTCGTTTAGAAATGCTTGAAAATAGAGTTGCAGGCCAGGTGCAGTGGCTCACGCTTGTAATCCCAGCACTTTGGGAGGCCGAGGTGGGCAGATCACTTCAGGCCAGGAGTTTAAGACCAGCCTGGCTAATATAGCAAAAGTCCGTCTCTACTAAAAATAGAAAAAAATTAGCTGAGCGTGGTGGCGCACACCTAATCACAGCTAATAAAGAGTCTGAGACACAAGAATTGCTTGAACCCAGGAGGCAGAGGTTGCATGCAGTGAGCCGAGATTGTACCACTGCACTCCACACTTCGCGACAGAGCCAGATTCTGTCTCAAAAAAAATTAAAATAAATAAGCAAACAAAATAGAGTTGCAAAAGAAGTAAAGAACATCTAGAAACCTAGGACTCTCAATTTTATTTGTTAAAAAGTGTTTTTGATTTGTGCTAGAATGTCAGTGAAGAAACGATTCTATGAATGCTCAAGTTTGAGAGTAAGAGGGGAACTTAGTAGGAATAAGGAAGAGAGACACAAACAGGTAGCCTATATGAAAATTAAAATTGGAGAAGAACTCAGTCAGTGGAGTGAAGGGTGTTAGGGCAAAACAGCAGAAAGTGGTGAAGGAGTTGCTGCCATTTTTTAAGAGAGTTACCAATGACTAGAGAAATAAAGTCAGAAACAAAACTAGCTAGAGAGTTGAATTTGAGTAAAGAATGTGTTTAATAGTATTTTAAATGTGTATGCAAATTACCTGAGGATCTTGTTAAAATGCCAGTTCTTATTCAATAGCTCTAGAATGGGGCCTGAGATTCTGCATTTCTAACAGTCTCCAAGATAGTGCTCATGCTCGTGGTCCAAGGATCACACTTTGCATACTAATGATTTGAAGCATTATTTTCTTAACAAGCAAGGGTGCATGTATTACAGAATAAAATGCAAAGTGTGAATTTTTTTAGTAAAACACTAACTACCCCGTAAATATCACATGTCTAGTAAACCATTTCAACTTACACTCTTACCTCCCTTAGGTTTTTTAGAGGAATGGAATAAAAAGTAGCCAGACATGGTGGCTACTTGGGAGGCTAAGGTGGGAGGATCCCTTGAGCCCAGGAGTTGCACAGGCTGCAGTAAGCTATGATCGCTCCATTTGTACTCCAGCCTGTGCAAGACCCTGTCTCTAAAAAAAAAAAAAAAAAAGCAACAATAGTTTCAGAAATTGATAAGTATGAGATAACTACTAAAAAGTTTAGGGAATATGATGATCTTCGCTAACTGACTTTGATTATTCATTAAAGGAAAATGTTTTTTATCTCTGAAAGCTCAAGGGCTTTTCAATTTATTAAAAGGCATGAGTACTTAGTTTCAGGCGTTTTGTCTTTTATTTAAAGAAGTAATTTGTAATGTTTATTACTGCACAATTTTCAGATGGTCTTACTGTATTCCTGTGTTTGCTACCATTTTCTAAAGTCTTACAACAGAATTAGAATGTATTTGCCAGCTGTATTACATTCCTTTTTTTTCCTTCTTTTTTTTTTTTTGAGACAGAGTCTTGCTCTGTCACTCAGGCTGGAGTGCAGTGGCGTGATCTCAGCTCACTGCAACCTCTGTCTCCCAGATTCAAGCAATTCTCATACTTTATCCTCCAAGTAGCTGAGACTACAAGTGTGTACCACCATGCTTGGCTAATTTTTGTATTTTTAGTAGAGACAGGGTTTCACCATGTTAGTCTGGCTGGTCTCGAACTCCTAACCTCAGGTGGTCCACCTGCCTCGGCCTTCCAAAGTGCTGGGATTACAGGCGTGAGCCACCACGCCTGGCCCTGTATTGCATTTTTCACAGCTACAAAAGCAACTGCAAATAGTATTGAAAGGTTTCTGGTTGATTCTAATGATTCATGGTGTTTATATTGACTTTTATGGTATCCTGTGTTTCACAAGAAATATTCTTTGTGAAAATCTCTCCTCTTATCTTTTTATACTAGTGTACACCTAGGATGAATGCTTAATGAAGCCATATTCTCATAGTATGATGGTATTCCAATTGTGCTCTACTCTGAATTTCTCTTTGTTTTACTGTCACACACTTTAATTGGTAAAATTTTGTAATAGACTTGTGAAATACTGAATTTAAAGAGACTTTAGAAATAATAGAGTAGAAAGAGTCTTTTTTTTTTGGGATGGAGTCTTGCTGGAGTGCAGTGGTGCAATCTCCACTCACTGCAACCTCTGCCTCCTGGGTTCAAGCGATTCTCCTGTCTCAGCCTCCCGAGTAGCTGGGATTAGAGGCATGCGCCACCACGCCTGGCTAATCTTTTTATTTTTAGTAGAGATGGAGTTTCGCCATGTTGGCCAGGCTGGTCTTGAACTCCTGACCTCAGGTGATCCACCCTCCTCAGTCTCCCGAAGTGCTGAAATTACAGGCGTGAAGCACTGTCCCCAGCCAAGGGAGTCTTTTATAGATTAGTTACAGACTGATATGGTTTGGCCCTGTCCCCACCCACATCCCATCTTGAATTGTAATAATCCCCATGTGTCAAGGGTGGGACCAGGTGGAGATAACTGTATCATAAGGGCAGTTTTTCTTACATGGTTCTCATGGTAGTAAGTCTCACGAGATCTGATGTTTTTATCAATGGGATTTCCCCTGCACAAGCTCTCTTGCCTGCCACCATGTAAGATGTCCCTTTGCTCTTCCTTCATCTTCTGCCATGATTGTGAGGCGTCCCCGGTCATGTGGATCTGTTTTGTGAGTCCATTAAATCTCTTTCCCTTATAAATTTCCCAGTCTCTGATATGTCTTTATTAGCAGCATGAGAACAGACCAGTACACAGACATTTACCTGGGATTAACTGAACTGATTATTTTTTTCTTTATTTTACTGAAATGAGAAGTAGTAACATTTTAGTAGAATTATAAAATGTTGAATTGGAATCAGTTTGCAGTGCATGTAAAATGTGATTAAGAGATCTGCATAAACAAGTCAGTAACTTTGTTTTCTTTTGGTACCAAAAGGTGATTTTTTAAGATGTTTCAACCTGTGACAGTCATTGATTTCAGGTGACAAAATACCTTGTATTTTAGATGCATGCCAGATAGTTGGATAAGTCGTACTTGAATGTGATAAGTCTGGATTTCCCTAGAGGTAGTATGACTCTAGAATTTATTATAAAAAGTGTGATGCAGCCAGGCGCGGTGGCTCATGCCTGTAAACCCAGCACTTTAGGAGGTGGAGGCGGGCAGATCACGAGGTCAGGAGATCGAGACCATCCTGGCTAACACGGTGAAACCCCGTCTCTACTAAAAATGCAAAAAATTAGCTGGGCCTGGTGGCGGGCACCTGTAGTCCCAGCTACTCTGGAGGCTGAGGCAGGAGACTGACAGGAAAATGACATGAACCCGGGAGGCGGAGCTTGCAGTGAGCCGAGATCGCACCACTGCCCTCCAGCCTGGGCGACAGTTTAAGACTCTGTCTCAAAAAAAAAAAAAAAAAAAAAAAAAAAATGTGATGCTTTTCAGAGGGATAAGGATGCTATTAGTAATTATTTCAAAACAACAAGAACAACCCAGAACATTTCTGGATAATCTGGCAGTATGGTCACCCTTCTTCTTTTTTTATTGTTTTATTTTTTGGAGACCAAATCTCGGTCTGTTGCCAGACTGGAGTGCAGTGGCAGAATCTTAGCTCACTGCACCCTCCGCCTCCTGGGATCAAGTGATTCTCCTGCCTCAGCCTCCTGAGTAGGTGGTACTGCAGGCACGCGCCACCACACCCAGCAATTTTTGTATTTTTAGTAGAGACGGTTTCACCATGTTGGCCAGATGGTCTCGATCTCTTGCTGCCCGCCTTGGCCCCCCAAAGTGCTGGGATTACAGGCGTGAGCCACCACGCCCAGCCAGTCACCCTTCTTATGAATGAGGAGGATAATTGTGACAGTCATTTAAGACAGGAAAATTGACAGCTTCTTATCGATATTTTTAAGAAATTTCCCAAAAATGCCAGGCACGATGGCTCACGCCTGTAATCCCAACACTTTGGGAGGCCGAGGCGGGTGGATTACCTGAGGTCAGGAGTTCGAGACCAGCCTGGCCAACATAGTAAAACACAGTCTCAACTAAAAATACAAAAATTAGCAGGGTGGCGTGGTGGGATGCACCTGTAGTCCCAGCTACTCAGGAGGCTGAGGCAGGAGAATTGCTTGAACGCAGGAGGCAAGAGGTGGCAGTGAGCCGAGATTGCGCCACTGCATCCTGGGCGACAGAGCAAGACTCTGTCTCAAAAAAAAAAAATATGAAAGAGAAATTAAGGTACAGTATAGATTAAGAAATTTTATTATATTGTGTAGTAGGAGCTGTGTAGGAGAACAGAAACAAGGGAGGCCAGGCACTGTGACTCATGCCTGTAATCCCAACACTTTGGGAGGATGAGGCGGGTGGATCACTTGAGGTCAGGAGTTCAGGACCAGCCTGGCCAACATGGTGAAAGCCTCTCTCTACTAAAAATGTAAAAATTAGTCAGGCATGGTGGCAGGTGCCTGTCATCTCAGCTACTCGGGATGCTGAGACAGGAGGATCGCTTGAACCTGGGAGGCGGAGGTTGCAGTGAGCCGAGATCATGCCGTAGCATTCCAGGCTGGGCGACAGAGTGAGACTCTGTCTAAAAATAAAATAATTTAAAAAAAAACAATGAAGGGAAAGAACCAAATCAAAGGACATGCAGTCAGATTACTGCCTAATAGACTCTATATGCAGATTATTACTTGAACATGTTTTCTAGGGAAGTGAAAAATCAATACAATAAAAGGAAAAGAGGAGTATAAGAAACATTGGTGAGCAAATAAATTAAAAAACAAAAAACAAAAACCTGAGCGCTAAACCTAAAAACTATGACATTGATGTTTAAGGCAAATATCTATTAATTAGTTTTTAAATGTAGGAGTATAGTGTTCAAATTAAATGAAGAGAAGTGAAAAATAGGCTAAGGATTTTGATAACGGATAAATGCTAGAAAATAAAACCCTGAATGAAGGACAGATAAAGTAATCAAGAAAACATCACAAATAGAGCACAGAAAATAAAATGCCAGCAATATTTTCAGCATGAGTAATCCCAGTAAATATAAATCAATTAACATATTTTATTAAAATGCAGATTATCATTTGGGATTGAAGTAAATGAAGAATAGCTTTATGCTATTTACAAACACATCTTAAAATAACTTATAGGAAGTTTATAAATAATAGGCTGGATAAAGGCTGGAAATAACTAATAAATGATTACACAAAGATAGCAGAGGGGGCAATATCAGTACAAGATAAACCAGAATTAAAGACCAAAAGCATTAAGAGGGATAGAAAGGGGATAGTCTGTATTTATTGAAGGTATAATCTGCCAAATATATGCGATTGTAAATCTTCATATACCTATTCTACAGAAATACACATAATCAAGCACAAAAGCATATTCAGCTGATTTATTGTAAAATATATAAAACAAAATTTACCTTGTTAAGTATACAGTTCATTGGCATTAAGTACATTTATATTGCTAGGCAGTCATCACTGCCATTTATCTCCAGAACTTTTTCAAATCTTCCCAAACTGAAACTCTTTATTTTAGCTTAAAATAAAGCTCTTTAATTTATATATGTATAAATAATAACTCTTTAATTTAGCATGGGTTAATAGCAACAGTTTTGAAACAATTTATTTTTCTTTTTTCTGCTGCCATTGTTCATCTTTGACTCTTGAGTTGTGCACCTCTTGTTCCTGTCACTGTTGGAGTAATGTTATGGATGGTCTAAGGATAGTTTCTCAGAATATGCGAATTAGGAAAGTTTGAAGATATCTCCCTCAAACCTTTGCCTATATTATTTACAAGCAAAGATGCTAATCAGTATTATTTACTCTGGCTTTGATGGAATTCACCAGGACATGTTGTGTGCATTTGAAATGCAGTCGAAATGAAGTACTGAATTAGTGTCAGAAGAGGCAGAGCATTACATAAGTCATTAAAATTCACACTGAAACCAGCCTAGTAACATGGTAACCCCGTCTCTACAAAAAAAAAAAAAAAAGCCAGGCGGGGTAGCACACTCCTATAGTCCCAGCTACTCCAGGGGCTAAGTTCGGAGGATCACTTGAGCCCAGGAAGTCAAGGCTGCAGTGAGCCGTGATTGTGCCAGTGCACTCCAGGCTGCGCAACACTGTGAGACCCTGTCTCCAAAGGAGAAAAAAAAATCACACTGAAGTTAAGAGTGATTATAGAGTTAGGAATGAGGAGGAAATCCAACTCAAGTGCTGAATGTGCCAAGATAACAGTAGATAACCAATAGTAGATCTAGAAGGGTGACTTTCATACTTTTGGGCCACTACTTATGATGAGAAAAATATTTTCTCTGACAAGTACAAGCACATATAACAGATTACAGTTAATGAAATAGTATTTACCCTTTCTATGTGCTATGCACTCTTTCTACTGTGCATCATTTTTTGAATCTTAGTTCTCAATGCATTGAATTGGTTTAATAACCCAAGAATGGATTGCAGTCTGTAGTTTGACTAACACTGATTACCAGGACTGTTTAACTGAATGTAATGAGCCTCAAAAGTGGAAGATCTTTTATATTAGGGTGGAGAAGTTACTTGTAAGTAGCAGAAACCAGAACAATGCCAACACCTTCTGTACTTGCCTTCCCTGAAAAGCTTCATTAGAGTAATATTCTCAGGGCCCAGCATGGTGGCACACACCTGTAATCCTAGTACTTTGGCAGGCCGAGGCAGGCAGATCTCTTGAGGTCAGGAGTTGAAGGCCAGTCTGGCCAACGTGGTGAAACCCCATCTCTACCAAAAATACGAAAGTTAGCCAGGCATGGTGGCGTGGGCCTGTAATCCCAGCTACTCGGGAGGCTGAGGCAGGAGAATCACTTGAACGCAGGAGGTGGAGGTTGCAGTGAGCTGAGGTCACACCACTGCCCTCCAGCTTGGGCGATAGAGCAAGACTCCATCTCAAAAAAAAAAAAAGGATAATATTCTCCAAGGCTTAATGACTGGCAAGTGGTAGAGTTTGGTGTGAAGTGTTTGATGAAGACCTTAACTATGTTTGTTTACTGTGGGAACATGGGCTCCAAAGAAAATTGTCAAGAGAATAATGACCAACAGAAAATGGGGGTGGAGTAAGGAATGAAATGAGTCCAGTGGAAATGAGAGTAGAATAGTGGAGAGATGGAGTAACTTGTATTTTTTACTTTGACTAAGATGACAGAGATGTGAAGTAAGTACAGCTGGTCCAAGAGTTTCTAATGGAATTCCAAGGGAAAAATTATTAATTTCCTTTAAAAAATAAAAATAAAGATAGTTGAAGAGACCGCAAGGAGTAGGGAAAAGTGACCTAGATCCAGCATATAACTTCAGAAAATTTTCTAACTAGCTATGCTCTGTTTCCTCATCTATAAATGATGTCATTGGACTAGGAGATCCTTACTTTTACTACTGTAAATGGTAAAAAGTTGATTCTACATACTGCATCCACACTATTGACAGTGGAATGTGAATATATATATTGTTCTCTAAGTGGTTTTTAGAATCATGGAAACCAAGCCATTTTAATTATGAAGAAAATGATTTCTTAACTCAAATTAGTATTAGTAGTTTCTTTATTAAATATTCTTTGGTCACACTTGATTTTTTCTTTTTAGTTACATGAACATGCAGCCTACTTGGTGGACAGTTTATGGGAGAGCTCTCAAGAACTGTTGAAAGACTGGGAATGTATGACAGAGTTGCTATTAGAAGAACCTGTTCAAGGAGAGGAAGGTATAGTATTTTGACAAGTTAATTTACATGATTTTGTATTTCCATTGATAGCAATACAGTTGTATATAGATCGCTTCTTAAAAATGAGCATATATAAGCATGTTGTGTCTTTTTGCCAAGAGAACAATTTGTTTTCTGTAACAAGTAAGGATGTGTCAATCGTTTCTAACATGTTTCCATATAAACACTGCCACCATGCCACATAAGTTTTTAAAAATCCATGCGTGTCATGTAATAGTCAAAAAAGTTTTTCTTTACTTTTTCCTTTTTAAATTTAAGTGACAGGGTCTTGCTCTGTCACCCAGGCTGGAGTGCAGCGGCCCAGTCATAACTCACTGCAGCCTTGAACTACTGGGCTCAAGGGATCCTCCCACCTCAGACTATGGGCACATGCCACCACACTCAGCTAATTTTTAAATTTTTTGTGGAGACAGGGATCTTACTGTGGTCCCCAGATTGCCTCAAGTAATCTTCCTGCCTTAGCCCTCCAAAGTGCTAGGATTACAGGCATGAGCCACTGCACCTGGCCAAAAGGTTTTCTTGATGCTGATTTGAGATACAAAATACTGACGTAACTTAATGTTTTTTTTTTTAAGTACATCCAGAATTTTTTTTTTCTTGATTTATATGTGAACTTTGAAAAAACCTTTTATGCATAATGATTTAATTAGACCACAGCCATCCCCTCTTTTGTTGCATTTTCTTTAAGATAAAAATCAGGAAATCAGAGATAAAGTCATTTACCTAGCTACTCAAGAAATAGGGGGACATAAGAGCCACATGATAATTTTTGAAGTATGCATCTTTTTATATGCTACTTAATAATATGCACAGCAAATTGAACATGTATACCTAATAAAGAGATTGTGTTCTGAAAGCTTATACGCATATTCGTTCGTTAGAACTAGAAATGCTTTTTCCTGTGTATGGTTACGTTTTCAAACTAGCCCACAATAGTACTTTAAAGAATTGGTAACTCATTTAATTCATACAACAGCTTTAGAAGGTGAGTGATGCCTTGAGGTAAGTGAGGCCCACAGTAGATTGAACATGGTCTTCAGAATCAAAAGAAAATTTTTGTGTGTGTGTGTGATTGAGTCTTGCTCTGTCACCCACACTGGAGTGCAGTGGCGCATTCTCAGCTCACTGCAACCTCTGCCTCCCAGATTCATGTGATCCTTCTGCCTCAGGCTCCTGAGTAGCTGGGACTGCAGGCACATGCCATCATGCCCAGCTAATTTTTGTACTTTTATTAGAGACAGGATTTCACCATGTTGACCAGGCTCGTCTTGAACTCCTGAGCTCAGGTGATCCTCCCGCCTCGGCCTACCATAGTGCTTGAATTACAGGCGTGAGCCACCGCATCTGGCCAAAATCTAAAGTAATATTAATTCAAATTTTTAACTCTCTCTCTTTTTACTTATGTCCTCAGATTTTCTAATCCTTAGTTTGCCTTTTTCTGTAACAGAGATTATTTCCTTGTGTACCTTATATAGCTGTGAAGATTAAGCAAGATACTGTTCTATTGAGTCCCTTTTCTGCTTCCTGTACCCTCCTGTGTGGTTCATCCTTTTGGAATATTACAAGAGCATAATGAGCCATCCCCCGCAGTAGACTACCCATGCAGATTACCGGGAGAGTGAGCATCCCCCAGTGTTCCTTCCAAGCAGTGATACTAATTTGTATTATCTATTCTGGCTTTGACATAATTCATTGAGACAAACAAGTTTGTGTTAAACCCAGATACATGCTGGTAAACTGGCCCAAAATGCCTCTTCTAAACTAAAAACTTTTTTCTAATTTATTATGTGTGACACAAATTCTTCCCAAACTTTTCTCAGACCTTTCAAGGAAGAGCTTATTATGCTATATTTGCCTCTAGCTGTAATTATTATTTATTTTATTTGCACATGGTCTTTCACTCCATGATATCCTTAGTAAGAAAGTGGTCCTAGACCAGGTGTGGTGGCTCACGCCTGTAATCCCAGCACTTTGGGAGGCTGAGGTAGGTGGATCACCTGAGGTCAGGAGTTTGAGACCAGCCTCGCCAATATGGCAAAACCCCGTCTCTACTAAAAATACAAAAATTAGCCAGGTTTGGTGGCGGGCACTTGTAATCCCATCTACTCGGGAGGCTGAGGCAGGAGGATCACTTAAACCCTGGAGGCAGAGATTGCAGTGAGCTGAGATCTCGCCGATTCACTCCACCCTGGGCAACAGAGTGAGACTTCATCTCAAAAAAAAAAAAAAAAAAAAGGAAAGATGGTCCTGTTGTTAAGTTGACAGGGCCCTCTGCTCACTAGGTGAAACTGTCCACTATATTTTGAATTCCCTTCACTTTTGTGATCACAGGAATATGAACCTCTGCCTTCCCAGCTTAAGCAATCCTCCGACCTCAGCCTCCCAAGTGGTTGGGACTACAGGCGTGCACCACCATGCCTAATTTTTTTTGTATTTTCAGTAAAGATGGGGTTTCACCATGTTGCCTAAGCTGGTCTCAAACTCCTGGGCTCAAGTAGTCCTCCCACCTCACCCTCCCAAAGTGCTGAGATTACAGGCGTGAGCCACCACTCCCCGGCTTACACATTCTGTTTCTAACTAACCTTAATATTTTCCCTGATAAAAATCAATTTCCCTCTAATGTCTACTGCCTTATCAACACTTGAGTAAAGGGCCTCAGGTTAGTATTCAATGGTAGGTTCCATTCATTTTCCTTACCTTGTTTGTAGCTATAAAATTGCCAGAGTAAGGTAGAGCTTCTCCTTCCTATTCCAACTCATTTTCTGTATATCACCCCATGTTCCATAAGGTTATTTCCAAGGAGAAGGGAGGCAAAGAATATAAATTAAGGGCAGGGCGCAGTGGCTCAGGCCTGTAATCCCAGTACTTTGGGAGGCCAAGATGGGTGGATCATGAGGTCAGGAGATCGAGACCATCCTGGCTAACACGGTGAAACCCCATTTCTACTAAAAATATGAAAAATTAGCCAGGCCTGGTGGCGGGCGCCTGTAGTCCCAGCTACTCTGGAGGCTGAGGCAGGAGAATGGTGTAAACCCGGGAGGCAGAGCTTGCAGTAAGCCAGGATTGCGCCACTGCCCTTCAGCCTGGGTGACAGTGTGAGACTCCATCTCAAAAAAAAGAAAAAAATAAATATATAAATTAAGACAAGACAAGATGGTCTGCTTTGATATTGTTAACTTTCTCTCATGTTAATAAGATGTGTAAGTCAGTAAATAATAATTACTAAGTGTTTCAGTAATGAAGGTGGTCTAGGTGCATTTTACTTGTTAAAATATATACTATTAGGTGTTTCATTGTGGTTTAAATTCTGTTTACATTGGATTTTTTAAACTTCCGGTCAGAAGGTTGGTTTGGCTTGGCTTGGGTTTGGTTGGTTGGTTTAAGCTAGAAAAGTAACTTACCAGATGGGAACATTTTTGGAAGTCAACCACAGTTTCACTGATCGAATCTAGGTAGGCAGAGTCTGAGAAATTAGGCATAACAGTTGCAGAACTGTATCTACATAATGACTTAATTTTTCAAATACATTTTATCTCTATGCATGTTGTACCACATGCAAACCACATATAAGCTCTGGCATGGAGTGGCATCTAAATTAATTTTCTGTGCTAGTATTTTGCTGTATTTTATGACAACAAAATGCTACCAGTAACTTTTTTTTAAAGTAATTTTTTAGATAGGTGGAATGTGGTAGAATTCCAGTGGAGAAGGCTGTGGTTAGCAGTTGGAGATGTAGGACTAAATTTTGGGAAAGCAGACACACTGTGACAGACTACCAACATCAGTTTAAATCACAGTGGCCTTAAGACTGTCTTACAGTGTTTGTGTGTGTGTGTGTGTGTGTGTGTGTGTGTGTGTGTGTGTGTGTGTGTGTGTCGGGGGGTGTTTTACAGCAAAATCAAGTTGCTGAATAAATTTTTAGTATAATGTTTGGATCTGGTTCTTGTCAACAGCTCTGCCACCAGGTAACAAGACCATAACCAAATCAAGTAACTTCTGGATATCAGCTTCTTAAACTGTAAAATGAGAAACTTTATTTTTTTTTTTATGGGTTTTTTTTTTTTTTTTTTTGAGTCTGGGTCTTGCTCTGTTGCCCAGGCTGTAGTGCAGTGGCGGATCTCGGCTCACTGCAACCTCCGCCTCCCAGGTTCAAGCGATTCTCATGTGTCAGCCTCTCTAGTAGCTGGGATTACAGGCGCTCACCACCACACCTGGCTAATTTTTGTATTTTTAGTAGAGATCGGTTTCCCCATGTTGGCCAGGCTGGTCTCGAACTACTGACCTCAAGTGATCCGCCTGCCTTGGCCTCCCAAAGTGCTGGGATTACAGGAATGAGCCACCACACCTGGCTGAGAAACTTTAACTAGATAATCTTCTTTGGTTATTTCTAGTGCTAACATTCTGTAATCCAGTTGATGAATGAAGTAGCTGTAAATAATAAGATTCTTAAAAGCAGGAATTATTAATTCATTAATAATTTAAAAATATTTATTAACTATATGAGTCAAATATTATGCTAAGTGCTGAGCGTATAGTGTTATACTAGATGAGCTCACTGCCAATATGGAGCTTACATTCTCCTGAAGAAGGCAGACCAAAATTGAGTAAATATTCAAAATAATTTCAAGAGTTAATAAGTAGCTTTGGTGGATAATTATAGGGGATCTATCTTTAGACTGAATCCTGATGGAAGACCTTCCTGAGCAGGCCACCTGTGAGCCAAGAAACTAAATGATAAGGCAACCAGGCACGGTAGCTCATGCCTTTAATCCTAGCACTTTGGGGAGCCAAGGCGGGCGGATCACTTGTGGTTAGGAGTTCAAGACCAGCCTGGCCAGCATGGTGAAACCCCGTTTCTACTAAAAATCCAAAATGTTAGCTGAGTGTGGTGGCACGCGCCTTGTCATCCCAGCTACTCGGGAGACTGAGGCAGGAGAATCACAGGAACCCGGCAGGCAAGATCATGCCACTGCACTCCAGTCTGGGCAATAGAGCGAGACTCCATCTCAAAAAAAAAAAAAAAAAGAAAAGAAACTAAACGATAAGGGACCAGATATGGAAATTGTCATAAAAGAGCTATCTAGATAGAGGAAATAACAGTTTCAAAGTATCTGAAACATGAATGATGTTATGTTCTAGGAGATGCAATAGCTGGAACATAATGAGCCAATGATACAAGATGTAATAGAAGCAGAAATCAGATGATATAGAGCATTTTAGTTTATAAGTGAACTTATCTCATCCTAAATGTAATAAGATGCTTTTGAAGATTTTAAACAGGGGAATAATGTGATCCAATGCATATTTTAAGAAAAATCCCTTTCATAAACATTGTTTGGAAAAATACATAATCATTGCAGTGGTCTCTATGAGGAATGATGGTAAAAATATAAAAGAGGGAGATGGCTTATAAAGAGGGAAAGAGCCCATGGCTGAGTTAAAGATTGTGGATAGGGGATGAAAGCAGGAAGAGCAAGAAAGAATGAGAGTTCTACCTAACTATAAAAAGGATAAGAGATAATTATAACCTTTGCAAGCCCAGTAAAGAGGATGTTCAAGAGAGCCATAGTTAATAATATATATTGCAGAGGAGAAAAAAGACTACACAAATCATTTTGTGATGATTTAGGTCATTGGTGATTTTAAAGCATGATTCAATGATACCATATATATTCAGTGATACTAAAAGGGAGAAGCCAGAGTTCAAGGTGATAAGACTAAAATCAATAGTGAGGAAATGGAGATGCTGTGTAGAAACTTGTATAGTTATATGTTGTGTTAGGAAGTTCAAATGACAGTTTGTACCATGAACAGCTACCCATTTGTTTCAGTCAGTGTGGCTGTTTGGCTCTTGCCTGTGGCTTAAGGCTTGTTTGCTTTCAATTTTATTATGTAGTTTTGCTGTCATATCCCAAAAGGAATTTCAATTAAATTTCAACTGCTTTTGAGTTTACCTTATCTCCCCGTTCAGGGTAAGTTTCTAAGTGGATGGCTTCAAATGATAAAGTAACAAAATTGATGGAATTGAACACTGTGCAAGGTTGAGTTAAGCTTCAACACTACTGTGAATTTTACTCCCACTATAATGGGAGAATGTTTCTGTTCTTGAGATAAGTTGTTCTGTCCTTCCTCACTTTCCGTAAGACTGTGTTTTCTTCCTAAATAACAGACAATGCATTTAGTTCATGGGCAGCCTTGTACTTCCTTTAGCTCCAGCCAAATGTGAAAAATTATGAATTTCTGAAATCATAAAAATAGAACTTTAGTTGTTATTGAGCAAAAAGCTTTTTTTGTATTACTAGGCATTGGATCATTCGGATACAGATGGACAAGCTGATGTTTCATTTGTTTTTCCTAAGATAAGCTAAAGTTCATGTGTTTTTTTAAAAGACAATTGTTAAAACACTGAATTAAGATGTACATACATATTTTTACAAGATAATTTTGGTACAGAATAAAGAACAAGATGTTGTATCTTTTTTGCCTTTTCTTTGATTTTGCTCCAACTTAGTTTAAAATAATCAATGTAAACTTTTAAACCTTTGTAAATTAATTGAATTCTTAAATTTATACCTAGTTCTGTGTCTATAATACCTACATCTACTGGTCTTCAATATAAATAAGTATACAGAGGGAAGGAGAAAGAAAGAACTAAACTATTCGAATTATCAAAATCTGAGTTTAAGGCTGGGCACAGGGGCTCACACCTGTAATCTAGCACTTTGGGAGGCCGACGTGGGTGGATCACTTGAGCTCAGGAGTTCGAGACCAGCCAGGCCAACATGGTGAAACCCTGTCTCTACTAAAAGTACAAAAATTAGCTGGGCGTGGTGGTACATGCCTGTAATCCCAGCTACTCAGGAGGCTGAGGCAGGAGAATCACTTGAACCTAGGAGGCAGAGGTTGCAGTGAGCCGAGAT
The DNA here is from genome assembly GCF_000001405.40 of Homo sapiens. Classification (NCBI taxonomy): domain Eukaryota; kingdom Metazoa; phylum Chordata; class Mammalia; order Primates; family Hominidae; genus Homo; species Homo sapiens. The sequence goes on along the minus strand of NC_000003.12, from coordinate 136,436,345 downwards.
CACGCCACTGTACTCCAGCCTGGGTGACAGAGTGAGACTCCACTTCCAAAAAAACCAAAAATATCTGAGTTTAAAAATATGTAAGAATGAGGCCAGGCGTGGTGGCTCATGCTTGGAATCTCAGCACTTTGAGAGGCTGAGGCCGGTGGATCACTTGAGGTCAGGAGTTTGAGACCAGCCTGGCCATCATGGTGAAACCCCGACTCTCCTAAAAATACAAAAATTAGCCGGGTGTGGTGGCACACCTGTAATCCCAGCTACTTAGGAGGCTGAAGCAGGAGAATCCTTTGAACCTGGGAGGCGGAGGTTGCAGTGAGCTGAGATCACGCCATTGCCTTCTGGCCTGGGCGATGGAGCAAGACTGTCTCAAAAAAAACAGGCTGGGTGCAGTGGCTCACACCTGTAATCCCCGTGCTTTGGTAGGCCAAGACGGGTGGATCACGAGGTCAGGGGTTCAAGACCAGCATGGCCAAGATGGTGAAACCCCGTCTCTACTAAAACTACAAAAATCAGCCAGGGGCGGTGGCAGCCACCTGTAATCCCAGCTACTAGGGAGGCTGAGGCAGGAGAATCACTGGAACCTGGGCGGCAGAGGTTGCAGTGAGCCAAGATAGCCTCACTGCACTCCAGCCTGGGTGACACGAGTGAAATGCCGTCTCAAAAAAAAAGAAAAAAAGAATTCGGGAAAGTATAGAATCTATGTGAAGGAAACCATAGTTTTAATTAAATGACTTAAGATCTCAAAACTGAAAAGCTATATTGTATTTCTAGCTGAAAATGTCATTTTTTTTAATGGTACTAGTCATAATTCCAGTGGGTTTGAGAGAGTTCTGGGAGATATGGTGAATACGAACTAACTAAGCAAAATGATTTTAAAGTTTATGTAGAATTCTAAGCTTATGCTGAAAAGACAGTATAGCGTAGTGCTTAAGAGAACTGACTCTGGGGTCAAACTACCTGAGTTCATATATTTGAATGCTCTACTGCTAGCTAAGTGCATTTTTCTGTGGCTCATTCTCCCTGTCTGTGAAGTGAGGATATTAGTTCCTATCTCTTAGAAATGTTTTGTGGATAAAACAAGTTATTACATATAAGCCACTTATGATCGTGCTTTAGATATAGAAAATTCTTAATAAATGAATTGCTATTAGCGTTATAGAAATTAAACAAAATTTTAGAAAAAGGGCTAGATAAGGGAAACTTGCTTATATATTCAAGTTGGTTGAATTAAGTTACATATTAAGTTATAACAAATTATGCCATAAGTCTAGTATAATCAAAGCAGTAAAGCATTGTCATAGAAATATACAAATAGATTAGTGAAACTAAAGAATCCAAAAATGCCTGAACCATGTTTAAAAATGACATTTAAATTAAAAAGGGAAATCTGGTTTAACAGTGGTGGAGACAACTGGCTATTTGGTGGGAATAAACAGACCCACCTACTATCATCAGAAATAAATGCCAAATAGGTTAAAAATACAAAAGTGAGCAAGCAAGAGAGACAGAAAAAGTGAAAGGAAGGAAGAGCAAAAGAGCAAGCAAGCACACGAGACAGCAAAAGATGAAATAAATTAGAAGAAAATGAAGAACATATTAGTGTAATCTGCAGGACAGAGAGATCTTTGAAGGCAATACAAGAAACCTGGAAGCCATAAAACAAAAGGAGACAGACGTGGCTTTTTAAAAATTAACAATTTCTGTCTGACAGAAGATACCATGAAGAGTCTGATAACAAATGACAAACTGGGAGAAAATACTTGCATCATTCAAAAGATAAAAAGTACTACCCCTACCATACAAGAGTTCTCAGATTGATAAGAAAGGTGAATAGTAGCACAAAAACAGGTGAAGAATAAACATAGACAAATCTTAGGGAAAAATAGAAAATATATTCCACTTAACTAATTAGTAGATAGGAAGGAGCAAAATAATAACCAAATACCCCTTTTCAACCATTGGACTGGCAAAAATTAAAATGGTTTATAACATCTAGTGTTCACAGGGATATAAGGAACCAAACATTCATAACATTGCAGTTGGGGATATAAATTATAATAAATAATCTTATGATTTCTCAATATCAAGGTCTTGCCATTTGAATCCATTATTTCTTCTTTGGAGAATTTATTGTACAGAAATAAATGTATCAGTTACATAAATATATATCTATTAATGATGTTTATTGAAGCATTGTTCAGTGTCAAAAATCAGGAAATTATTTGAATGACCATAAGTAGAAGGCTGACTGAATTATGGTACATACGTTAGATAGTAATTTATTAAGATAATTATTATGTGTGTATTGACTTGAAAAATATTGTCTGTTAAGTTTTTAAAAACATACGGCATAGTCTTTTTCATTAAAAAAGAAAAATTAGGAGTTTTGAAATTATGTAGAAGGAAACACTGTGAAATTTTAGAATTGCCTAACTTAGAAAGGTAGCATTAGAAGAGACCAGAGTTTATCCTCTTATTCTTTACTTTGTATCTCTTTCCTATTTGACTTATGACAGCAAGCACATAATTACTTTAAAAAAAAAAATAGCAAAGTACAGAGCTTAACTTTAGTCTTTAAAATAAGCAGTAATAGAATGTTTTCAGTTTTTTTAATAATGTGTTCATTTTTAATACATGGTTGTTGTAAAACTGTCTACTCATGCTCATGTATTTTGTTTTACCTTAGCAATGTCTGATCGTCAAGAGAGTGCTCTTATAGAGCTAATGGTTTGTACAATTCGTCAAGCTGCTGAGGCACATCCTCCAGTGGGAAGGGGTACCGGCAAGAGAGTAAGTTACATTAGTGAGAAATCTCCTAAAAGGTTTTTAATGGCAATTAACTGTCTTAAATATTTGGAAATTTTACTGATATTTGTATCCCTAAAAACATGGTGTTTTTATAAATGATGGACTATGGTGCTTCATCTTTATATCCTATATGCTATACTCAGGTTCCAAAAATAGATTCTTTCCTTCATGCTCCCATAGCACCTGTACCTGCTTCTGTTATTGTACTTACGTATTTTATATATATATATATTTTAAGGATTTTTACGTCTATTAAAAGTACATAAAGGCTCTGGAAGCAAAATGCCTAGTTTGCAAGTTCTTCTATTTAGCAGCTATATAATCTTTAGATAGATGAATGATTTTTGTATGTCTTAGTTTCCTTATCTGTAATATGGGACTAGTAATACAGGTATTTATATTAAAGATGAGTTCAGATAATCATAGATGGAGAGACTCCTGGCTCTGTTGGTTTGAAGAGGTAGGCAGATCTTTCTGCAAAAAGCAAGTATAAAACTGGAATGTATTGTCAAAAACATTACATCAGGGCTCTGGAAATTCACCAAAGATTAAAAAAAAAACACACATTGGGAAATATTTTTTCCTGAAAAATTGATAGAGCTTCAGGTAAAAGCAGCGGAAGTCTGTGGCCTTCTTGCCAATACACATGTACCCACATGCTTGGTCGATAAGATCTGTAGTTTGTTACCAG